>NT_167248.2:1008898-1342182 GCF_000001405.40 Homo sapiens | reverse complement strand
ATGGATGAATGAATGCACAGCTCTTAAAAGGAAACTGCTGGCCAGGTGCGGTGGCTCACATCTGTAATCCTAGCACTTTGGTAGGCTGAAGCAGGCAGATCACCTGAGGTAAGGAGTTCAAGACCAGCCTGGCAAACATGACAAAACCCCATCTCTACTAAAAATACAAAAATTAGCTGGGTGTGGTGGCATGTGCCTGTAGTCCCAGCTACTTGGGAGGCTAAGCTAGGAGAATCGCTTGAACCCAGGAGGCAGAGGTTGTAGTGAACTGAGCTCATGCCACTGCACTCCAGCCTGGTGACAGAGCGAGACTCTGTCACAAACAAACAAACAAACAAAAAAAATGGAAACTGCTAAGGGCTTGGAGAACAAGAAGGCCTTGAGAAAACTGAGAAGATGGGGGGAGGAGCCAAGATGGCCAAATAGGAACAGCTCCGGTCTACAGCTCCCAGCGTGAGCAACGCAGAAGACAGGTGATTTCTGCATTTCCATCTGAGGTACCGGGTTCATCTCACTAGGGAGTGCCAGACAGTGGGCACAGGTCAGTGGGTGCGCGCACCGTGCGTGAGCCGAAGCAGGGCGAGGCATTGCCTCACTCAGGAAGCACAAGGGGTCAGGGAGTTCCCTTTCCTAGTCAAAGAAAGGGGTGACAGAGGGCACCTGGAAAATCGGGTCACTCTCACCCGAATACTGCGCTTTTCCGACGGGCTTAAAAAACGGCGCACCAGGAGATTATATCCCGCACTTGGCTCAGAGGGTCCTACGCCCACAGAGTCTTGCTGATTGCTAGCACAGCAGTCTGAGATCAAACTGCAAGGTGGCAGCAAGGCTGGAGGAGGGGCGCCCGCCATTGCCCAGGCTTGCTGAGGTAAACAAAGCAGCCGGGAAGCTCGAACTGGGTGGAGCCCACCACAGCTCAAGGAGGCCTGCCTGCCTCTGTAGGCTCCACCTCTGGGGGCAGGGCACAGACAAACAAAAAGACAGCAGTAACCTCTGCAGACTTAAATGTCCCTGTCTGACAGCTTTGAAGAGAGCAGTGGTTCTCCCAGCACGCAGCTGGAGATCTGAGAACGGGCAGACTGCCTCCTCAAGTGGGTCCCTGACCCCTGACCCCCGAGCAGCCTAACTGGGAGGCACCCCCCAGCAGGGGCAGACTGACACTTCACACGGCCGGGTACTCTAACAGACCTGCAGCTGAGGGTCCTGTCTGTTAGAAGGAAAACTAACAAACAGAAAGGACATCCACACAAAAAACCCATCTGTACATCACCATCGTCAAAGACCAAAAGTAGATAAAACCACAAAGATGGGGAAAAAACAGAGCAGAAAAACTGGAAACTCTAAAAAGCAGAGCTCCTCTCCTCCTCCAAAGGAATGCAGTTCCTCACCAGGAATGGAACAAAGCTGGACGGAGAATGACTTTGACGAGCTGAGAGAAGAAGGCTTCAGACGATCAAATTACTCCGAACTATGGGAGGACATTCAAACCAAAGGCAAAGAAGTTGAAAACTTTGAAAAGAATTTAGAAGAATGAATAACTAGAATAACCAATAGAGAGAAGTGCTTAAAGGAGCTGATGGAGCTGAAAACCAAGGCTCGAGAACTACGTGAAGAATGTAGAAGCCTCAGGAGCTGATGCGATCAACTGGAAGAAAGGGTATCAGCGATGGAAGATGAAATGAATGAAATGAAGCGAGAAGGGAAGTTTAGAGAAAAAGGAATAAAAAGAAACGAGCAAAGCCTCCAAGAAATATGGGACTATGTGAAAAGACCAAATCTACATCTGATTGGTGTACCTGAAAGTGACGGGGAGAATGGAACCAAGTTGGAAAACACTCTGCAGGATATTATCCAGGAGAACTTCCCCAATCTAGCAAGGCAGGCCAACATTCAGATTCAGGAAATACAGAGAACGCCACAAAGATACTCCTCGAGAAGAGCAACTCCAAGACACGTAATTGTCAGATTCACCAAAGTTGAAATGAAGGAAAAAATGTTAAGAACAGCCAGAGAGAAAGGTCGGGTTACCCTCAAAGGGAAGCCCATCAGACTAACAGCGGATCTCTCGGCAGAAACTCTACAAGCCAGAAGAGAGTGGGGGTCAATATTCAACATTCTTAAAGAAAAGAATTTTCAACCCAGAATTTCATATCCAGCCAAACTAAGCTTCATAAGTGAAGGAGAAATAAAATCCTTTACAGACAAGCAAATGCTGAGAGATTTTGTCACCACCAGGCCTGCCCTAAAAGAGCTCCTGAAGGACGCACTAAACATGGAAAGGAACAACCAGTACCAGCCGCTGCAAAATCATGCCAAAATGTAAAGACCATTGAGACTAGGAAGAAACTGCATCAACTAACGAGCAAAATAACCAGCTAACATCATAATGACAGGATCAAATTCACACATAACAATATTAACTTTAAATGTAAATGGACTAAATGCTCCAATTAAAAGACACAGACTGGCAAATTGGATAAAGAGTCAAGACCCATCAGTGTGCTGTATTCAGGAAACCCATTTCACGTGCAGAGACACACATAGGCTCAAAATAAAAGGATGGAGGAAGATCTACCAAGCAAATGGAAAACAAAAAAAGGCAGGGGTTGCAATCCTAGTCTCTGATAAAACAGACTTTAAACCAATAAAGATCAAAAGAGACAAAGAAGGCCATTACATAATGGTAAAGGGATCAATTCAACAAGAAGAGCTAACTATCCCAAATATATATGCACCCAATACAGGAGCACCCAGATTCATAAAGCAAGTCCTGAGTGACCTACAAAGAGACTTAGATTCCCACGCATTAATAATGGGAGACTTTAACACCCCACTGTCAACATTAGACAGATCAACAAGACAGAAAGTCAACAAGGATACCCAGGAATTGAACTCAGCTCTGCACCAAGCAGACCTAATAGACATCTACAGAACTCTCCACCCCAAATCAACAGAATATACATTTTTTTCAGCACCACACCACACCTATTCCAAAATTGACCACATACTTGAAAGTAAAGCTCTCCTCAGCAAATGTAAAAGAACAGAAATTATAACAAACTATCTCTCAGACCACAGTTCAATCAAACTAGAACTCAGGATTAAGAATCTCACTCAAAACCGCTCAACTACATGGAAACTGAACAACCTGCTCCTGAATGACTACTGGGTACATAACGAAATGAAGGCAGAAATAAAGATGTTCTTTGAAACCAACGAGAACAAAGACACAACATACTAGAATCTCTGGGACGCATTCAAAGCAGTGTGTAGAGGGAAATTTATAGCACTAAATGCCCACAAGAGAAAGCAGGAAAGATCTAAAATTGACACCCTATAATCACAATTAAAAGAACTAGAAAAGCAAGAGCAAACACATTCAAAAGCTAGCAGAAGGCAAGAAATAACTAAAATCAGAGCAGAATTGAAGGAAATAGAGACACAAAAAAACCCTTCAAAAAATTAATGAATCCAGGAGCTGGTTTTTTGAAAGGATCAACAAAATTGATAAACCGCTAGCAAGACTAATAAAGAAAAAAGAGAGAAGAATCAAATAGACACAATAAAAAATGATAAAGGGGATATCATCACCGATCCCACAGAAACAGAAACTACCATCAGAGAATACTACAAACACCTCTATGCAAATAAACTAGAAAATCTAGAAGAAATGGATAAATTCCTTGACACATACACTCTCCCAAGACTAAACCAGGAAGAAGTTGAATCTCTGAATAGACCAATAACAGGATCTGAAATTGTGGCAATAATCAATAGCTTACCAACCAAAAAGAGTCCAGGACCAGATGGATTCACAGCCGAATTCTACCAGAGGTACAAGGAGGAACTGGTACCATTCCTTCTGAAACTATTCCAAACAATAGAAAAAGAGGGAATCTTCCCTAACTCATTTTATGAGGCCAGCATCATCCTGATACCAAAGCTGGGCAGAGACACAACCAAAAAAGAGAATTTTAGACCAATATCCTTGATGAACATTGATGCAAAAATCCTCAATAAAATACTGGCAAACCGAATCCAGCAGCACATCAAAAAGCTTATCCACCATGATCAAGTGGGCTTCATCCCTGGGATGCAAGGCTGGTTCAATATACACAAATCAATAAATGTAATCCAGCATATAAACAGAATCAAAGACAAAAACCACATGATTATCTCAATAGATGCAGAAAAGGCCTTTGACAAAATTCAACAACGCTTCATGCTAAAAACTCTCAATAAATTAGGTATTGATGGGATGTATTTCAAAATAATAAGAGCTATCTATGACAAACCCACAGCCAATATCATACTGAATGGGCAAAAACTGGAAGCATTCCCTTTGAAAACTGGCACAAGACAGGGATGCCCTCTCTCACCACTCCTATTCAACATAGTGTTGGAAGTTTGGCCATGGCAATTAGTCAGGAGAAGGAAATAAAGGGTATTCAATTAGGAAAAGAGGAAGTCAAATTGTTTCTGTTTGCAGACAACATGATTGTATATCTAGAAAACCCCATTGTCTCAGCCCAAAATCTCCTTAAGCTGATAAGCAACTTCAGCAAAGTCTCAGGATACAAAATCAACGTACAAAAGTCACAAGCATTCTTATACACCAACAACAGACAAACAGAGAGCCAAATCATGAGTGAACTCCCATTCACAATTGCTTCAAAGAGAATAAAATACCTAGGAATCCAACTTATAAGGGATGTGAAGGACCTCTTCAAGGAGAACTACAAACCACTGCTCAAGGAAATAAAAGAGGATACAAACAAATGGAAGAACATTCCACGCTCATGGGTAGGAAGAATCAATATCGTGAAAATGGCCATACTGCCCAAGGTAATTTACAGATTCAATGCTATCCCCATCAAGCTACCAATGACTTTCTTCACAGAATTGGAAAAAACTACTTTAAAGTTCATGTGGAACCAAAAAAGAGCCCGCATCGTCAAGTCTATCCTAAGCCAAAAGAACAAAGCTGGAGGCATCACGTTACCTGACTTCAAACTATACTACAAGGCTACAGTAACCAAAACAGCATGGTACTGGTGCCAAAACAGAGATATAGATCAATGGAACAGAACAGAGCCCTCAGAAATAAGGCCGCATATCTACAAGTATCTGATCTTTGACAAACCTGAGAAAAACAAGCAATGGGGAAAGGATTCCCTATTTAATAAATGGTGCTGGGAAAACTGGCTAGCCATATGTAGAAAGCTGAAACTGGATCCCTTCCTTACACCTTATACAAAAATTAATTCAAGATGGATTAAAGACTTAAATGTTAGACCTAAAACCATACAAACCCTAGAAGAAAACCTAGGCATTACCATTCAGGACATAGGCATGGGCAAGGACTTCATGTCTAAAACACCAAAAGCAATGGCAACAAAAGCCAAAATTGGCAAATGGGATCTAATTAAACTAAAGAGCTTCTGCACAGCAAAAGAAACTACCATCAGAGTGAATAGGCAACCTACAAAATGGGAGAAAATTTTCGCAACCTACTCATCTGACAAAGGGCTAATATCCAGAATCTACAATGAACTCAAACAAATTTACAAGAAAAAAACAAACAACCCCATCAAAAAATGGGCGAAGGACATGAACAGACACGTCTCAAAAGAAGACATTTATGCAGCCAAAAAACACATGAAAAAATGCTCACCATCACTGGCCATCAGAGAAATGCAAATCAAAACCACAATGAGATACCATCTCACACCAGTTAGAATGGCAATCATTAAAAAGTCAGGAAACAACAGGTGCTGGAGAGGATGTGGAGAAATAGGAACACTTTTACACTGTTGGTGGGACTGTAAACTAGTTCAACCATTGTGGAAGTCAGTGTGGCGATTCCTCAGGGATCTAGAACTAGAAATACCATTTGACCCAGCCATCCCATTACTGGTTATATACCCAGAGGACTATAAATCATGCTGCTATAAAGACACATGCACACGTATGTTTATTGTGGCATTATTCACAATAGCAAAGACTTGGAACCAACCCAAATGTCCAACAATGATAGACTGGATTAAGAAAATGTGGCACATATACACCATGGAATACTATGCAGTCATAAAAAATGATGAGTTCATGTCCTTTGTAGGGACATGAATGAAATTGGAAATCATCATTCTCAGTAAACTATCGTAAGAACAAAAAACCAAACACCGCATATTCTCACTCATAGGTGGGAATTGAACAATGAGAACACGTGGACACAGGAAGGGGAACATCACACTCTGGGGACTGTTGTGGGGTGAGGGCAGGGGGGAGGGATAGCATTGGGAGGTATACCTAATGCTAGATGACGAGTTAGTGGGTGCAGCGCACCAGCATGGCACGTGTATACATATGTAACTAACCTGCACATTGTGCACATGTACCCTAAAACTTAAAGTATAATAATAATAAATAAATAAATAAATAAGAAAACTGAGAAGACAAATAGTGAACATTTAGGGGAGAATTTAAATGATGGATAGAAATAATAGTGACATTGATAGGTGGGTTGTTGGAAGGAAAGAGAATAAGTGAGCACCTACATGAACTTGAAGGATGGGCAACATTTCAGAGAAACTGTTAGCCCTAAGCAGGGATTTAAAGGGAGAGAAAGGAAGGAGCCTTCCAGGAGGGACAGAAAAGAGAAAGTAAAGTCTCAAAAGAAAGAAATTAATATTTAAGGAAAAGAATATAGACTTTGGAGCCAGCAGGTTTGAATTTCAGTCCTGGCTCTGCCTCCTGCCGGCTGTTTGAGCCTAGTCAAATCCCTTACCATGCCAGAATCCCAGGGGCCTCAGTGTAACATGGCTGGACTTGGCCTCACGGCTGTTATAGGGTTAAATGAGAGAATGGACTATGAAGGTGACATTTCTATAACATAGTCATGTATTTGAGTATCAAGATTGATTGGATTAATCTGGCTGGATATTCTTCCTCTATCCCTGCCTCAAGCCACTCCTCCTAAAACTGCCTCCCCCATCAGGGCAAGTTTTACTCAGAGTCCTTGGAGTAGTTGCATAGGAAAACTGCTCTGGTCTAATAGAATTTCCAGCTATGTTAAAGCACAGTGTAAACATCCAAGTCCTTAAAAAAATGAGTCATTATAGAAACAATCAAGATTGAAGAAAATCTTTGGGAAGGGCATAGTGAGTGGGAATTGAGAAAGAATTATGGTCTCCTTCATTTTGATTTCTTACCTCCTAGCCCTTCTTTTCCCAATCCAGTTTTCTCCCCAGAGATGCTTCACATTCTTTGTTCAGGCCTTTTCACTTCTCTTCCAGTCAACACAAACTTCACTTCTTTTACAGGTCACCTCCTCCTGGAAGACTTCCTGAAATGATTCCCACTTGTCCTTCAATCTGTCAACAGAATCCTCCCTCACTCTTCCCCCGTCACTGCACCTTTAAAATTTGGTAATGACAGATTTAGGTTGATGATGGATACACTTTATCTGCCTTCTTACACACCCTAATTCAGTAATGCTAAATTTTGTTGATGATGGATACACTTTACCTGCCTTATCACACTTCCTAAGGGCAGGGACCATGACTGTCCTGTGATCAGTCTCCCAAACTCCTCTATCATACTTATCTCTCCCTCTGGAAAGCTTCTAAAGACTAGTGGGGCTTTTAAAAGCATGAGGATGTTGCTAATATGGAGGAGAGAGACTGAAGGATAAATGAAAGGATAGAAGAAAAAAATGAAGAGAAGGAAAAGAAGGGATGGGTCAAGGCCTGTCCCACCTCTGACATTCCCTAGTGCCATGCATGGGTATCAAGCTGTCACACTCCACAACACCACAAGTAGGAAACCTGGAAGGAGTTGGAAAGGGGTGGGAACAGTTATTTAGGAGACACCTACATTAAGGAAGGAAGATGTGGATCCTAGCAGAGAGACAGGATCCCGTCATGGTCAACTGGATCAAGCCAAGCCAAGCTGACACACGTAAAATCACATCCACCCTTCTGGCTCTCTGGAAATAGAATGAACTCAGTGGTGATTAGAGCATCAAGTATAGAGTTGTTAGGGATTCTGGAAAGGTAGGGAGAAGGTCTTGAGAAGTGAGATGTTTCCAGGCAGAGTCTGTCTCCAAATGCCTTTTCCCTTACTGGTGTCCTGGAACCATTAGGTATGAACTCATTGTAACCTGGACGTAAAGGTTGAGCTGATGCTTTGTTAGCAGGAATCCTCACCATCTGGTTATGGAAGGCAAATGACAACTAGTCATGAACTTCCTAGCCAGACTGAGCACCGTATGTCTTACAACACATGAGCGTTTCCCAGCACTATGCCTGGCATCTGCCAGTGAGGCATGACTATTGGTTGAGAAGGATAAGAAGGTCTAAGCAGAGTCAATCAAATGACCCTCTCAGGTTGTCCAATCAGTGTAATGAGCAATTCAACAACTGGACCTAAGTTTATTAAGGCTCACTGTGTGCCAGGTGCTATTCTAGGTGCAGGGAAAGCAGCAGCAAACATGAAGGTTAGGTCCCTGTTCACTCACCTTCTATTGGACAGAGACACATCAAAAGTCCATAAATAGATCATTGCAGACAGTAATAAATAGCATGAAGATAATAAATATGGGTAAAGAGATAGTGAATACCTTTGAGAAAGACCACTTGAGATACAAGTGGTAAAAGAAGTCCTCTCTGAATGTTACCTTTGGGTTGAGACATGAGTGAGAAAATGGAGAAAGCCATGTGAAGCTCTGGAGGAGCAGGGGCCCAGGCAGAGGGAACAGTGAGTGCAAAGGCGGTGCAGCCGCACCAGCAGTGGCTCGGGGAACGAGAAGTAGAAGGCACTGCAGCCAGAGCACAAGGAGCAAAATGGAGCGACCAGCCCACATGAACAGCCGTCATTCAAGACCATGGTTCTCCTGTTAGCTAAACACTGCAACCATCTGGAAAGCTTTTAAAAGTACTGACACCTGGGACCCACCCCCAGAGTGTCCGTTTAATTGGTCTGAGGTGTCACTTGGGCATCAGGAGTTTTAAAGTTTCCCAGATAATTCTAATGTGCAACTGAAGCTGTTAACCGCTGACAAGCCCATGAGGGCCATGGCAAGGCACTTGGATTGGTGACAATTGAGGTTCTTGAGGAGTCTCAGAGACATTTCTCCAGTACTTCAAGCCCAGATCCAAAAAGATCCTGAGAGGCCTTGGAGTTGGGGATAAGCCAGGACAATGAAGGAAAAGAGATAACATGAGACTGAAAAGAAGGTCAAGAGAGGCAGAGACATCCAGAAAATATGACAAACTGGAAGGTGCAACAACACAGAAGTGCAAACAGACTCAGAGAGTCAGAGACTGGAGGAGAAAAGGCAATCTTGTGTATTAGTTTCCTATTGATACTGTAACAAATTACCACAAACTTAGGAGCTTGAAACAATACACATTTGTTACTTTATTATTCTGTAGTTCAGAGTCTGAAATGGGTCTTACTGGGCAAAAATTAAGGTGTCAGCAGTGCTAGGTTCCTTCTGAATGGTCTGCTAGAGAATCCATTCCCTCGTCTTTTGCAGCTTCCAGAGGTTACCCACTTCCTTAGCTTGTGGCTTCCTGCCTCAGTCTCCAAAGCCAGCAATGTCAGGCCGATCACTTCTCATGCTGCTATCTCTCTATGCTACCTATCAGAGCATAGAAGTGCATCTTTTACAAAATAGATTTCAGTCACAACTGTAGTCTTATGCTTGGGTATCTGTGTGTTTTATGAGCACTGAGCCGGGAGGGTTGTTCCAAGATGAATGTACGTGTGTTTGTTTGTGTAGGTTTGTTTATCAGGGTGTCATATTTGAGTGTCTCCCCGATAAGTATGGGGGAGGCAGAAGAAGAGTGCCTGGAGGGGGTGCCTAATAAAGTCCTGCTGCTCCATAAAGATTTACTGCTGTTATACTGTTATTCTTATTAATAATAAAACTGATGATAGAGTATCTGTCTCTTTGCCTGTTTTCTTTGAGCATGTCCATCTGTTCCTAAATAATACTGGACATTTATCCCAGTGATATTCAATGCATATGAGGCTATTCATACACATTATATTTAGCTGTGATGTTTGTATTACATGAATGCTTCTGTCTGCAAGTTTGTGCACATTTGGGCATTTGGACACTGATGGATGCAGACACATGTTATATAACAGTGTGGGTGATCATAGTTGTAGACATCTGGATGTTTACTTATGCACAAACCCCCATGAGTATCCAGTTAGCTAGGCCTGGCATTGGAAGGGTAGAGAAGCTAGGAAGAGGAGGGAGCAGGGAGGAAGAGGAGAGGTGGGGAGAGGAGCAGGTAAGGAGAAAAAGAGAGAATGGAGGTGAGGAATGAAGGCACAAAGGAACACCAGAAAAAAATCAGGAAGCAGGAGGGGGTCCCAGGGATCTGCAACTGAAAAAGGCAGGGTTGAGTCACAGCAAGAACACAAGTCAGAAGACCAGGGTAGGGCTCCACTTCTGGTCATTCCCTTGCTATGTGACCTTGGCTATTCCAGTTCTCTGGGCCTCTGTGAACTACCAGAGTTGAAATAGATAATACCGGGTACATTCCAAAGAAGGAAGGAAAGAGAAAACTGGTAATAAAATCACACACGGGGAAAAACAGAGAGAAAGAACCAGAAAGAGAGACTTACGAAGAAAGTAAGGAGAGGCCCTGGGAGCTGGCCAGAGGTAGAGCTGAAAGAGCTCTGCCCCGACTCCCTGAGGCCGAAGTGTGGGCGCCTGCTCCCCACCCCTTACCCCAGAGCTGCAGAATGCCCTTAAGCCCTTAATAGGTAAGGAAGGAAGATGGAAAGGCGAGAGGCACCGGGAATGAAAACCACACAACACTCAGAGGCTTGCCAAAGCCACACAAACCAGGATCTGTGCTTCCGGCCCCCAGCCCCCAGATGTAGGTGTGCCAGCCACCTGGAATGACTCGCACCTTGGCAATGTGGGCGCACATGCCAAGAGTGAGCCTGGGCACCCGGCCCATGCGCGTACCACAGGCGGAGGGGAAGGTAAAATTGGGGCTCTTCGGGGGGTCACAGGGGACTACCCTCCCCACACAGGGCTACCCCGCCCCAGAGCGCCCTCTAGTGACCGCCTCCTAGGCTCTGGGAACCAGGTGTGCTATTCTCCCCTCCCTGCTCCCCCAAACCTTACCCGGGAAGCAGGAGAACCAGATGAGGCGTTACGCAAGGCCTGGTGTTTACCTCCCGTGGGAGCCTCCTCCCTCCCTATAAAGCCTGATGTGGTGGAGAGATTTGACGAGACTGAGACTCTGGTTGAAGAGAGAGGCAATCCCAGGAGAGGGGCGGAAAGCGGCAAAAGTTAATGCGGGAGTCGGAGAGAAGGGCATCTACACAGCAAGCAGCAGGGGCGGCCCGCCATCTGCGCGCTCGAAGGCGGTCACGGTGGTCGCGGAAGGGGCGGCGTCCAGATCCTGGCTTTCCATGGATGCGCCCGAGCTGGGCCCGGGGCTGGTGGAGCGTCTGGAGCAGCTGGCGACGTGTCCTCTGTGCGGGGGCTCCTTCGAGGACCCGGTGCTTCTGGCGTGCGAGCACAGCTTCTGCCGCGCGTGTCTGGCCCGCCGCTGGGGGACTCCGCCGGCGACCGGCACCGAGGCTTCCCCCACCGCCTGTCCGTGCTGCGGCCTGCCGTGTCCCCGCCGCAGCCTGAGGTCTAATGTGCGGCTGGCGGTGGAGGTGCGAATCAGCCGCGAGCTGCGAGAGAAGCTGGCTGAGCCTGGGGCCCGTGCGGGGAGACGCCGAGGGGGGCGCATCCCCACCATGGGCTGCCTGGACCTGCCCGGAGAGGTGAGGCTGGGCGCGCGTCGCGGAGTTGTTGGTGGAAGCGGGAGGTTCCCGGGGAAGCCGGGAATGGCACGTCTGGAGCCGGAGGCCCTGTGGAAGTTTAGGCAAAGGATGGGGTGGGGAGAGAAAAGCAAAGGATGAGGGGGCGAGGACCCTGGGTCCTCAAGGTGAGAGGCGCCCGGAAGGACGATGGATGGAGTTGACACTTGGTCCACAGGGGAGGAGGCTGGACCGATGCCTGAGCCTTGTGAGAGGGGCTGGAGAGAAGAGACTGGGGAGGCAGAGAAGGGGTACCGGATAGAACGCGGAGAGCCCTGGAGTCGCCGCGAAGGGCGTGGGAACTGCAGAAGTTTTGGCAGGGCAGCCGCAGGCGCCCGGGAGGAGGAGAGCTGGCGGAGGGGAGGGAGCGGCGGGCGGAAGGGAGAGCCGACCCAGCTGAGGGTGAGGAGGGGTCCTGGGAGGATGGTGGGCGAGGGCAGAACCTGCTTAGAGGAGCGGGAGCAGGAGGCTGGGCTGGTGGGTTGGGGGCGGAGAAAAAGCTGGGGAGGAGGGGACTGACAAGAGGATGGAGGAAGGGAGCAAGGGGTTGGGGCATATCCAAACCTCCCCGTAGCGTCGTGGGGGTTGGTCTCGGACTCTGGCTCAAGCTAAGCTCTGTGTTGTTTGTTATTGTTATTTCGGCTCCTCCCAAGGCCCCAGGCAGGAGCGGCCAGGGGTGGAGGCGAGGTGCGGGAGAACAGCCGCTGGGGCCTCTGGCTCCTCTCCACATCCCAGTCTTACCACCCATCTACCCCCCGCGCCTCTCCTGGGCCCCGGCTCCTTGGCCACTAACCAGCCCATTCCCTTGCCCGACCGACCCCTGGGCGTCTGGGACTCCTGACTGGCTTCTTCCCAGCAGCCAAGCTGGTCTTGGGTCTTGCTTCTGCCCTTTGAAGTCTTCATAGACCTAATTAGTCTGAAAGTAATTGGCACAATTATGCAAATTGTTTCTCTCTCCCCCGCTCCACCATATCGGCCTGCTCCAGCCATCAGCACTAGACAGTGAAGTGGAGGGGTCGGTATCCCAGTGTTTGGAGGGGAGCATCCAGTGCCCTCTCCTGGCTCCCATAGTACTCTGTGGATCTGCTGGGCCTTTTGGGACACATTCAAGTCTAGCTGCCTCCCTGGCCAGGGTCCAGAGACACAAAGCAAAGGGCCCAATAAATGCCACTGGGCTTTTATTGCAAGAGGGGAAGCAGCTTTATTGTAAGGCTTTTATATACCAACTCTTAGCCCGAGGGCTCTGGGTGTGTGTTTGGTCTGTGTGATGGAGGGAGGAAGGGACAGATGTTTTTCTGGGATGCACTGGGGAAGGTAGATAAGGATGGGGCCGCTGAAAGAGACAGAGAATGGGACTGAGGAGGCAGCAAGGAAGGCAAGGGCTCTGAGGACAAGAAACAGTCATGGACGAGCCTGGGAAAAGAGAATTGAGAACCCTTGGGGAGTGGAAAGGGGGAGGACAGTGGGGATGGAGTTAGGAGGATGAGGGAAAAGTGATGGGGTGAGAGGAAGGAGGGATCATGAAAGGTGAAGGAGGAGAATGAGAGGGAAAGGAGCACAGTGTGTAAAGAGGTGAGATCACTCTGAAAGGTGAGGAGGGACACTGCTAACTCAGACAGAACTCACCTGAGGAGGGGAGAGATAGGGAAGGATGCCCCAGGGAATGAAGCCCAGAGCTCACATCCATGTTTGTTTCTGCCCATCCTAGGATATGAGGAAGACATGGAGACGGTGAGTTCCACTTTTCTGTTCCCTCCTTTTCTCACCAGCTGCCATAGCCATCACGTTCTCACTGGGCCCACACCTTTGTTCCCATTAATAGGCAGGTTTTCTGGGGTATAGTCTCATCCCTTCTTCCTCCAGAGATGTGAGTGGGGTATGCGTGGGGGCATTAGGATCAGAGGGCTGATTTCCTGACCCTTCCCCTCATCTGTGTAGATTTGAAGTCCCAACACCCAAGTCATCTAATTCAGAGGATGATCTCCCTGAAGATTATCCAGTGGTCAAAAAAATGCTTCATAGACTGACAGGTAAGGAAAGAAGAAGGGAGGGAAGGGAATTGAATGAAAGTCTGTGTTAGATTTTCTTCCTTTTAGCCCTAAAAAGTGATCAGGTCCTTTTTGATGTCTGCATTAGTTTCCTAGTACTGCTCTCATGAAGCACCGCAAAGTAGGTGGCTGAAACAACAGACATTTATCTCAAAGTTCAGGAGGTAGAAGTCTGAAATCAAGGTGTCAGCAGTGTTGGTTCCTTCTGAGGGCCATGAGACAGAATCTGTTCCATGCCTGTCTCCTAGCCTCTGGTAGCCTCACATGTTCTTTGGGTGATAGGTCTGCACATTTTCTTTTGTATGCATTTGTCTCTGTGTCCAAATTTCCTCTTTTTGTAAGTCAGCAATCTGGATTAGAGCCCACCCTAATGACCTTCATTTTAACTTGATTACCTATGTAAAGATCCTGTTTCAAAACAAGGTAACATTCTGAGGTTTGGAGGACTTCAACCTATCTTTGTGTGTGTGTGTGGAGTGGGGGAGGGCACAGTTCAGCCTATAACAATGTCTATCCTCGATTCCTCATATTCCAGCCATTTTCCCTCTTCCTTTTTCATACATTCAAACAACAGATCCCTGAAGGTTAGGTGCCTCTCAAAAATCTCTGCTTCCACCACCTCTCGTCACTCCTCCCTGGAAGGGGACCCCAGCATCTCCTTGACCCTTCTTTCCTCACTCACTCCCAAGAAGAAGGGTGCCTCTACCCTTCTTTAAACTGCCTAGAGAAGATGGTCCACCATCTTGGTCATCCACCATCTTGCCCAGTCCAGATTGCTTCTGACACCCCTAATCCAGAAATTTTTCTTCAAAGCACCCCATACATATAAGGCCAATGGTTCTTTTTCTGGTCTCTGGCTATCACCACCTGCTCTCCTCCTCTGCCCCACAACCCCTACAGAAATAGGCCTGTCCACCCCACCCCCCAATTCCTGTGGGTGGGTGGGCTGGTTTCTCAGGATACCTTGGATTCCTCCCTGTGCCCCTCCCATTACTTGAGGTTCCAGTATCAGTATGACTTTCTCTTTAGATGAACCTTCCCCATTTTGCTGACCCAGCTCCCATGCCCCATCCCAGATGATGCAGATTGAGGTATCAGTCCTTACTCCTCCCTCGAAGTCAGATCAGCCTCACTCTTCCTCCCCCAACCCCACAAACGAGACATCCTCTCATTTGATCTTCCTGCTGTGCTCCCTGCACTGGGCCAGTATGATCCTTCCCCAGGTCCAATTCTACAGAAGTGGTGCATCAGTAAAAGGTCTGATATTGCCCAGGCCTGCTCTTCATATGCCTTCCTTCTTTTTGGTCCTGCAGTCGCCTTTTGAGCTGTTGTGTGGTCACTAGCTCTCAGTCTTTTACGTGATCTTCGTTGACTATTCTCCACCCTACCCCGCCTGTGATTTAGAAAACTCTCTCATGAGGTCCTCTCCCTACCTCCCCGTCTCCAGCCGACCTGACCCTGGACCCTGGGACCGCACACCGCCGCCTGCTCATCTCCACCGACCGCCGCAGCGTACAACTGGCCCCACCAGGGACGCCCGCGCCCCCTGACGGCCCCAAGCGCTTCGATCAGCTCCCAGCTGTGCTGGGTGCGCAGGGCTTCGGGGCCGGCCGCCACTGCTGGGAGGTGGAGACTGCGGACGCCGCCTCCTGCAGAGACTCTTCTGGGGAGGATGAGGACGACGAGGAGAGCCACTATGCAGTGGGCGCGGCCGGGGAATCAGTGCAACGCAAGGGCTGCGTAAGGCTGTGCCCTGCGGGGGCCGTGTGGGCCGTGGAGGGCCGCGGCGGCCGCCTGTGGGCCCTCACGGCACCCGAGCCCACCCTGCTGGGCGGTGTTGAGCCCCCGCCGCGGCGCATTCGCGTGGACCTGGACTGGGAGCGGGGCCGCGTGGCCTTCTACGACGGCCGCTCACTCGACCTGCTTTACGCCTTCCAGGCGCCTGGCCCCCTGGGGGAGCGCATCTTCCCGCTGTTCTGCACCTGCGACCCTCGTGCTCCGCTCCGCATTGTACCAGCGGAAAGCTGAGTCTCGTCTCCAACTAGAAGTTTGGCCCGGCCACTGGCCCTGCAGCTGCTTTTTGGGCGTGGAATTCCCCACTCATTTCTGGGAACACATTCACACGCCCATTGCAGGAGTATTAATAGCAACCCACATTTTCGCCCCAAAATAATGAGACCTCACCTGGTCTCCACGTTTCCACATCCCTGCTCAAAACCAAATCCATTCCTGCCTTCTGGCTCTCAGAATCTTCTCTCCCCTACAGCTACTACAGTACTTCCTGACTTCTCCCATTCAAACCATTCTAGGCCTGCAATGGGGAACAGGCCCTCCCCATCAGTATTGGTAAAGTGACCATGATTCCTACATAGAGGCTCTGCTGGTCAAATACTTGACTCCCACTCTTGCCACTCCTAGCTCCAGAAGGGCTCAGGGCCTTCCCCACAGATCTAAGGACTGGGCTACCCTGCCTGTCCACTGAGGTTTCTCCTAAAACAAGAGGCTTGACTCTGGTCTGGGCCCTGTGGCCCTCTGGGAAGCTTTGTACTCTTTTGCAGGATCTGGGGGTGGGGAGGGACAAGCTAGTTCCCCAACCTCCTATGACTGCTTTCTATGCTCACAGCCTTTTTTCCATAAGAACCTTCTTGAAACTTCTCCCCGCACATACGGAAAGGAACCAATGGTGCTATTTCCCCTCTCTCCTCCTCAACCTGGGAATACTTCAGACATCTCCAAACTCATCCTTGTGTATAGTCTCACACCCTTCCCCATAAGTATAAATGGGCCCATATTTAACACATTTTGTGATTTTGGGTTATTTATTTTGTGCATCTGTGGCAATAAATGAGATCTCAGTGGTGGTATGGATTTGACTGATCTCTGTAACTGTGTATGGCAAAAGGACCGGAAAATGAAAACCAGATCCCAGTAAGGGGTAGAGAGGGGCCAAGAGAACTGAACATCTGGGCTGCCGGAGAAATCAAAGTCTAGGAAGTAAGAGGAAAGAGTGTACTACAGGGGACATACCCCAATCTCTTTGCTCCCTCCCTCTTCCTTCCTCTCCCAGAGACCCAGGTCCCTGGGACTATATTGGATCTGTCTCTGAAGCTGAAAAACAAAAGGCAGAGGAGACAGTCGGCTCTAAGTGACCAATCTCAAGCCAGCTTTGTCAGAAATCCTAAATAACAGGAGAAGGGTGGGAAGAAAGGATATGATTATTTCTTGTTCCATTTTCCATAAGAGGTGAGAATAACAAGGACCTCTTTTCTAACTCCTCTTGAGGGTGTGAGAAGGGTTAGCAGGAGGAGAAGGGCTGGGAGCTCTGAGGTCTCCTGTAAGACCTCATATCTCACAGGCAAGGACTAAGAATTAGGATTAAATATTTTAGTGGGATAGCTCTAAACCAGGATTAGCAAGCAAAGTTAGGGCGCAAATTCCTGGAATCTGACTGGGACCCTGGCAGTGAAAGCTGGGACTGTTGAAAACCCAATTTAAGTGTTCGCTACTCATGTTGAGAGTGCAGGGCCAAGATAACTAGATCCCAGGACAGGCAGTTTGGCAGTGAGAACAAAAGGAAGACACTGGGACCAAGGTGCCTAGATCCCTCGAGAGAGAAGGGTGGGTATTGGGAGGAAAAATGAGGACTGGGGAAACCCAGGAGGCTGGGTTCTGGAATAGCAGCAAGTCAGAATTTCAGGATCTCTGTTCGTCCTCCTCTTCCTCTTCCCTCTATCAGGCAGAAGAGAGGGAAGGAGGGGGCTGGAGAAGTAGCCACATGGATACATTTAGGGCCAGACAGACACAGGAATGCTGGAGGAGAGAGGGATTTAGTGCTGCATTGGCCCTGGAGGGGGCTGGGAAGGGTCAGGAGGCTGGGGAGGGGTGGTGGGGGTCGGTCCTAGGGTTGCACGACGCCGTCCTTTGCGGTGGCCACGTACACAGTGTGTATGACCACAGCCCTCTTCTTCCTCCTCATCACTTTCCGTGGAGCTCTCGCCAAAGGCCCGAGGTTTCTCATAAATACAGCAGCCTAGATTTAGAGGGAGGAGCCCAGTTAAAGAGGAGGAAGGGTAAGATATATAGTCAGTTCCATTCCCACTCAAACTCAGTGAAAATTCCTATTTTCTCCTACCTTCCAGGATCCAGCTTCCCCAGGCCCACCCTCTGGGACTCAGGCCCCACCCCTCTTGTCCTCTTAGAGAGCCACGAATTCAAAGCCCCACTTCTCCCACCTCTGACACTTCTTGCTGTCAGACCTAGGCAATTCCAGTTCTAGCCCTTCCCTACCTCTTTCCCTGATACCACAGCACCACCAAAAAAGTGACAGAACTATGAACATCCGGGGGCTTCTGGAAAGCCAGTGGATATGAGTAGATACAAGATATGCTGAAGGGAGCCAGAACTCCAGGGCTACTGCGGGCCAACAATTACTCACATTTTGATGAGCGGCGGCCCATGTGTTCATTGTCCACAGTGTCACTTGTCCATTCTACCTTTTTCTCTGGCTTCCGTTTCCGAAGTTTGATGGTAAGGCTCCGGTTCTCCTAGAAGGTTAAGGATGAGCATACCTATCTAGTCCCCTCTTACTAACCTTTCCCACTCCCTCCCAGGGAACCTCCTCTCTTTTCTTCTTTAGCTCAACCAGTACCATAGGCATAGCACCAGAGGAGCTGACAGAAGATAAAACAGAACAGGTCTTTTACCTCAGATAGTCCCTTGAGGAATAAGTATTATTTCCTGTTCTTATACCACCAGTATAAGAGAAGACACAATTCCTAACCTAGGAAAGGTCCCAGCAACTCTTCAAAGGAAAATATAATCCTTGCTTTTTCTCCGTCTTCCTCCCCAAATCATCCTTGGTAGTATTAATACATGAAAATTATTTTTCAGTCCCCAGCACCTAATCTTTGATCTCCCTTCCTTTTTCCAGATCCCCTATTCTTTTTCTCTTAAAAAAACAAACAAAACCTCTCTCATTCTCAAGCTCCAGCCCTCCCTACCTCTTATCCACCTATTCTCTGGCATCCTGGCATCTCTAGTAGCAAGTATTACTAATCTATTAATTACTAAACTTCCTTTAATCCAAGAGTATTAAGCCCAATGCATCCTTCTCCCTTTGAAGGCAACTTAACATGTTTTTGGATAAATACTTCTTGTTTCTCCATTTACATCTTTGCTCTCTGATTTCTCAAAATACCTCTTTTCATCTCCTTTTCTTGTTTCCTCATTCCTGCCACTTCCTTTTACATTCATCCATTCAATAAATATTTATTCGAATATCAATATTGATAATATTGATAAGTTGGCCTCCAACCATGCTTTCTTACACTACCTTTGATTTCCTCCCAACATCTTCCTGGCTCCTTAATCCTCAATTTCCCTTTCGTTTATTACTTACACACATAACCACCCCAAGCAGCAACACCTATATCCTAACTGTACCTCCCTATTACCAGTTCCTTGACCTGCCTCCTGCACCATCTCTGCCACTCCAAATAGCTCCAATACCTTCCGATTCTCCCAGCCCTAGATATTCAACCCCACACCTCCCATATCCCTAGGCCTAGCTCCTCCAACAACTCTTCTAATCCCTGTCCCCTCCCTCCCAGTATCTCCCAGACCCCTAAACAGCACCGCCCCCCCGCCTTTCTCACGGGCTCGGTTGTCACGGTAACCGTTGTCTCAGTGACGGTCTCGCTCAGCCCAGCCCCTGCCTCGGCCATGGCTAAGGCTCAGGACAGGGAGGAGAGGAGGAAGGGGGATGAGACACCCTTCCCTTTTTCTGTCGCTGAGGTCTAAGAGAAGCGGTATCGGATTCAGAGTGGTAGCCAGGATCCTCCACCTTCTTTATTCCCCCTCCTCCTGGGCCTCCGCTTCTCCACCCCTGGGGATAACCTGGCTAACCCCACTTCCGGCTCGCCGCTTCCGGGTGTGACGCATACTGCAGTCCCCCTTTTTCCCTTCCACGGCACCAAATGCGTCAAAGCGCAGGCGTCGCTGGATTAGTTCCGCCGTAACGTGACAGCGCGCAGGCGCTGAAAGAAAGAGAAACAAATTTGGCGGAAGGGGTGTCACTGCGGGTGTGGGTGGAGGAGGGAGAGTCTGGGGCAGCACGCGTACTCACAGCCTAGAGGAAGCAGGAGGGGCGCCCAGATGGGTATTGCCGGGCCAGACGCTGCAGAGTGGGTGTGGCGAGGGCGGAGTTGTGTGCACCAAGCTGAGTCCTGCTGCAGATTTCCGTTTGCCTTGTCTGGGTAGGTGGACCGGCGAGGAAGCTTAAGGAGCAATAGTAATGACCCTACCGTGGCCTATTTCCCTTTCCTTGTTTGGTCTGGGTTTCTCTAAAGAAAACGGGAAGTGGGAGCAGTTGGAAACACACTTAAGAGTCAAGCGATGTGGTTCTACCCCTCGCCCTGTGCCTGTAGGTGTTTGAGCAGTTCAGTTTAGTGCACGTTCAACGTCAGTTTTTTTCAGTCACTGTGCTACGCCTTGAAGATGGAGGCGCGTAAGACGCTCAGACCCTGCCTTTTAGCTCTAGTAGGAAAGACAGGCATGCTGAAAACAAAAATATGAAACACTGGGGCATTAACAAATGCCATGTCTGATTTGTAAATCTGAATGTAGTTACATACTGCCAACATATTCGTTCTCTCTGGGGTGATGAGTAGGATGAAGCAGAGAAATGGTCGTAAATTACAGTATAGGCTATTTTATAAAAATATATGCACGTTTCTTAGAGAGCAAAAGAAAGTGGTAAAACAAGAACCAGGAAGGCCGACAAGTAGGTTTTTTTAGAAGAGCAGCTTAAAAAGTTGTAGATGTGTGCACTACAGGAAATGGAGTTTTGTACCGCTTGGATCTGAGGGAGTGCCAGATGAAGCTTGACAGGTAGGCAGTGGTTATATGGAAGAACCTGTATGCTTTGCTAAGAAATTAAGCTTAATCCAATCACTGTTATGGGCCAGAGAAAGGCTTAAAGTAGGGTAGAAACATGAACAGGTTTGTTTCAGATTTCAGGAGTGGGTCAGGAAAGTCAACTGCCAGAACAGTTCAAACGTACAGTGGGGAAGACTGCCCTGCCCATTCTCCAGGTTGCTGTGGGGGTCAAACAAGATAGCTATGTTTGAGAGCTCTGAATATATATAAAGGGCCACACAATTATATGATAATTATTACAGTAACCCCTTGATCACTATTTGAGCCAAGGAATGCGGGAACTGAGTATGCATTTGTTCCCCTTGAAAGTTTTTAGTTCAAACAGAAAAAAGCAAGATATAGTTCAGCATGTCTAGTCCATTAAAAAAACCAAACACATATATAGCAACACACATATACAGAGCCACATACATATACACAAGCACAGATATACAGTATAATTTGGTTATCTCTGTGGAGTAGGATTCCTTGTGACTTTACTTTTTTCTTTCTTTCTATATAAGAATCTATTATAATAGATATACAATTCATCCTTGAACAACATGGGGGTAAGGGGTGCTGACCCTCTGAACAGCCAAAAATCCATATATAACTTTTGACTCCCCCAAAACTTAACTACTGTTGACCAGATGCCTTACCAATAACATAAACCGTTGATTAACACATATTTTGTATATGTATTATATACTTATAATACATATAATCTTACAATCAAGTAAGCTAGAGAAAACATTATTAAGAAAATCATAAGGAAAAGAAAATATATTTACTATTCATTAAGTAGAAGTGGATCACATTTTCATGTTGAGTAGGCTCAGGAGGAGGAAAAGGAGGGCTTAAATGTGCTGCTATCTTATGGGTCTCAGAAGTAGAAGAAAATCCACATATATGTAGACTCAAGCAGTTCAAACCTGTGTTGTTCAAGGGTCAACTGTGTATTGTATTTATCTCAATACTAATAAAATACTCACCTATAGTGATCACTTAGTGGCATTACTTAGTATCAGATTTTTTGTTGTCCAAATTTATATGCTAAAGAGATCTGGTTAAAATTTCTGTTAAATGTCTCACTATCCAAATTCCTAGTTTTTCTTAACCTAAACTCAGGAACCAAATAGATTTAAATAGTATGGCAATACTTACAATTGCTTTTTGTTTATATTAGCCTCATTCCTGACTCTACTTTTTTGTCCTAATTTTTCCCCCTTTTCTTTTTCATATAAATATATCTCTGGAAACTCATTTAAATTCCTTTTGGAATAAGACAGATTATAAGTAACATACATATGTCAGGGTCTTATAGAAAAATATAACTTTAATAAGGAAATTCAACTAAGGGTAGGAGTACTCCAGGAACAATGGTAATCCCCACATGATGATCTGATTCTCTTCTGGGAGCAAAACATTGCAACCAGACAGGATGGACAAGGCATCTAAAAACCCAGTATCCTTCACCTTCCGAAAGGAGGGAGGGACTGCAGAGTTGCCCAGGAAAAAGGTCAAGAGTCTTCCTTCTCCTGGAACCTATGAGGAAAGAAAGGACTTGTTATATTCACCAAAAGATGAGTTTCTAGTAGTATAAGATAAGATATGCAATCAAATAATCAAGGAAGGACTTTTATTTATGACATCATTGAGGACTGGCTCCCCTAAACAAACTTCCAATTCTAATTCCAAGACAACTAAAAATTCTGGGATTAAAAATATATCCAATGAGTTATAACCTCAAAGCAAAGATTTCTTAGGACACAGAAAGCACTAGCTGTAAAAGAAAAAAAAAAGGATAAGCTGAACCTTATAAAAACTTAAAACTTCTGCTCATTTAAAGAGGGTTAAGAAAATAGGCAAGCCACACGCTGGGAAAAAAAATCTTTTTATTTAAAAAAAATTTTTTTTTTTTTTGGTAAAATGACAACCAGTGATAGGAAAAAAATACTTTTAAAAGATATATCTGACTATGAATATTTTTAATCCTTTGATGAGATGGCAAGAAAGTAAAGGCAATCTGCACACTGGTTAAAAGTTCTGTAAAACCAGAAATCCAGACAGGGAAGTTAAAACTAATGTCCCTATGAAACGTGACAGTGACACTATGGTGCCCTTTATACTGTTTTGACAGTCACTGGAAGCATAGGAAATGAGGGACAAAATGTATAAGGTCTGATAGGAGATCCCGTGCATAAATTTGGGAACTGCAAAAGGCTGCCCTTTCTTGTAAAAGTGAACAAGAAAAGAAAAAATTCAACTCTATAGAAGGGGAATTTGACTGTCTCAGTAGGTAGAAAGAGAGAAAACTCTCTCCTGAGAATTTCTAACTGTAAGCTAGCCCTTACATGGATTTGCAGCTCAAATTCATACTATCTGTCTGCTCCAAAAAACATGAAGCCAAGAATTTATTTAAAGTAATTCCAGCTTGATAGTGCTTCAAGGCACCTAGAAAAGAAACACAAATGCTGAGAATACAGCACTCGCCCAAGGCCTCAAAGAATTCCTACAGTTCAAGTTCTAAAAAACTCGAATTTATAGTCAAAAATCACAAAACAAAGAAAAAAAGCACTATGAGAGAGACAGCAGAAACAAAAGACAGCAGCATCAGACACACAAAATCCACAGATATCAGAATTATGAGACATAGAATATAATAACCATATTTAATATTTTAAATATATATTTAAAGAATAATAAAAGGAACAATTTAAAATATGATTAAAGAACTGATAATTATTTAAAAATTAAGGAGATTTGAAAAGTAATTAAATAGAACTCAAAATAATAACAATAGTAAAAAATAATAATACTTGAAATAAACTGAAGACAGAATTAGTGACATGGAAGAGGGACCTGAAGAAATTACTCAGAAGGTGGCATAAAGAGAACAGCGATTGAAAATATGAAAAGAAGGTGAGAGAAATAGAGGACAGAAGAGAGAAACCTCTTTCTAGTAACTAATTCGAGGTCCAGAATGTGAGGACTGAGAACATGGGGGAAAGAGAATATTAAAAGAGATGATGGCTGATAATTTTCCAAGGTTGATGAAAAAAAAAAATCCACTCTCAGTTTCAGAAAGTCCAACAAATCCCAAACAGAATAAAAGAAAATCGTATTTTGATATACTATAGTGACTGCAGAACACCAAAGACAAAAATGAGGTCTTAAAAGCATTCAGAAAGCCCATGTTCTCTAAATCATGTGTGACTAATTCTCTCCAAAGAAAGCTACCTTGACTGCGGTTGAAGACTGCAGTATAAGATGCTGACCACTAAACAATACCTGCTTCTTATGTTGTTTTTTTTTTCTTCATTTCCTTTTAAATATCCTAAAAGTAGGTCAGGTGGGGTGGCTCATGCCTGTAATCCCAGCACTTTGGGATGCTGAGGTGGGTGGATCACTTGAGCTCAGAAGTTCAAGACCAGCCTGGGAAACATAGAGAAACCCCATCTCTACTAAAAATACAAAAAAAAAAAAAGCCAGGCGTGGTGGCATGTGTCTGTGGTCCCAGCTACTTTGGAGGCTGAGGTGGGAGGATTACCTGAGCCCAGGAGGCGGAGGTTGCAGTGAGCCAAGATTGCCTCACTGCACTCCAGGCTAGGTGACAGAGCGACACCCTGTCAAAAAAAAAAAAAAAAAAAAATCCTAAAAGGTTTATTTCACTGGTTATAAAAAGGTTTAAAAAAGTGTAACTTAAAAAAATAAAAAACAACTACAAATCTCCCTATTACCAGAACTGCACAGAAATAAGGGATGGGACCAAGGGAAACGGCCTTTTCGTACAAAAAAATAAATCACTGGATTTGTTTAGTTAGCAAACAGACTGAGTAGAGGGAGGGGAAAGAATACCCACTTGCAGTTGGTACAGGTGTAGAAGACAGTTTGCCCTTCATCGGCTGAACGCATTTGTCTGGTGTGGTATGCCATTCCTTCATGACCACATCGAGGGCAGCGCCTGTCAACCTGGGAAGAAACTGGTGGGTTAGGGAGGCCTGGTCATATCCCCTTACTTCCCACAGGAATCAGGCGATCACGCCTCTCAAACGTCGATGGTTTACATCTCTTTTCCCTCTTGGAATTGGGCACAAAACTCTCCAGAGCTTTGCAATCACTCCTCCATTTCTTTCCTACCCACCTTATGGAGCCAGTTCTTGATCTCATTAGCTTACCACAGGTCCCTGGCACTCAGGCCCTTCCTCCACCGACATAGGCATGGCTGTCCCCAGTTGGTGGAACACAACCGAAGTCTTCACAACCTTCCCCTCAAAGTCTGCACAGGCAAGTAAGAACTGGTTATGGAGACAACCAGAGAGAGCTGACACCGGAAACCTCCCCTTTCCCCTGGCTGGTTAGGCCAGGAGGCCCTACATCCTTTCCCTCAGTTTTCATCGCTAGACCAAATGTACAACCGCCTGATGTCCTGCTCTAGGATCCCCTCCTCAACCCAACCGATCTTGAGTTCCCCAAGCTTCCGACCCTGCGCCCTCCGCCAGGACCCCTGCGTACAAGCCTCTCACCCCGAACGTTGATGTTGAAGCCACAGCGAATACAGGTGACCGTATCCTGAGCCCCGGGCAGAGGCAGGACCGAGCCGCAATCTGAACAGAAATCCAGGTCCGACTGAAAGCTGGAGCAAGTATTGGCGAGGTCCATGACAGACATGCGGTCGGGTCTGAGGAGGGAGTTGGAAGTTTATTAACAAAAGAGAGAAGAGTTCCTGTCCCAGAGGTCGTAACTATTCTGTCCCAGGACCTAGGAGTATATAACCCGAACCCTCCTGCCACGCACGCCCTCCTGCCTCTGCGACCAAGGAGCCGAAACGCCCGGAATTCCCAGACAGCGTCGGGTACTAAAGCACTTGGAACCCTTTCCAGGGGCCGGTGAGAGGAGTTAACCAACTCCGTGGGCTAGAGCGCCAGCTCTGCGCCCGCGGCGGGGCAGCGAGATAGAGCCGGCTAGAGCGTCAGGCTTTCGCGTTGACGATTGGCTGTGACGTCATAATTAATTGCGAACCGTGTCTCGGGAGCGTTAGAGATGGAGACTAACGTCTTTCAAGGGAGATTGCGTCTCCACTTTCACCCTGGTACTGAGAGATTGAGCACAAAATTGGTAACCAATGCTGCGCTTCCAGCAAATTTTCCCACCAGCACCCAATCCGGGGATATTTATTCTCTTTGTCTCACATCCTACAGGAACGCAGTCGCGGGGTATATCCCCCTGAAAACCGTACGTTGCCAAATAATGATTTCTTTGGATTAGAGAACTACAACTCCCCTGGGTCCTGAGCCGGTATTTCCCTTTTGCGGCTGCACCGTAGTTAAAAACAAAGCTAAGTGTTCTGGGACGTATAGTTCTAGCGTTCCTTGGGTCCCGCTGGCGAGCGTGGGCTTTCTGCAGCTCGCAACCGGCCTCGTGCTTTGCGGACGGTTCACTGCGCTTGGAAAGGGGTGAGTCGGCTTTTTGAGGGACAGCAAGTGGTGAGAGTGAGGGCAGGAGGAATGCTTAGTCCCACGGGACGAAAGGAAGCAGGGATGAAGTGGGACACTTGAGAAGGGGTTCAGGACTTTGGAGGTGGTGGAACAGAGGAGCTTGGGGCTTCCTCTCCTTCGACTCCTGCCAGATAAGTGAGGCTAGCAGTAGTCAAGAAAGCTCATTAAGTAGGATTTCATAAGACTTAGGTCGAGTTTGGCTTTTAGTTGTGCCTGCCGCCTATCGAACTCTTAATTCATTATCGTCATCCGTTAAGTGGACAGCTGACATTTCCCTGATCTTTTATAAAACATGAGAATAAGTATCTTTGGGAAATCTTTCTATTTTCATTAATCTGTAACTTATATTCCAAGTAGAAACTTTCCCTGAAGGGGCAGCTTGTAGTTGTTTACTAGTTTCCTGCTAGCCCTCCCACCACCATCCACTCTGATAGCTGTGCTAAGTTCATTCATATAAAAGTTCTGGAGCCATCACTGTTTTCTCCTATGAAGGACACAAGCTGTAGTCTTTTCGCTGGGAGAGGCTCCCATCTGCCTTTCTCTGTAATAATGGAGAGAACGCCATAGTGAAAGGGTTAAAACTCAGCAAACTGCTGAAGAGTGACAAGCCCTATCACTTAACTGTGAAATTGCTTGTTATTCTGTCTTACAAAGGGAGACGTGTTGTTGAGCTGATTGTCGTAGACAGTTTTTATTCTCACTTATCTGTGTGTCTCCTTTGAAAATGGAACTTGAAATTCTACCCTCCTCAGTTTTCTGTTTTTAATTTGAAAAACAGCCAACATCCCCTGTGAATTGCAGTAAAGGAACAAAGCATTAAAAGGCATATCCTTTTCCCAACAAAAGCTCACAGTCTAATCAGTAAAGATTTATTGAGCAACTATGCCAGGTTTTGAGCTGAGGCTGAGCCTGCAAAGTTGAAATCTGTGTTCTCTGACCTCAAGGAACATGAATGAATAATTAGAATATAATAAAACTGTGCTAGTAGGTACAAAATGTGAGAGCCCAGAACATGCATATAAAGCAAACATATCTGTAAACTTCAAGGAAGACTGGGAAATGGTTTAATAAAAATAGATACAATGTTATGGCAGATATTTAAAAAAGATGCTCAGATATTATGTGTCAAGGATCATCAGCAATCAGCAAATCATTAATTTTGAGAACTTGGGATCACAGACTCTAATGTTAAGTATTGTGCTAGAAGCCATGTACAGAGAAGTAAAAGTAAGATGATCATACGTTTACAATCTCAAAATAAGCTTACGTAGACAAATAAGAATGTTCCTAAGAGGTCAGTGAGACCAAATATTTGATATCAGATCCTTTCCAACAATATAGAGGCATCATATTTGTAGATATAAATTACAGTTTTCATTCCTTATGAGCCTAAATTTCAGCATCAAAATGTTAAAAGTGATATGTGAATACAGATATCACAGTGTAAACCACGATTAATTTTCAAATGAGTTGTAGAATTAAAATATGTCAAGTATTTAGAGGAAGGGAAGATCACTGACAGAGTAGACTGGAAAGACTTTATAATCAGGAGCTTGACCTGTGAAGGACAGATAGATAGAATTTATTGAGAACTTACCAAGCTCTTTACATCTAATTCATATTTGTTCTTTATAACCCTGAGAGGCAGATTTTTGTCTTACATCTCCATTTTATAGATGAGAAAGCTGACAGAAGTTACTTGCCCTGAGTCACACACCTAGGAAGTGGTAGAATTAGATTTCAGATCTAGCTCTGTCAGACTGTAAAGACCATCCTTTGAACTCTAAATGGTATAAAAGACATACAGAGGAAATGCCAGGCATCCTCAGTGGCTTAAATACGACATCACAGTAAACTCAGGCTAGACCAGGGATGACACATAAAAGATGATAGTTTTCATTTGTGTTGCCATCAGCCTCCTCTATAAATAAACCCAGAGTAACCACAAATTGCCATCCTGAGGGGTTCAACAGGGAATAGTCTCATAATGGATTTAGAGTGAAGGATGATTGGCATTGTTAGTCAGGCAAGCAGAGGGCTGAGCAGTCAAATAAGAACAGAATTTCAGAACAAAAGATTAGAGGGCAGAAATGCTGTATGTGCTGATAGAGTCAGAGAGGGCCCGGATCGAGAAACTGCAGGAAGAGAAAACTAGAAACCTAGAATCGTCTAGAAAACTAGAACCTACAATCGTCTCAGAACACAAAGGAGGCTTGAGGACTGAGCAGACTGACATAGATGTACTTGGACAACACCTCACCAAGGAGCATGTCTCTTCCCACTCACAATCCCCAATACGAGATTCACAGTGGTTCACGCTGAGTCCACAGGAAAAGTATGCTTGTTCATATGAAAGGAAAGATCCTCTTATTAAAAGAGCATTCATTATTTTCTACCATAGGAATGCAGTGGTTTCCCATGGGGGAAATGGCCCTGCTGTAGTCCTCCCTATTAGCAGATTTGTTCTGACACCTCCTACATTTGAATCTACCTTGGCTTTTTTATCTTCCAGATTGGCCTGGGGTACATCATCTAAAGATCCTAGGATTGCTGCAGGTCAGCAGTCTCCACTGGAAAAAAAGATCTTGGTAAGTAAATTATCTTCACATCATACAGTTTGGAACTACACAGAGAAGGAATCTTAGGTTTAAAATCCTTCTGCCCAAGTGACACATTCAGGTAGTATGTCTACACTGGCAAATGTTACCCAGCTATATCCACAGTTGCAAAACAAAGTATCATTTTTGGAAACTTCCAACACCATACATTTTTAAACCTAGTTACTGATTTGTGGTGGTGAGTACTTAATACTTTCAGAGCTCCCAGGCTCACCTGGGAGTGATGGGAATAAAATAACAACTAAGCTAAAGTAAAGAGCATGTAGCTTTTCCTGGTGTCATTAGGGAGGGTGGGCTTGGCTCCTGTTTAAATGTGTTCAAAGGAAAAAGATGATCACATTATAAATTTCTGACTTCACTTTGACAGAATCTAGGTGGTGTGCATACAACAGCAGCAAGACAGTTGATAATGCAGAAATATCAGGAGGAGTGTGAAATACTCTGTAGGGAGCAAGCTGTTTCTCTTGACTACTGGCTTGCCAAAGCAGAGTCTTATTATAATAAAATAATAGTGGAAATGATGAAAGAAGAGACAGGCAATGAAATCTAGAAAAAAATGGAGGAGAAAACAACCCAAAGCGTAGAAGGACTAAAACAGTACTGTTTGGTACCTGAGAGAGAGATGAAACACATAGAAAGGCACATACATCAGACAGGAAAGGCTGGAGAATTTAAGAACAAATCATTTAGACAAGTACTACAACCCCCCAATGAAACAAAATTACCAAAAATTATGCCAGAAGGGCATGGCATCCAGAACGCACAGAGAAGAAAGCAGGTAAATGAGAGGGAACAGATGCAGACTAAGGATCACCAGGAACGCATGATTCGAGGGAGAGAACTTGCAGAACAAAGACTCAAGGAGAGAATCTTGAGAAGAAGCCAGAGCCAGCTACTTACATATGAGAAGCATGAGAGAGTAAAAGAGATAAAGGAGTTTGAAAGAGTTATTGCGTATCTTCTTTTCCAACCATGCAGTAGAAGTCGGATTAAAGTGAGTATTCTTATGGATAAGTCTCAGAATGGAGAGAAGGTGAATACAATTGTGAAACCATATCAAAGAAAATTCTTGGCAATGCCACCCTTTTTAAGAAGTCAAATAGGAAAAATAACAGATTAAAGTTTCAATGCTGTTATGATAAAATCATATCTCTTAAGTGAACCCTTTTTTTTTTTCAAATGCTCGTTCTCTCCAGGGTTCAGTGAATATTCCCATTTGTATCAGATACAGATAGATAGTTCTGCACTTGAAAATTAGCTTAACTATTTTTAGTTGACTTGCATTTGTTCAAGTTGCATATCCTTTCTAGTGTTCAGTGTCCTCATCTTTAAAATGGCAATAATATTTGATGGCATTTATGGAAGGACTGTTTTTTTTGTGAAGTGTAGGTATGTATTAGTTGTTTCATAAATGTTAGTTTCCCCACTTGGAAAGACCGGGGTTGGGCAATGGTGGTGAATAAAGAATTATTCTAATCTACTTCTCTTATTCTCCCTGCTCCCAGCCCTCCAAGGTTATTTTGATGAGATTGCTATAGTTTAGTATATGGTCTTTAATATCATACCTTCATCAGATAACTACTAGCCAGCCCCTAAAAGTGTAACTTGCTCTGTACAATTTATTTGAATGAGAAACTTAATTTTGAGAGCCTCCTACATGCTAGGCATTATGTTAGTTACTGAAGGTGAATAAAGAGAAGTCTCTGCCCTTGAATAATTTTCAACTAATGGCATAGATCACTCTATAAACAGATAATGTAGTAAATAAAGGTTACAATAGAAAGGTACAGGGTGCTTTACAAAGGACGGATTCTAACCTGGCCCAGGTGAGCAGGGTGAAAAGGAGGAAGGTTAGGGAAGGGAGTATTATAGTCTGTCATGTTTCTTCCAGCTTTTTTTGTCACTTCCTATCACCCACTTAAGCAAGACCTTCCTAATGCTTGGATCCACTCAGGGATAATCAAACTCAGCCTTTCTCAAACTCATGTTTTTGGCACTCATTGATAAATCAGAAAGCAAATTTATAAATTTAGTGAGAATTACAGTTGTCAAGCAGAATGAAATTTGTGTTTTCTAGTCAGTTTATTTTCTTCCCAGATACCAGAAAGTTGGGAAAGCAGGGGTTCAGAGTTGGTAAGCAGAGAAGCAAATAAATGGAAATAGATGCCCTCAGGAATATTATGCTTAAGTTGTGATAATTCTGATGCCCACCTTGCTTTACTAGCAGAACACCCTTTACCCTGGATACTGCTAGGTCAGCCACTGATACAAATGTTCTGTGTCTGTGCTCCTCAGTACAGTAGCCCTTGCTACACGTGGCTGTTGAGGCATTTAAAATGTGGCTGGTGCAGCTGTGGAATGGAATGTTTAATTGAATTTCATTTAAATTTAAATTGCCACATGTGGCAAGTGACTACCCTGTTGCACAGTGTAGCACTGGATAAACATAACTTCTGTGTTCTAGATTCCAGTCCCACCATTAGCTTTCTGTTTTTGACAGTGTTTGCTGGTATGATAGGTCACTGTTCATTTTACATTACTATCAGTTTAGTTTCCTTTGCATTTCAGAGGCTCCCTAATCCCTTAAAGAGATTTAAAAATCAATGTAGACCACTTCTGTGTGAAAATAAGATGACTGAATTTGCTTTGATTGGAATTAGGAACTGACCTCTCTTTGCTAGTTCTGGAATTTGGCCAGGATGCACATCAAAATCTCATTCCTACCCTCCTGATTTGCCTCATGGAAACTTCGTTGCTGTGTCTGTTCTCTGGTCCTCTATTGCTATGTCTCAGCTTTAGATTCTATGTTTTGCATAGAAATGGATCATCAGAATGCAACAGGCAGAAGACTTAGAAGTGCAAATCAGTAGGGTAATGACAAGCCCTTTGAGCTGAGTGGGACTGAAAAGTAACCTAACATATAACCTATTAGTAATTGTTTACCATGAAGGTTTTCAGTGCTGGACACATAAATTGCTGAGTTCAACTGCCCTCTTTCCCCTCCAAATCTAGCATAAAAGCAACTGGTGCTCTCAGGGCAATTTCACACCTAATATGGCTAAGAATAAAAGTCTATGTTTCAGGAACTCAGTTTGTCCAAACCTGCATCCATCATCTACCTCAAATTATATCCACCTTTTCATTTCTTTGCACTGTGTCTGCTTAAATCTTGAGTCACACTTAATGTTTTTTTTTTGGTCTTTTTTCTTTTTAATGTGAAATAGAATATACAATACACAAATGAAAATGTATATTTAGAAGAACAATAATAAATGTCCAGGTGCCCGTTGCTCAGACTGAGAAATGGAACATTACTACATCCCAGGAGCCTCGTATGCTCTCATTCATATCTCTCTCCCCTGCAGCCAGAGGCAACCACTATCCTGAATTTTGTATAACTGTCACCTAGCTTTTATAGATTTTACTGTCTGTGTATCCTTAACAGTTGCTTATTTATAGCCTTTATATAAATAGAATTATACTGTATATGACTGACTACTTTTGCTCATTATTATTTTTGGATTCATCCATGTTGATGTGTGACACTGTAGTTCATTTCCATGACATGAATATGCCACAACTTAATTATATATTCTGTTGATGTCATTTAGTTGTTTCCAGTTTTTGTTTTATTTTTCTTTTAAAAATGATACTTAGATACTACATTAACATGTTTAATCTTATGTTCTGGTGACTGTGTACTAGATATATATATGATATATAAATTGTGGTACATTTATTTGACAGGCCTGATCTTGAAGCCTGTTAGATTTCTGTTCCTTTGTGGCATTATGCCTGTAAGCCTGTTCTGTAGAGTCTGGCACATGTTAGCCTCTTAATAGATATTTGTTGAAAGAAAGGACATTTGTTAACTGCTGGAGACAGAACTGTGTCAGGCAGAGCCAGGACCAAAATACATAAATAGCTGATAACAGACCACTTTACCTTTTTACTCATCTTGTCCAGGTACAATCATAGTCAACCTCTGTTTATGCTTATATTTCAGTTGAGGTACTAAAATATTTGTTTACTTAGTTGGTTTTCAGTGAGCTTCCAGTACAGGATTTGTTTCTCTTTCTGTCACTTTTCCCAAAACTTTCACTCCACTGCCTTCTAGAAAAGATCACCCACATGTCGTCTCCTCAAGGCACCTGCAGCACGAAAGTTTTATTTCTGAACAAAAGGGTCCCCAGAGAAGGAGACAAGGAGTCTCCTTTCAGTACGAGGTTGCTGGAGTCCCTAGAGGGTCAAAGGCTGTGTAATAACAGTTCCTTCTTGTCTGCTGGACAAAAGCTTCTGAGCCCTCAAGCACCCTGTGACTTAGTTCTGATAGAGTACTGAGTTTGGAAATGGCAGAGTGGGGACCCAAAACAAATCTTCCAATTCCAAATTCAGTTTTATCCACCTTTTCAAATAAGATTAAAAAATGTTAATGTCTGTTGATTTGTGTGTGTTGAACCACTCTTGTATCCTTGGGATGAATCCCAATTAATTGTGGTATATTTTTGATATGTTGTTGGATTCAGTTTGCTAAAATTTTGTTCAGGATTTTTGTGTATATTTTCACTAGGAAGATTGGCCTGTAATTTTCTTTTTTTTTTGTATTCTTCTCTGCTTTTGGTATCAGGGCAATGCAGGCTTCATAAAATGAGTTAAGAATAATTCCTTCCTCTTCAGTTTTTTTAAAATATTTTGAGAAGTATTGGTATTAATTTTTCTTTGTATGTATGGTAGAATTTGACAGGAAAGCCATCTGGTCCTGGGCTTTTCTTTATTGAGACACTTTTAATTACTGATTCAGTCTTATTACTCATTGTTGGTCTGTTCAAGTTTTCTATTTGTTCCTGGTGAAATGTCTACAAAAATTACAAAAATTAGCTGGGTGTGGTGGCATGTGCATGTAGTCCCAGCTACTTAGGGGGCTGAGGCAGGAGGATCGCTTGAACCTCAGGAGGTTAAGGCTGCAGTGAGCTGGTATTGCGCCACTGTGTTGCAGCCTGGGTGACAAAGTGAGACCCTATCTCAAAAATAAAAAAAATTCATATGGAACCACAAAAGAGCCCCATCCAATAGTTAAGCTATAGTAATAGCTTTGTAACTGTTATAGTAGAAACCAAATCATCATGGTACCGGCCTAAAACAGACACATAGACCAATGGAAAGAATAGAGAACCCAGAAATAATTTCATATACTTACAGCCAACTGACTTTCAACAAAGGCACCAAGAAAGGACACCCTTTTCCATAAATGGTGCTGGGAAAACTGGATATCCATATGCAGAAGATTGCAGCTAGGCTCATATCTCTTACCATATTAAAAAATCAACCAAAAATGGATTAAAGGCTTAAATGATAGATCCGAAACTATGAAACTACTAAAAGAGAATATAGGGGAAATGCTCAAGAACATTGGTCTAGGCAAAGATTTTATGGTTAAGACATCAAAAGCATAGGCAACAACAACAAAAAATAGGCAGGTGGGACTATATTAAACTAAAAATCTGCACAGCAAAGAAAACAACAGAGTGAAGAGACCAACTGTAGATGGGAACAATATTTTCAAATTATCCAACAGGGGACTAATATCCAGAGTGTACAAGGAACACAATTCAACAGTAAAAAAAAAAAAAAAAAAAAAAAAAATCCCCTTAAAAATGGTCAAGGGATCTGAATAGAAATTTCTTAAGAAATACAAATGGCCAACATGTATGTGAAAAAGATGCTCAACATCACTAATTATCAGGGAAATTTAAAGCAAACCACAATAATATATCATCTTACCCTAGCTAGAATAGCTATTATTAAAAAGACAAAAATGGTAGCTAGGATATAAAGACAAACTCTTACACACGGTTGGTGGGAAGGTGAATTAGTACAGCCACTATGGAAAACAGTATGGAGATTTCTTAGAAAACTGAAAATAGATCTGTGTGATCCAGCAATACCACCACTGGGTATTTATCCAAAGGTAAGGAAATCGATACATCAAAGGGATACTGGCACCCCCATGTTTACTGTGGTACTATTTACAATAGCAAAGACAGGGAATCAACCTAACTGTCCATCAATGGATGAATGGATTAAAAAGATATGGCATATATACACAATGGAATACTATTTAGCTATTAAAAGAATGGAATCTTGTCATTTCCACTAACATGGACAGAACTGGAGGTTCTGATATTAAATGAAATAAGCCAGGCACAGAAAGACAAATATTGCATGTTCTCACTCATGTGCGGGCTTTAAAAGGTTGATCTAATCGAGGTAAACAGCAGAAAGATAGTATCCAGAGGCTGGGAAGGGGGTGTGTGTGTGTGTGTGTGTGTGTGTGTGTGTGTGTGTGTGAGGGGGGTGATGAAGAGAGGTAGGTTAATGGGTACGAATGTACAGTCAGATAGAAGGAATAAGTTCTAGTGTTTGATAGCACAGTAGGGTGACTATAATTAACAACAATATATTGTGTATTTCAAAATAGCTAGAAGACTTGTAATGTTCCCAACACAGAGAAATAAATGCTTGAGGTGACGGATATCCTATGTACCCTAACTTCATTATTAGATACTATGTGTGTATCAAAATATCACATGTACCCCATAAATATGTGCAAATATTATGTACAAATAAAAAGTCACACTGTACAATTTTTATTTGTCAATTATACTTCAATAAATCTGGAAAAAAATAAAGTATGTATGCAATCAAAGTTTTAAAGTATATTCCCAAATATGTGCAACCATCACTGCATTCAATTTTAGAATATTATCATCGCCTGAAAAAGAAACCCCATGCCCTATAGCTATTACTCTCTTATTCCCCCTTCCCCATCACCCCAAACCCTAAGCAAGAGTTAATCTATGTCCTACCTGTATGGATTTGCCTATTTTGGAAAATTCATATGTAAATATAATCATATATGGTCTTTTGTGACTAGTTTCTTTCACTTAATGTTTCCAAGTGTCATTTATATTATAGCATGTATCAGTATTTCATTGCTTTTTATGGCCAAATAATACTGTATTCCATAGATGTATCACATTTGTTTATTTATCGGTTTATAGACATCTGGATTGTTTCTGTCTTTTGGCTAATACAAATAATGCATCTATGAATGTTCATTTACAAATTTTTGTGTGACACATTTTTATTTCTCTTGGACATATACCTAAGAATGGGTGAGTCGTATGGTATCTTCATTTTTAATCAGTTGAGCCACAGCCTGACTCCTTCCAAAGTGACTACATAATTACACATTCCTGCCAGCAGTGTCTGAGGGTTCTCATTCCTGCATATCCTTAACAATACTTATTATCTGATGTTTTGATTCTAGCCATTCTTTGGCTGGGAAGTGGTATCTCGTGTGTGTGTGTGTGTGTGTGTGTGTGTGTGCGTGCGTGCGTGTGTGTGTTTTAGACAGAGTCTCGCTCTGTTGCCCAGGCTGGAGTGCAGTGGTGTGGTCTCGGCTCACTGCAACCTCTGCCTCCCAGGTTCAAGCAATTCTCCTGCCTCAGCCTCCCAAGTAGCTGGGATTACAGGTACCTGCCACCATGCCCAGCTAATTTTTTCTATTTTTAGTAGAGATGGGGTTTCACCATGTTGGCCAGGCTGGTCTGGAACTCCTGACCTTGCGATCCACCCACCTTGGCCTCCCAAAGTGCTGGAATTACAGGTGTGAGCCACCATGCCCAGCCTTCACTGTGGTTTTAAATTGCATTTCCCTAATAATGTCGATCATCTTTTTTATGAACTTATTGGCTATTTGTATATCTTCTTTAGGGAAATGACTGTTCATATCTTTTGCTCATTCTATTTTTATTTATTTATTTAGAGACGGAGTCTTGCTCTGTCATCCAGGCTGGAGTGGAGTGGTGCGATCTTGGCTTTACTGCAACCTCCGTCTCTTGGGTTCAAGCGATTCTTGTGTCCCAGCCTCCCAAGTAGCTGGGACTACAGGTGTGTGCCACCACACCCAGCTAATTTTTGTATTTTTAGTGGAGGCAGGGTTTTACCATGTTGGTGAGGCTGATCTCGAACTCCTGACCTCAAGTGATCCACCCACTTCAGCCTCCCAAAGTGCTGAGATTACAGGCGTGAGCCACTGCGCTCGGACTCCTTTGCTCATTTTAAAATTGGGATTATGTGTGTTTTGCGATTAAGTTGTAGGAGATTGTTATATATTCTAGAAACATCTCTTGTTAAATGTATGATTTGCAAATCTTTTCTCCTTTCCTGTGGGTTTTTTTCACTTTTAAAAAAATTCTTAATTTTTAAAACTATTTTTATTTTTTGATCTAAATGTTTACTGTTAATTAGTAAATAATACACATATGGGGTACAATGTGATGTTTTGATATATGTATATATTGTGGATCACTTTCTTGATAGTGTCCTTTGAAGCATAAACATTTTAATTTTGATGACATCTAATTTTTCTCAATATTATCTAATATCTTTTGTTTGTGCTTTGGCATAATATCTAAGAATCCATTGTCCAACCTGAGTTCATAAATATATATATATATATATATATTTGAGACGGAGTCTCACTCTGTTGCCCAGGCTGGAGTGGAGTGGTGTGATCTCGGCTCACTGCAACCTCTGCCTCCTGGGTTCAAGCCATTCTCCTGCCTCAGCCTTCTGAGTAGCTGGGATTATAGGTGTGCACCACCACACCCGGCTAATTTTTATATTTTTAGTAGAGACGGAGTTTCACCATGTTGGTCAGGCTGGTCTCAAACTCCTGACCTTGTGATCCACCTGCCTCGGCCTCCCAAAGTGCTGGGATTACAGGCATGAGCCACCGCACCCGGCCAGTTCATAAAGATTTATCGCCTAGGTTTTCCTCCAAGAATTTTGTAATTTCACCACTAACATTTAGATCTTTCTTCCATTTTGAGCTTATTTTTGTATATAGTGTGAAGTAAAGGCCTGTATTAGTTTCTTAGACCTTGTGTAACACATTGCCAAGATTTGATGGCTTAAAACAGCAAACATGTATTCTGTCACAGTTCTGGAGGCCAGAAGTTTGAAATCCAGGTGTTGGCAGGATTAGTTTCTTCTGGAGGCTCTGCGGGAAAGTTCATTCCATGATACTTTCCTAACTTCTGGTAGCTGTTGGTAGTTGTTGCTCCATTGGCTTGGAGATACATCACTGAAATCTTTGCCTTCATCTTCACATGGCATTCTTGCCTGTGTCTCTTCTCTGTTGATGTCATATCTCCTTCTCTTTTATTAAGACACCAGTCACTAGATTTAGGTCCCACCCTAAATCCAGGATGATCTTTTCTTGGGAACCTGAACTTAATTTCATATACAAAGACACCATTTCCAAATAAGTTCACGTTCACAGGTACTGGTGGTCAGGTCTTAGACAAACCTTTCGGAGTACACACTTCAACCACCATAAGGTCCACTCCATCATTTTGTATGTGGCTATCAAGTTTCCCCAGTACCATTTGTTGAAAAGACTGTGCTTTCCCCCGTTGAATGTGCTCAGCACCCTTGCTGAAAATCAGTTGACCGTAGACACATGGTTTTATTTCTGAATTTCAGTTCTATTCTATTGATCTATGTCTATCTTATGCAAGTACCACACTGTCTTGATTACCATTACTTTATGCGATGTTTTGAAACTGGAAAGAATGAGTTCTACTTTGTTCTTTTCTTCCTTCTTTTTATTTTTTAGAGACAGTTTCTTACCCTGTAACCCACACTGTAGTGCAGTGGCATAATCATGGCTCACTGCAGCCTCAACCTTCTAGGCTAAAGCAATCCCCCTGCCTCAGCCTCCCAAGTAGCTGGGATGACAGGTGTGTACCACCATGCCCCGCTAATTTTTATTTTTTGTAGAGACAGGATCTTGCTGTGTTGCCCAGGCTGGTCTTGAACTTCTGGCCTCAAGCAATCCTCCTGCCTCGGCCTCCCAAAGTGCTGCGATTGATTACAGGCATGAGCCACTGTGCCTGGCCCTTTGTTCTTTTTTTCAAGATTGTTTGCATAGTCTGCGTCCCTTTAATTTCTTTATAAATTTACAATTAGTTTGCAAATTTCTACGAAGAAGTCATTTAGGAATCTGATAGGGATTGTGCTGAATCTATCAGTTTGGAAATATAATCATTGAGTTATATTAAATCTAATCCATGAACTTTACCCCATTTATTTAGATTTTTAATTTCTTTCATTGATGTTTGAGTTGCACTTCTTTTGTTAAATTTGCTTCTAAGTATTTTGTTCCTTTAAAGCTATTACAAATGGAATTGTTTTCTTAATTTCATTTCTGGATTTGTCATTGCAAGGGTTTAGAAATACAATTGATTTTTGTATACTGGTGTTATATCCTTTATCCTTGCTGAAGTTAGTAGTTCTAATAGCTCTTTAATGGATCATTTAGCATTTTTTTTATATAAAAGATCATGTCATCTGTGAATATAGTTTTACTTCTTTCTTTCCAATCTGAATATACTTTATTGCTTTTTTCTTGTCTAATTATCTTAGCTAGAACCTTTGGTAATGTTGAATAGACATAGTGGGAGTGGATATTCTTGTTTTAATTGCTGATCTTAGGAGGAAAGCAACCAGTCTTTCACCATTAAATATTGATGTGGTTTGGATTTGTGTACCCGCCCAAATCTTATGTCAAACTGTAGTCCCCAGTGTTGGAGGAAGGGTGTGGTGGGAGGTGATTGGGTCATGGGGGTGGACTTCCCCCTTGCTGTTCTCATGATAGTGAATTTTCATTGAGATTTTGTAGTGAGATTTGGCTTTTTAAACATGTGTGCCACCTCCCCCTTCTCTCTTCTTCCTGCTTCAGCCATGTAAGATGTACTAACTTCCTGTTCACCTTCCACCATTATTGTGTTTCCTGAGGCCTCCCCAGGAGCAGAAACCTGTATAGCCTGCAGAACCTTTAGCCAATTAAACCTCTTTTCTTTATAAATTATCCAGTTTCATGTATTTCTTTAAAGCAATGCATAAATGGACTAATACGAGTATGATGTTAGCTGTAGCTTTTTTATAGATGCCCTTTATCCGGCTGAGAAAGTTCCTTTCAATTCCCAGTTTGTTGACTCTTTTTTTTTTAAAGTAACATGGTCTCAACACATCGCCCAAGATGCCCTCGAACTTCTGGCCTCAAGTGATTCTCTTTCCTCAGTCTCCTTGAGTAGCTGGGACTATAGACACATGCCAATGTGCCCACCTGTTGACTGTTTCTATTATGAAAGAGTATCGAATTTGGTCAAAACCTTTTTCTGCATCTATTGAGATAATTGTGGGTTTTTATTCTATTGATATAATATATTACATTAATTGATTTTTGGATATTAAACCCATCTTGCATTCCTAGGATAAATCTCACTTTGTCATGGTGTATAATTATTTTTGTACATTGCTGGGTTGTTTGCTAGTATTTTCTTGAAGATTTTCACATCTATATTCATGAATAGCAATCTGTAGTTTTTTTGTGATTGTTTTGTCTGCTTTTGGTACCAGCCTTATAGAACATACCTTATAGAATATGTTGGGCAGTGTTCCTTTCTCCTTTTTGGGAGAGTTTGTGAAGAAATGGTTTGATATCAGCTATTCATAGATCAGAGTTTGAGTAGCATGGTGACAAACCTAGGATAATTTTTTAGACTTTTATGGATGCTCTAGACTGAATGTTTGTGTCTCCAATCCCCCACCCAAATTCCTATGTTTAAAACTTAATCCCCAGTGTGATGATACTTAGAGGTGGGGCCTTTTGGAGGTGATTAGGTTATGAATGCAGAGCCCCCATGAATGGGATCACTGCCTTTATCAGAAAGACCCCAGGCAGTTCTCTTCACCTTTCTGCCATGTGAGGCCACTTGGAGAAGATATACGTTTATGAAACAGGAAAGGGGCCTTCATCAGACATGAAATTAACCAACACCTTGCTCTTGGACTTACCAGCCTCCATAACTGTGAGAAATACTTTTATGTTGTTTATAAGCCACCCAGTCTAAGGTATTCTGTTATAGCAGCCTGAGTGGACTAAGACAGTGGGGGTATGTGGTGTTATAGATTGGTTTTTGGCCACAGTTCCTGGTTCCTAGCTCCTATATTCCCTTGTTTCGGTCTTTTGTAATAATATTGGGTGTGTTCGGCCTCGGCAGGCCTCAGGAGTCAGAATCTCTCTTCTGGCCTCATTTCACCTGCCCCAAGGCAGGACTCTAATCTTCTGCCTTTCTGATTATGGGTCTTAAGACCCTCTCTGGAGAGGGTCCCACACTATACATTGGGAGAAGGAATGCTGGTGTCACGAAGCTTCCATAAAAACCCAGGAGAACTGGGTTCAGGGAGCTTCCAGGTAGCTGAACAAGTGGAGGTTTTTGGAGGTTGGTGTGCCCAGGAAGGGCATGGAAGCTCCATGCTCCTTCCCTGATACCTCACCCTACACGTATTTTCATCTGTATCCTTTGTAATATCCTTTATAATAAACTAGTAAACATAAATGTTTCCCTGAATTCTGTGAGCTACTCCAGCAAATTAGTGAAGCCCAGAAGTGGGTGGTGGGAACTTCTGCGATTGGTGTCTGATGTGGAGTAGTCTTGGGGACTAAGCCCCCAATCTGTGGGATATGATGCTATCTCCAGGTAGACAGTGTTGACATTGAACTGGAGGATACCCAGCTGGTGTCCACTGCTTGGTGTGTGGGGAAAAACCCCCACACCTTTGGTCACAGAAATCTTCTGTGTTGATGATTGTTGTGGTATGAGAGCAGAGGGAAAATGTGGTTTGAGAGAGGGTTTCCTAAAATAGGGTTACAAAAACATAAATGTCACAGATATTCTTTCCAGAAAATATGTGCATATACAAAGAAATATAAATATTAGTATAAAATCTTAGTGTATACACAGGTCCTCTGAAGTCTTAGACATCTAGATTTTAAAAAATCCTAACAAGAGATAAGTTTTGAGCAATCATTTCACCATCCCACAGTGCCACTCTACTTATCTGAGTATAAACTGATCAGGAAAAAGTTGTACTTCATAACAGACTATCAAGGAAATAAATTGAAAGTTGTAATTAATTAGTCACTGATTCATTCAGCAAAACCCAAGTGTCTATGATATACCAGATAAGGTTCTAGTCTCAGATTACTGCTCTAGGAATTGACTTTTTTTTTCATTCTTTTTCCACTCTATCTTCCTGTGTCCCAGCACCTGAACCCTCTCCATGTTAGGGAGAATTTCATACTTAAAGAGTATGATTTCATACTTAAAGAGTCATTGTAGGAAGCAGACACCAACTTCTTCCACGAAAGAAAAACTCACTTTTCCAAATATTCTGGCAGCTGGATATGGGATGAGGCTTAGGTTCCACCAGGCAGATAACCACTTGCTGGATTCTGACTCAGCCTGGTGACATAAGCTGGTACTGTGCACACATTTTAGTAAGTGTGGTGTGAGTTGCAGCAGCAATGTCCAGTTGCCAGGAGCAGTCGTGATAGCAGTTCTATCTGCAAGGTCCAGTGTCTAGCTTTAGAGTGTCATTGGTATGAACAGTGACATCTGTGCCCAGCATCAGGGGCAGTGATTCCTATGTGAGACTCCACCTAGGATGGGATTATAGATGCTGCTTCTAGCTATGTAGCTTTAAGCCTATTCTCACAGACCTTCCCAAAATAAAATAAACACCAGCCTAATGAAGATAGATGATAGATAGATAGACAGATAGAAGTCCTTTATGTTTAAATTAGAAAAAATAGCATTTAAATGTGGACTTAAGACCCTTTCCCACCCTAGGCACTGTTGATCACTGACCTCAGTGGTTCCCAATCTGGCTGATCACCAGGATTCCTTGTAGATTTTTTACAAAAATACTCAGGCCTTTCCCCATACCCACCATCTCAGAAGTGGAACATGGATCCCAGGAATAACAAGCCACAGGTGAGGCTGATGCACAGCCACCTGGGAATCCTGGTCTACATTCTTGCTACTAAAAGTGTGATCTGAAGACCATCAGTGTCTGCCTCAACTTTTTTATAAACACAGAATCTCATTCTCAACTCCAGACAACCTGAATCTTAGAAAGTTGTCCAGGTGATTCCTACGCACACTAAAATTTGAGATTCTCAGATTTACTTACTTTCTAGATGTGGTGTTAGAACTGTGCAGTCTGCTGTCAGAGTGTGTTCTGATGAAATCCCTTAGCACTGAAGGTCCAGGGTTCAGTCCATGTCCTTTTTCTCTTCTATAGCCATCTTTCCCTTGGCGACTCATGCATGCTCTATGCTTTAAATATCATTAATATGGCATTAACTCCTAAATCTATTTTCCCAGCCCAGACATTTCTCCTACATTTCCAACTTGCATATCCATCTGCCAACACAACAACCTCACTTGAATGTCTGACATCTGAGATTCAACATTTCCTAAATTGAATGCCTATAGTGCCCCCTCCTCAAATATGCCCCTTTCAGAATTTTTCCCATCTGTGCTGACAACAACTTCATTTTTCTACTTGCACAGTCTGAAATTTTGGGGTTCCTCTTTGACTCCTCTTTTTCATACCCCAGACTTAATCTATTAGGAAGTACTGTGAAGTCCATATTGAGAATGTGTCTGAAATCCAATCACTTCCCACTCTTTTCTCTGCTCACACTCCAGGCAAAGCAACCAGAGTTGCTAATCTGAAATACTGCACTAGTTTCCTACAGTTTTCCCACTTTCTCACTCACCCCTCATCTCTCAATTCTGTTCTCAGCATAGCAGCCAGGATGATCCTTTTAAAAGATGTGCCAAGTCTCTACTCTGCTGACAGCTGTTTGTGTCTCCCCCATCTCACTCAGAGCAAAGTCAGAACCCTTCCAGTATCCTCAAGCCTACATGATCTCCCCAAATCTCTGACCTTATATCAATGACTGCTGCAGCTATCTGAGCCCCCTCAACTCCTCCCACAACCCAGATGTGCTCCTGTTCTGGTGCCTTTGCACTGGGGGTTCCCCTGCCTGGAAAGAACCTGCCCCAGACGTCCTCATAGATAATTCATCTTTTCTCTTAAGGTCACATTCCCAGTGAGACCATAGACCACCCTAGTAAAACAGCCATCTTCCCTGTCCCCACACACCCACAATCTGGATCACCTGCCTCACACCCCTCAGCACCTTTTGACAGAAACACTTTCCTTATTTACTCTGCTTATAGTACATAGTCTGTGTTTTCCCACTAAAACATGTGCCCCTCAAGGCCAGCAATTTTTGCCTGTTTTTAGTTTCCAGATGTAAAACTAGCATTTCATACAGCCAGCACTCAACAAATATTGGCTAAATGAATGACCAGTGTACAGCACCTCCCTATTCTAGAAACAGTATCTTTATTAATGTAGCTGCAGACCACATGCTGTTTTGTGGCAGCTACAGTGAAACAACCGCTCATGTTGACATCAATGCTGCCTGTACTTTTCTCACAAATGCTGTTCTCGCCTCCCTCCCACACCAATCCTCATATACCACAGCAGACAATTATAGTTCCCTTTTCAGAAAAAAAAAATGATCCTAGGCTTATGGACCCTATTTTCCAACCAACTGTGAATTAAATTAGAGTCTAGACATCCATGAGTTTGGATTTGAGCCAGCACTAGGATTATTACAGCCAAAGGCAGGGAGAGAGGGTAGGTGAGCCAAAAATAAATTCCTGTTAGAAACCTAACAGGAGTTTATCTAAGGTGAGAAACCGAGATATGATCTCTAATTCCAGAATTTGATTTCCTGAAAAAGATTGGGGAAAAGATGCGAAGAACAGTCCAGGAAACAGCCCTGGAAGGACAAGAGCTGGGTGGGTCTAAAAATTGGTCTCTTGATACCACAGAGACTCCTGTGTGCAGGGGCCACCCCAGGGCTTGTGAGGACAATGACAGAAAAAGTAACTCCTACGGCTGTCCTAGAGGAGATTGGAGACTTGGAGACCAGAACTCAGATACAAGAAGAAGAACAGGCATAGTCTTCTGTCAAAACAAAACAATGAACAAGATGGGGGCTGAGGGCCAGACCTAAGCCTGAGCCTAGGCTGACCTGGTCACACAAAGCCCTTGCCACAGTCCTAGAGACAGGATAAGGCCTGGCCCTTCTCCTCCTATACCAAATGCTCTTTGTCACACATTCTCCCTTAATCCAGAGCTAGGAGTTACGTCATCGTTTCTCAAACGTTTTGGTTTCAGGATCTCTGCATGCTCTTAGGAATTAGTGAGGACTCTGAAGATAATTTTATGTGAGTTATATACGTTAATATTTACCATATTAGAAACTAAAATCACTTAAATTATTTTATTCACTTAGAATATTAATAATGCATTGCATGTTAGAAATATTTTTATGCAAAGTCAGTATTTCCCAAAGTAAACAGTATAGTGAGAAGAGTGCATCTTTTTACATTTTGTATGTTTGTAAATCCTTTTCTTATGTGTCTCATTAGAAGATTAATGAATTTTCTTCTCCTTCATTTAATCTGTTATTTTGGTTAATCTGTTATGTTTGGTTGAAGTGTATGAAAAAAAATCCATCCTCACACAATGATATTTTTGTTGCTGTTCTTGTTTTGGGTTTTGTTGGGGGGTTTTGTTTGTTTGTTTGTTTCTTTTGGTCTCATGCTATCACCCAGGCTTGAGTGTAGTGGTGTGATCATAGCACACGGCAGCCTCGAATTCCTGGGCTCAAGTGATCCTCCCATTTCAGCCTCATGAGCAGCTGTGACCACAGGCACGAAACACCACCGCAGCTAATTTTGTTTATTTTTTGTAGAGATGGGGGTCTCATTCGAACTCCTGGGTGGAACTCCTAGGCTCAAATGATTCTCCTGCCTTGGCCTCCCAAAATGCTGGGATTACAGGTATAAGTCACCTCGCTAGGCCAGGAATGTTTTTAATAACATTTTTAGAAAACTGGATATTCATCCTTGATACTACACTAAAATGATAGAAGTGTTAGCTTCTTAAAGGTTATTTGTAATGTGGAACATGAAACTATCAATAACTATTTCACATGCTGTTACATTAAAATATATAGGTCCGACTTCCACATTGAATGCTTCTTGTATAATACATGACTTTTAAAAAAAGAAACACAATTTCACCACATTATGTCTTCCAGTGTTGACACATTTAACTACAAGTTATCAAAAAATCACATTTTTTAATATTACCACAGATATTACCAGAAAAGATTGTTAAGTATTGGGAAGCCATCAGGCTTATGATGGTGGATACAAGTTCCCCAGGATTCTAATTTTCTCTTGAGAGCTTGCCTTTTATCATTGGGAATAATACCATCAGTTGATTATGTGGAAGGGACAGGGTTATGTTCGTTTTTGAGAAAGTGTCAGCCAAATATTCAAGTCTAAATGATAATCATTTCTGTCATTCATTCTTTCAAGTAAAAAGGATATTCCATAAAAAATAGACTAGTACAACTCACAAAATGATTTTGTGGACACAAACATTTTAATTTGTTTTTGTTTTCGTTTTAAGACAGGGTCTCGCTCTGTTACCCAGGCTGGAGTGCAGTGGCATGATTTTGGCTCACTGAAACCTCCACCTCCCGGGTTCAAGTGATTCTTGTGACTCAGCTTCCCTAGTAGCTGGGACTACAGGTGCGCACCACCATGCCTGGCTAATTTTGTATTTTTAGTAGAGACAGGGTTTCACCATGTTGGCCAAGCTGGTCTTGAACTCCTGACCTCAAATGATCCACCTGCCTAGGCCTCCCACAGTGCTAGAATTAATTGCAGGTGGGAGCCACTGCGCCTGGCCTCAAACATCCTAATTTGGAATGTAGTAGAAATACCTTATGCGTACTTCCCACTTACTCATTTAAGATATATTAAACTGTGGATTCTGGGATAGAGATTTAATAAAGTTAATAATTCTTTGATACTTCAACCAGGACATATTTAAGTGAAACCTGTTTTTTCTTCTATAATTAAGAAGTGGTTAAGAATATAATAACTACTATTTCAGTTTGGTACCATAGCCTCCCTTCTTGTCAAGTTTTACTTTAGTACAAATAATGTCTTCATTGTATTATAAAAATACTTTTAACCTTGTGGATCTATGAAGGGGTTTCAGCAGCCCACAAGGGTTCCACAGATTGCACTTTGAGAAATCCTGTTCTGGGTAAGCTGTGGAGAGTTCTTGACTGGCCCCTTTGCCTCTTCATTTTCCCAAATTTTTCTCCCCGAGCAGGACTCCCTGCATCCCAAAACTTAGCTAGCGCTAAGTTTGCCTTGCCCTGGGCTCTTATAGAAGAGAACCTATCACCTGTAAATTGGATGCAGAGAGTGTCCTTAGTCTGGGAACAGAGGTGGCAAATGTGTTTCCATTTTGGAGCTGGGAATGGTTTGCGCCTAAAAGCACAAAATAGAGATTTCACTCCTGACCCACTTTGAATTTGCAATCTCTATGAGAAATAATATTGGCCCTTTCATTTCTGTTTTTTCCAAGATGGGGTCTCACAGTGTCACCCAAGCTAGAGTGCAGTGGCATGATAATGGCTCACTGTAGTGGCGAACTCTCGGGGGGCTCAAGCCATCCTCCCACCTCAGACTCTTAAGCTGTTGGAACTACAGGCACTTGCCAGCATGTCCAGCTAATTTTAAAAATTATATATTTTGTAGAGCTAATTTTAAAAAATATTTTGTAGAGATGGGATCTTGCTATGTTCCCCAGGCTGGTTTCAAACTTCTGAGCTCAAGCGATCCTCCTGCTTTGGCCTCCCAAAGTGCTGGGATTACAGGCGTAAGTCACCACAACCAGTCACCCTTTCATTTTAGATGTGTCTAATGCACTTGACTTGAGGCCCACATAGCACCAAGAGCAGTTATCTTAATCCATCAGGCTGCTATAACAAAAATACCCTAGATTAGGTGGCTTATAAACAAAAGAAAGATATTTCTCACAGTGCTGGAGGCTGGGAGGTCCAATATCAAGGTGTCAGCTAACTCTGTGTCTGGTGAGGGCCTGCTTCTTCATAGCTGTCCTCTCACTGCATCCTCCCATGGCAGAAGGGCCAAGACAGCTTTCTAGAATCTCTTTTATAAGGGTACAAGTTCAATTCATGGGAGTTCTGACCTCATGACATAATCACTTCCTCTAAAACAAACCCACTTCCAAATATCATCTCACTGGGGATTAGGTTTTATTTTGGGAGGAGCATAAAAATCTCTATAGCAGTAGTGCTGTTCAATAGAACATTCTGTGATGATGAAATTGATCTATATCTGCACTGTCCAATATGGGAGCCACTAGTTACATGTGGTTATTGAGCACTTGGAATGTGGCTAGTGTGATAAAGAGTTGATTTTTTAAAAGTTTTATTCAATTAATTGAAATATAAATAGCCATGTGTAGCTAGTAGTTACCATTTTTGATAGTGCTTATCTAGAGTGCTCTTAGTTTTCAATCTCCCCCACAAGAAAAGATACCTTGTGACTCCCAGATTGAAATACATTAAAATTACCTTCACATAGAACCCATGGATTTGGCTATGTGGGTCTTAGACATATCCCTAAAATACAGCAGGCCCAAGAAAGTTCAATATGTATTTTAACAATTAGAGTGTACGTATAGATTACCAAAACATGATTTATCAACTCAAGGTCATACATTTTCAAAAATGCTTATCACCAGAGCTAATCCTTGTCAATATTTCATTGAGACTCTTGGTGTTACTGTTTTCTATAACCTGGTGAACACAAGGAGGTATATAAGTCATTACTTAGCCCAAGAGAAAGTATTTATTGAAGTTGCCATATAAAATATCTTATAGGCTTTGTAGACATATTTTAAAATTATAAGCAAATGATTTAAACTTTTTCATTTTTGAGATAGAGTCTTATTCTGCCACCCAGGCTGGATTGCAGTTGGGCAATCATGGCTCACTGCAACCTCCGCCTCCCAGGTTCAGGTGATTCTTCCACCTCAGCCTCCCAAGTAGCTGGGCCTACAGGCACGCACCACCACACCTGGCTAGTTTTTGTATTTTTTGGTGAATACACCATGTTGGCCAGGCTGGTCTTGAACTCCTGACCTCGAGTGATCTGCCTACCTTGCCCTCCAAAAGTGCTAGGATTACAGGCGTGAGCCACCACACCTGACCAGGTTTTAAATGTTAAAACTCCACCTTAGAACTCTGCTTCTTGCTCATTCCCCCCAGCTTTCTCCCCAAATCAAACATATCTGTGTGTTTCTCTTCACTCTGGGACTTCCCTCTCTTCATATCATCTGTACCTAGATGAAAATAGATGTTAAGTTTTACAATTGTGAGGTAGAAAAGGATTCTGTAAGCATGACCCAAATATGAAAAGCCATAAATAAAAAAATAAAACTTCTCTATGTCAACCACAGACTCACAAATATACAAACATATGCCTGTGATCAAATTCAAAGACACATAAATAATTGGAAAGACAAAAGGTAGCATATTTCAATGTCTTTCAGCCAAAGACCACCAGGAACATCTATAGCTGAACAACTGGGGTTTATTACTCATTGTCACAAGAGAGAATGCACACCATCTTAGCGTGAGGATATTAGAAAAAATGCAATATAGGATTTGGTCTTTTAGTGGATGTTTTTGGGGAGGGCTAACGAGGTAGGGGTTGACTGTAGATGGGGTGTTGTCAAAAAGCAGGAACATTTCTACGACTGTCCCAATAAATCTTACCCATAATAAATGCAGAGCAGAGCAAGGATAAAGTTGTGGCTGGTAAAGAAACAGCCGTCACTCATATTAGCCAGCAGGGGGAGAGGTTTGGTATTTTGTGAGGTACACAGTGCCTTGGTTTTTGTCTGTGCTTATACTAAATTATGTAGTGCCCCTGTTTTGTCTTGTTTTATCATGTTCCCAGAGCGTCCTTGTCTGATGTTGTGTAATATGGTTTATGTCCAAGAAAAGAATAATATGGCCTAGTGTTGAGCAGTAGGACAGCTTCTAACAGTACTGAAACCTACTGTCAGTGTCAGAAGTCAAGAGCTGCTTTTTTTCTTAGTCAAATTCAACATTTTTAAGTCATCCCAATAGAAAAATAATAATATTAGAAAGCAATATGGGAAAGAATAAATCAAATATCAGACAATATACTCTGATTAATGAATATGAGGAAAAATGAGAACATGACATTAGAAATGCGAATGAAAATTAAAATCTGTCAGTTTGGCATATGTGAAAGTAAATGATAAGCATATTATCCAGAGGTAGGGAAAATACACTGTCATGAAGGCTGATGAAAAACGGGTATACTTTGGGAGGCCGAGGCAGGTGGATCACGAGGTCAGGAGATCAAGACCATCCTGGCTAACACGGTGAAACCCGTCTCTACTAAAAATATTAAAAAAAAATTAGCCGGGCGTGGTGGCAGGCGCCTGTAGTCCCAGCTACTTGGGAGGCTGAGGCAGGAGAATGGTGTGAACCCAGGAGGCGGAGCTTACAGTGAGCCGAGATCGTGCCACCGCACTCCAGCCTGGGAAACAGAGCAAGACTCTGTCTCAAAAACAAAACAAAACAAAACAAAGCAACAACAAAAAACACTGGGGTATAAATTTCTAGAGGGGACTTTTGCGAAACATGTTAACAATATAAATGGACTTACATTTCAATGCATATATTTCTCTTTCAAGAATTTTTCCTAAGAAGATAACCGCACACATTCTAAAAAATATATGTTCAAGGATGTTTCTTGAATTTTGGTTTATAAAAGCAAAATGATTGAAACAATCCAAATGCTGTAATCAATATAGGGATAGTAGCTATGAGTAGCAGAACACTTAATATACCTCAAGGTATAATACCATGTGTTTTACTGAGAGAGTCAAATTTGATCTTCAATGCAAACCCATGAGAAGCCCAATATGTGATATCTTTGTATAGACAGGGAAAGGGAGACTCAGAGAGGTTAAGCAGGTGGTGGGGGTGGAGTGGACCCAGGGAATTTTCTCTTAATGGAATCATCTTTCACTGATTCCCTGTCCATCTGGTGGTGGATATGACGCTGTATCCCATGCCAGTGAACTCTTTCAATGTCCCTGAATGTTCTATGACAGGAGGTCATGAGATACAGTGCTCAGGAGAACATCAAGGGGCAATTGATCAAGGAAGTCTGACTTCCCTGCCTAACCACACTTATATTTCCTCATTCAGCATGTATTTCAAGTCCTCTGATGAATCATGTGATCTACTAGACCCTGAAGATACAGTGAAGAGCAAAAGTAAGATGCTGGCAATTTGATGTTTGCACTGTCATGAAGGAGATGCACATTTAGCAGAACTTACAAAGAGAAATATAAAATTACTGCTGAGCTAAGTGTGGTGAAGAAAAGTTCATGGTACCATGAAAGCAGATAACCAGGAGATCTAACAGGTCCACTACCACTATTCTCAATAATACCTAAAAGAAATAATAAGATATGGCATTTATAAATGATGAATAGGATTTTATAAAATTATATACAATCAGAGAACCAAAAAGCACTCTTGGAAATCAAAAAGTGATCATTTAAATAAGTATTTCAATAGATCACTTGGAAGAGTAAATTTGTACTACCACTAAATATTAAAAATGGAAAAACAATGTCAAGAAAGACAGAAAAACTATATGAATACTAGGCTATCAGTCAAGGATTTCCTGCAACTTAATAATACAAATTCTAAAAGAATGGAAAGATAGAAATTATTTAAAATAAAAAAATTTCTCCAAGTTTACAGACAAAAATTTAACTTGTAATGGCCCCAACCAAGTTCTTACTATAGTAGATGAAAACAGACCCACACCAAGACACATCACAATGAAACTTTAGAAGGTGGGTGGAAAAGAAGAAATCCCAAAAACATCAAAAGGCAAGAAAAACAACATTAGAAGCTAAAAAATGTTGATGGAATGTCATGGAAATTCCTAGGAAAAATGTTTTCAATACAGAATTCCATACCAAGTCCAGGTTGGAATAAGTGCTAGGGTAGCCTGAAGACATTTTCAGAAGCTTAGGCTTTCAGATTTTACTTTCCATGTTCCCTTAGGAACACGGATGAAATGAGAAACAAAAACGATGGAGAAAACCAAAAAAGGGGACACATGGGATCCAGGCAATAGGAGAGCCAGCATAAGAGAGAGGCAGAGGGATGCCCAGGATGAGGTGAAGACGATCTTGGAAATCAGCCCAGATGTGCATGCACCAGTCCACGTGTGGCAGGACCAAGGGAAGTGTCTTCACAAAGATGAGGTTGGTAGAACACGGGGCATGGTTGAATATATTCATGGAGACTGTCTTAGTTCATTTATGCTGCTATAACAGAATGCCATAGTCTGGGTCAGTTATGAAGAACAGAAATTTGTTTTCTCAGTTGTGAGGCTAGGAATCCAAGATCAAGCCACCAGCATTTGGCAAGAGCCTTCTTGCTGTGTCTTCACATGGCAAGTGGGTCAAGGGCAAGAGAGAGGACAATATTATTATTATGGGCTCACTCCCATAATAATGATATTAATATGTTCATGAGGGCTCTGCGCTCATGACTCAGACAGCTTCTATTAGGCCTTACTTTCCAATATCACTGCATTGGGGATCAAGTTTCCAACACATGAACTTTGGGGAACACATTCAAACTATAGCAGAGGCCTTGGAGGGAAATTTGGAAGAGATTTTATAATGAGTACAACAGAAATTAAGCACATGAAGGGATAAAACATTTATTAATTCCAGGGAAATTAAAAAGTCAATTCCAGGAAGGAAAATAGTCCTTGTGAATAGCATTTCCTAATCTAATTGTGAACAGCATTTCCTAATCTAATTGTGAATAGCATTTCCTAGTCTAGCTGTGAATAGCATTTCTGTGGTCATAATAATATAAATAGTGAACACCCAGCTAACCAAAATTATAAAATAACTATATTGAGAGGAGAGGGGTATATGAAAGGGAGCTATACACTAAGGATGATACATAAGAGTGAAAAACAAAATGGCACTATAACACACTATTTGGAGGCACAGATGTAACGATCAAAAAATTAGGCAGAATAAATAAAGTAGATTGCCTCTAGGATTCAGGAAATGGTGTACATGAAAGATTGGGGACATCTGTGTTCATAACAAGCCTTGTAGAAGTATTTGGCTTTTGAAACACTGTCCATAAATCCATTTGATATATTAAAAACATCATGAGACAATTGACTAAGGAATTATTCTATAAGGAGTGTCAGAGAAATGGGGCGGTAATTGGAGGGAGACATGGAATCAGGCAATGGATTTATTTATTTTATTTTTAATTGTTTTGCTTCCACTTAAATTGCATGTTTTATTTCTCCCAATCCCAGCAATAGCACAGAAGCCCCATCATATCCATCCCAAACTGGTTTCGAGTAGGTTAAGGTTATTGGGACCCTTGTCGGAACATTGATACAAAGAGCTCCCAAACACCGGGCACAAATGTGTCTGCAAACAGATGGAAGTAAACAGTGCACTGGCCCAAATGCTTCATGAGTCAGTTTGATTTTGCAATGCAATTTTCATCCTTGAAACGGCCAGTCTGGAGGGGGAAGGGGTAGCGTGAGGGAGTGAAGTTGAAATTGCCTCCTATTAGCTCACTCTTTCATCATTAAACAGAGACCAAGAGAGAAATGGTTCCAACATTTCACCACATATATTTCTTCTTATGCAGTCTAAGCTGAGAATGCCATGTAAATGGGTCACTGCAAAATGTAGCAATTTAATTTCTCTCCAATCAAAATAAGAAAGCAGTACGATCTCACTTCTATTAACTTTTGAAGGTTTACAGCAGTTAAAGTATTTTTGCTTATTTGTATAAAGGTTAAAAAAATCATTTTTTAAATAAAATACAAGAGCAGCCAATTTCACCATCGAGTAAAAGTAAAAACTGGGATTCTTTTTTAAATTAGTCCAAAGTGGCATTTAGGAACTTAGTTGTAGGCTGCTACGCTGACACCGTGACAAACCAAAGTGTAGGGTTGGGTCTGGTTTTGTTTCTGTTTTCTTTTCAATATCCAGTGCTCATGGATTAAGTTCTGGAAATGTTCCAATTGTAAGGCAGGGATCTGTTTGGATTCCATCATGAGTATGCTCCTTGGGTTGGATGCTGGAGAGTGAGGCATGTTTTGCCGGACCCATGTCGACTACCTAGTAGTCATCAAGGTAAAAAAATTCATCGTCTCCTCCTTGGTATTCCATTCTTTGGAAATCCACTTGGTACCACAAGAGACCTCCAATTCTACCAAATCCTTTCACAAACTGAGACCCTTCTTGTGATTTATATGTGACAATTTCCAATGTAGCTCCGACTTTTTTATAGTTGTTAGCAAACCATTTCAACAGGGGCATGCTCTTGATAAGCGCATGTTCCTGCCTGGTCTCTTTGTCTGTGAAATGAGATTTATCCTTTTCTTGCTCTGGAGTTAGAGAATTTTCTCCTCTTTTGTGCCTTGGCAATGAAGAACATATCTCATTATATTCAGATTTTCATAGGCTATTAGAATTTCTACAGCTCCCATTTCCAAAGCCTTTAGTGTATCTTCAACACCAAAACAGTACCTGCCTGTGTCCTGGCTGATTTCATCAATGTATCCCTACTAATTTCTTCTTTTGAATAAATTTCACTTTGGAGAGGACTTCAGTAGATAACCCAACAGCTTGGTTGAATCCATTTTCACCACCATAGGATATATCAACTAATTTCTTTTTTTTGAGACTGAGTCTTGCTGTGTTGCCCAGGCGGGAGTGCAGTGGTGTGATCTGGGCTCGCTGCAAGCTCCGCCTCCCAGGTTCACGCCATTCTCCTGCCTCAGCCTCCCAAGTAGCTGGGACCACAGGCACCCGCCACCACGCCCAGCTAATTTTGTTTTTGTATTTTTAGTAGACACAGGGTTTCACCGTGTTAGCCAGGATGGTCTCGATCTCCTGACCTCGTGATCCGCCCGCCTTGGCCTCCCAAAGTGCTGGGATTACAGGCATGAGCCACCGCGCCCGGCCTATCAACTAATTTTAAAACTTTCGATTGTAACCGCTGATCAAACGTATCAGATTGACTTAGTTCAGTTTTAAAGTCAGCGGATCCAGCTAAAACTAGACCAGCCACCTTCCCTTTGTCCCCAGAAATAAACAGCTGCACAGCAGTCTCTGCTACTTTCTGAACATTGTTAGGTCACTTTTCCATTCTTAAACAGGCAAAACGCAAGGCTGACTGACCTTTACCGTGTTTCTTTGGGAGATCCACAGTGAGTTTTTGCAGGACTTCTCTTGTGTTTCCTTGGAGGGTGCCAAAAAGTGCACCACTACCATCTATTACGATGAATCCAGACTTGCTTTCATCTGAAAGTAGTGCTGTAAGAGCTTCTGTATGGAATTTGTTGTCACACAAATACAATGACGTATTAATTGGTTTGAAATGTTCAAAATCAATGTTAACTTTCTTGTGCACATTTATAAGTAGATAGGCAAAATGAAGGAAAATTCAGAACTGAAATGGTCATTATTTTTAAAAACCAGCAATTATAGAGTTAACATGTAGAAGTTCTCTCTCTCTCTCTCTTTTTTTTTCTGCCTACTTTGAACATGATGACATTTCTACAGGTGTTCAGATAAAACTCACTGCTTATGGCATTTCAGTCAAGGAAAGAAAACAGTCTTAAAGGCTTTGAAATTAATGGCTTCACAGATTACAATAGCTCCATGGTAATCAACCACCTAGACACCTTTTTTTTTTTTTTTTTGAGATGGTGTCTAACTCTGTCCCCCAGGCTAGAGTACAGTGGCCTGATCTGGGCTCACTGCAAGCGCCGCCTCCCGGGTTCACGCCATTCTCCTGCCTCAGCTTCCTGAGTAGCTGGGACTACAGGTGCCCGCCACCACACCCGGCTAATTTTTTGTATTTTTGATAGAGACGGGGTTTCACCGTGTTAGCCAGGATGGTCTCAATCTCCTGACCTTGTGATCTGCCTGCCTCGGCCTCCCAAAGTGCTGGGATTACAGGCGTGAACCACCGCACCTGGCTGACACCTTTTATAAATATAAATTTAGGTTTCCCTAACAACTGTGTACAATAATGAAACACTTAATTGAAAAATTAGTAACATAAAAGAAAAAAAAAATAAATGTTTATAAAAGTTAGGCTCTCAGACCAAATAGGTCAAAATCTTGATCTCAGAGCAATAATAGAAGGTATCCCTGTTCAACAGAAAAATTTTGTTTTTTGTGCCATGCAAAAGCCAAAAAGAAAAAGGTGAAGAAAAAAAAACAGCTAAAATTCTTCCCTGCCCACATTTGCTAATTAAGCAAACAAGACTGGTAAACAAAAGATTGATTTGTTACTAATTCAAGGCTACTTGGAGATATTTTGCTTATACAATTCAGTTAAAAAGAAACCCATAACTCACTTGAAACAACAACAACAAAAAAGGTGGGGGCAATGAAAGAAGTTTTTTTAAAAAATCTAACTGCCACGGAAAGTGCTTTACCCAAAATTTTGGTCCATAGCTCTCATTAGATTATAAAGGCAACTGAAGTTTAACCTGGACACATAAAATATACCAAGAATGAACCAAGAAGAAATTAAAAACCTGAGCATACCAATAATGAGTAATGAGCTTGAATCAGGAATAAAAAGTCTCCCAACAAAGAAAAGCCCAGTACTGGATGCCTTCATTATTCAGTTCCACCAAACATTTAAAGAGAGACTGACACCAATTCATCTGAAACTATTCCAAAAAATTGAAGGGGGAAGGGGTTCTTTCAAATTTATTCTAGGAAGCAAGCATTACCTTGTTATCAAAACCAGGGAAGGATACAACAACAAAAAACTACACGCTGATAAACACAGATGCAAAAATTAACAAAATAGTAGCAAACTAAATCCACAACACATCAAAAAGATTATATGCCATGATCAAATGGGATTTGTTCCAGGGATGCAAGAATGGTTACATATCTGCAAATCAATAAACGTGATAGATCATATCAACAGAATGAAGGACAAAAATAAAATGATCATCTCTAGATGCAGAAAAAGCATTTGGTAAAATTCAACATCACTTCATGATTAAAAACTCTCAACCAACTAGGTATAGATGAAACGTACCTAAATACAATAAAGGCTGCATATGACAATTCGATAGTTGACAACTTACATAATGGAAAAAAAGTTGAAAGATTTCCCTCTAAGAATTGGAACAAGATAAGGATGCCTGCTTTTACCAAATTTAACATAGTACTAGACTGATTCCTATGGAAATGGATAGAAAATTTTAAAAGATTACAGCAATGACAACAACAAAAACACATAGTACTGGTCCGACCCAGAGCAATTAGGCAAGAGAAGGAAATTAAAGGCATCCAAATTGGAAAAGAGGAAGTCAAATTGTTGCTGTTTGCAGATGACATAATCTTATTTATACACAAACCTAAAGACTCCATCAAAAAACTCTCAGAACTGATAAACAAATTTAGTAAATTTACAGAATATAAAATCAACATAAAAAAACTGTAGACTTTCCATACAAATCAATAAACATGATAGAGCATATTAGTGGAATGAAAGACAAAACTAATATTATCATCTCTATAGCTGCAGAAAAAGCATTTGATAAAATTCAATGTCACTTCATGATAAAAACTTCCAACCAATTAGGTATAGATGGAATGTACCTAAACACAATAAAGGCCATAGAGGCAAACTCAAAATGATGAAAAATCAAGAAAGAAATCTCATTCACAGTAACTATAAAAAAGCATGGGAATAAATTTAACCAAGTATGTAATGAAAACTATAAAATACTAATGAAACAAATAGAAAAGGACACAAAAAATTGAAAGATATTCCATTATCATGGATTGGGAGAATTAATATTGTTAAAGTGACCATACTACCCAAACCAATCTACAGATTCAATGCAATACCTATCAAAATACCAATGTCATTCTGTATAGAAATAGAAAAAGAAATCTTAAAATTTGTATGGAACCACAAAAGACCCTGAATAGCTAAAACAATCTTGAGCAAAAAGAACAAAGCTGGAAGTATCACAGTACCTGACTTCAAAATATACAGCTATGGTAACCAAAATGGCAAGCAAGGTATTGGCATAAAAACGGACACATAAACCAATGAGACAGAATAGAGAACCCCGAAATAAATCCATATATTTACAGTTAATTTCTTTTTTCTTTTCTTTCTTTCTTTTTTTTTTATTTGAGACGGAGTCTCGCTCTGTCACCCAGGCTGGAGTGCAGTGGTGCGATCTCGGCTCACTGCAACCTCCACCTACTGAGTTCAGGCGATTCTCCTGCCTCAGCCTGGAATGACAGTCGTGTGCCATCACGCCTGGCTAATTTTTGTATTTTAGTAGAGACGGGGTTTCACCATGTTGGTCAGGCTGGTCTCAAACTCCTGACCTCGTGATCCGTCTGCCTCAGCCTCCCAAAGTGCTGGGATTACAGGCGTGAGCCACCGTGCCCAGCCACTCAATTTATTTTTAACAAAATCACCAAGAACATATACTGAGGAAAGGGCAGTTTCTTCAATAAATGATGCTGGGGAAACTGGATATCCATATTAGGAAGTATGAAACTAGACTGCTATCTCTCACCATTCACAAAAATCAACTGAAAATGAGTTAAGGACTTAAATGCAAGACCCAAAACTATGAACCTACTGGGAGAAAACATACAGAAAACACTTTAGAGTGTTGGACGCAGGAAAGATTTTGTGATTAAGACCTTGAAAGCACAGGCAAGAGAAGCAAAAATGTATGAATGGGACTACATCAAACTAAAAATTTCCTGTACAGCAATGAAAACAACCAACAGAGATAAAACAGCAACTTAGAGAATGAAAGTATTTGCAAAGTATTCATCTGATAAGGGATTAATAGCTAGAATTTACAAGAAACTCAAACAACAGCAAAATAATAATAGTATTTTAAAAGGAGCAAATGTGCACCCATCACCCACGCAGTACACACTGCACCCAAATTGTAGCTTTTTGTCCCTCACCTTCTTCCCTCCCTTTCCCCGAGTCCCCAGAGTCCATTGTGTCATTCTTATGCCTTTGTATCCTCATAGTTTTGCTCCCACTTAAGAGTGAGAACATACGATGTTTGGTTTTCCATTCCTGAGTTACTTCACTTGGAATAATAATCTTCAATCGCATCCAGGTTGCTGTGAATGCCATTAATTCATTCCTTTTTGTGGCTGAGTAGTTTCTTTATCCACTCACTGATTGATGGGCATTTGGGTTGGTTCCACATTTTTGCAGTTGTGAATTGTGCTGCTATAAACGTGTGTGCAAGTATCTTTTTCATATAATGACTTATTTTCCTCTGGGCAGATACCCATTGTGGGATTGTGGGATTGCTGGATCAAATGGTAGTTCAACTTTTAGTTCTCTAAAAAAATCTCCACCTTGTTTTCCATAGTGGTTGTACTAGTTTACATTCCTATCAGCAGTGTAGAAGTGTTCTCTGTTCAGGCCAGGCACGGTGGCTCCAGCCTGTAATCCCAGCACTTTGGGAGGCCGAGGAGGGTGGATCACGAGGTCAGGAGATCGAGACCATCCTGGCTAACACAGTGACGCCTGTAGTCCCAGCTACTCGGGAGGCTGAGGCAGGAGAATGGTGTGAACCTGGGAGGCGGAGCTTGCAGTGAGCCGAGATTGCGCCACTGCACTCCAGCCTGGGCTACAGAGCCAGACTCCGTCTCAAAAAAAAAAAAAAAAAAAAAAAGAAGTGTTCCCTGTTCACCACATCCATGCCAACATCTATTATTTTTTGATTTTTTGATTATGGCCATTCTTGCAGATATAAGGTGGTATCACATTGGCGTTTTGATTTACGTTTCCCTGATCATTAGTGATGTTGAGCATTTTTTCATATGTTTGTTGGCCAGCTGTATATCTTCTTTTGAGAATTGTCTACTCATGTCCTTAGCCCACTTTTTGATGAGATTGTTTGTTCTTTTTCTTGCTAATTTGTATGAGTTTGTTGTAGATTCTGGATATTAGTCCTTTGTCAGATGCATAGATTGTGAAGATTTTCTCCCACTCTGTGGGTTGTCTGTTTACTCTGCTGACTGTTCTTTTGCCGTGCAAACACTCTTTAGTTTCATTGGGTCCCAGCTATTTATCTTTGTTTTTGTTGCATTTTGCTTTTGGGTTCTTGGTCATGAAATCCTTGCCTAAGCCAATGTCTAGGAGGTTTTTTTCAATATTATCTTCTAGAATTTGTATAGTTTCAGGTCTTAGTTTTAAGTGCTTGATCCATCTTGGTTGATTTTTGTATAAGGTGAGAGTTGAGGATCCAGTTTCATTCTCCTACATGTGGCTAGCCAATTATCCCAGCACCATTTGTTCAATAAGGTGTCCTTTCCCCACTTTATGTTTTTGTTTGCTTTGTCGAAGAACAATTGGCTGTAAGTATTTGGGTTCATTTCTGGGTTCTCTATTTTGTTCCATTGGTCTATGGGCCCATTTTCATACCAGTACCATGCTGTTTTGGTGACTTTGGCCTTATAGTATAGTTTGAAATCAGGTAATGTGATGCCTCAAGATTTGTTCTTTTTGCTTAGTCTCGCTTTTGCTATGCAGGCTTTTTTTGGGTTTTATATGAATTTTAAGATTTTTTTTTCTAGTTCTGTGAAGAATGTTCATGGTATTTTGATGAGAATTGCATTGAATTTATAGATTTCTTTTGGTAGTATGGTAATTTTCACAATATTGATTCTACCCATCCGTGAGCATGGGATGTGTTTCCATTTGCTTGTGTCATCTGTGATTTCTTTCAGCAGTGTTTTGTAGTTTTCCTTGTAGAGGTCTTTCACCTCCTTAGGCTAGGTATATTTCTAAGTTTGTTTTTTTTTTTTTTTTTTTTTTTACAGCTGTCGTAAAAGGGATTGAGTTCTTGATTTGATTCTCAGCCTGGTCACTGTTGGAGTATAGGAGAGCTACTGATTTGTGTACATTAATTTTGTATCCAGAAATATTGCAGAATTTTTGTATCAGTTTTAGGAGCTTTTTGGAGGAGTCTTTAGAGTTTCCTAGGTATACAATCATATCAGCAAACAGTGACAGTTTGGCTTCCTCTTTACCGATTTGGATGACCTTTATTTCTTTCCCTTGTCTGACTGCTCTGGCTAGGACTTTCAGGACTGTGTTGAAGAGAAGTGGTGAGAGTGGGCATCATTGTCTTGTTCCAGTTCTCAGAGGGAATGCTTTCAGCTTTTCCCCACTCAGTATTATGTTGGCTGTGGGTTTCTCATAGATGGCTTTGATTACATTGAGGTATGTTCCTTGTATGCCGATTTTGCTGAGAGCTTTAATCATAAAGGATGCCAGATTTTGTTGAATGTTTTTTTTGCATCTATTGAGATGATCATGTGATTTTTGTTTTTAATTCTGTTTATGTGGTGTGTCACATTTATTGACTTGAGTGTGTTCAACCATCCCTTCTTCCCTGGTATGAAACCCACTTGATTGTGGTGGATTATCTTTTTGATATGATTTTGAATGTTTCCATCACAAAGAAATGGTAAACGTTTGATGTGATGCATAGGCTAAATACCCTTATTTGCTTATTACACATTGTATACATGTATCAAAATATCACACTGTACTATATCAATATGTATAATTATGTCAATTAAAATAAATAAAAATAGTAGCCATGACTTTAAATAACTTAAGAAATAATATAATGGACCAGGGGATGAGGAAATAACATGACCCAGCCCTGACCAATCAGAGTTTCCCACACTGTACCACATCTCCATAACAACAGGTATTGGTCCAAAGGTCATCTTCTCTGGTTCTTTATTTATGAACATTGTGAGAAAGATGTCTGTTTTTCTGCTGAAGCTGTTAAGGTAGAATAATATGAGAGGAGTTGGAGCTGATAAGCTGATATTGGCTATCTTCTTTAGAAGTACAGAGAGATCTGATGACAAATGTATCTCTGAATCTAATCATGTCTCTACGCAGCCTCACCCCTGGCCTTTCCAGATAAATTTACATGTTGAATCTTTTCTTTAAAATTATTAACTTGTGACTAAAAAGGTCTTGCTTCTATAACACAAATATTATTTGTTTTTAAGTGAAGGCCAAACAGATTTTAATGTTCTCTCCATCAGTGAGCTATAATTACTAGAAGTATAGTCCTGGACATATCACTTATATTAACCTTTCTCATTCCCAGTGTTACATCTGAATCTTGAAGACATAAAATGAGCTTTGACCTAGTATAAGGATTAGGAGGTAGAATAAATGTAAAGTACCAGGACCTGACACTTGGAAAGTTTTTTTAAACGTCTCAGCTCTTTTCATCATTTGTAAGCTGCACTATTAATTTATTAACAGTTTTTGAGGGAAAACTTAAATCTGCATTAAACATTTGCAGTGTTTTTGGCTGATTGGCATACTTATATTTATCCTTTCAATTATGTAATATTTTCCCATCCATAGCCAAATTTTAAGACTTACATTTTTGAGAAATATAGAGTCAAAAGCATTTTCTGACTTGACTTAGGCCACAGGTTACTCTGCACAGCATCACTGAGACACACCTATCTGTAAAGCTTTTCATATACATAATCTCCAAGACATATAATGCTGTATGGAGACACTTGAATTTCCACAAAGATGCTAGACATTTCATCAGGACCTTATGGCGCTGGAGGCAGATAAGATCTTTCAGAATCAAATTAGCACCCCTTGGCCTGAAGCCTCACATGCTGAGATACAGAGTTCCTAGGGTCCCTCCTGAATATGGTCTTCAAGATGAAGAGAAAATGTCAGGCTATGAGATTCAAAAGAGAGGAGTCAGAGAAACACCTCCCCTGGAATCAGGACCAATTTTAGTTTTGAGATTTAGTCAAAGAAAGATATAGAAGCTAAATATAGGGCCACAATTTGAAGACATAAGAAAGGTAAGATTTCACAGTGTTAGTGCTGAGATGGGGCCAGTTGTACAATATGATCCCAGAATCTCAGTGCTGACATCATTCCAAGTTTAATCTTCCAATTCTCCAACTCAGAATGTCATATTTTCCTCCTTCACTCCCACGTCACCTCCTGTAGGGCACTTCTGCATGGCGTGCAAAGAATCTCCCTTGATGGCTATTTTCTGTGCTTGTCCCTGGAGTCTTCTCTGTGTTGCACCTGTGATCACACTGTTCTATAACCAGGTTCTTCCCCCAGAGGACTGAGGGCTCCCTCCATGTATCTCCAGTACCTAGCACAAGATGAGTTTTATTGCATACTTTACTTCATTTTTATCATATACTATTTAAAAATGGTTCTACAAAGCTTATAGTGAAAACTCTTAACTTTTCAGAGACAGGAATTTTTCCCTGTCCCACATCTCCTAATCTGAAAATTTCTGTTTTGTAGAAGAGGCCACTTTTTGTTCTTCAAAAAATTAAACATAGAATTGACATATGATCCAGCAATTCCTCTTCTGGGTACAGACCCAAAAGAAGTTAAAGCAGAGACCAAGCAGATATTTGTACATCATGTTTATAACAACATTATTCACAACTGCCAAAAGGTAGAAGCAACAGAGTATACATCCATCGATGGATGAACAAAGTATGGTAGATCCATACAGTGGAATATTTTTCAGAAGAAGGAAGGAAATTATTTTCCTGTATTATGTATGAACCTTGAAGACATGAAGCTAGATTAAATAAATCAGACTGAAAAGGAAAAATATTGTATGAATCCACTTACATGATTCACCTAGTTTAGTAAGATTCATAGACAGAATGTAGAATGGAGGTTATCAGGGGCTGGGAGGAGGAGAGAGTGAGGAGATGTTGCTTAATAGACCTAGCATTTAGTTTGGGAAGATGAAAAAGTTCTGGAGATGGAGGGTGGTGATGGTTACACAGCATGAATATACTTAATGTCATAGAACTATACACTTAAAAATGGCAAAATGGTAAATTTTATTATATATTTTTTTAACCATAATTTAAAAAAGCAGCTACTCTAATGCTTTAAATAGCTTCTTCTTATCCTTATCTCCATATTTCTTTATTTCTTGTTCAAACTTTTTTTATTTTTTATTTTTGGAGACAAGGTTTCACTCTGTCACCTAGACTGGAGTACAATGACATCATGGCTCACTGCAGCCTTGGCCTTCTGGGCTCAAGTGATCCTCTCACCTCAGCCTCCTGAGTAGCTAGGACTACAGGTGCAAGCCCACCACACCTGGCTAATTTTTCTGTTTTTTGGTAGAGATGGGGTCTCACTACATTGCCCAGGCTGGTCTTGAACTCTTGGCCTCCCAAAGTGCTGGGATTATAGGTTTGAGCCACTGTGCCCAGCCTCAAACTTTCCATTATAGAAAACTTCAAATACACAAAAACAGAATTATATAATGAATTCTCATTATCCATCATCACATTCAATAATTACTAACATTTGTCCATCATATTTCATATGTTTCCACTTTTTTCCAGGAGAATTTTAAAAAATAGACTTCAGTTCTAGAACAGTTTTAACTACAGGAAAATTGAGAAGTTGTTTCTCCTGTTATTAACATCTAACATTAGTATGGTTCATTTCTTACAATTATTGAACCAATATTGATGCATTATTTTTAACCAAAAGTCATACATTACTCAGGTGTCCTTGAGTTTTACCTAATAATATTTTTCTACTCCAAGGTCCCATTCAAGATACCCTATTACATGGGGTTGTCATGCCTCCTTAGGCTCCTCTTGGCTGTGACAATTCCTCAGATTTTCCTTGTTTTTGATGACCTAGACGTTATTGAGGAATACTAGTTAGGTATTTTATAGAATGTTCCTCTATTGGAATTCGGTGGTTTTTTTTTTTTTTTTTTTTTTTTTTTTTTTTTTCATAATAAGTAGAGGTTATGGATTCGGGGGTAGGAAAGCCACAAGTGAGGTACCATTTTCATTACATGATATCAAGAATTCACACTTCCAGAAGAGGGAGTTAATGCTGTTCCTTTAAGGACAAAGTATCTACCTACCTTATTTGGAGTTCTTCTGCAGGAGAGATTTTGCCTCCTCTCCTCCATTGATTTATTTATCACATCATTTATATCATTATAAACTCATCTCTGGAGGATTGTAAAAGCAAATCCTTTACATACAATTTCACAGTTAAATAGTTCAGCATGCATCTTTCACAGAATAGGGTTTTTAAAAAACATAAAGCCATGCTATTCTCACACTAACAAAATTAACAACAGTTCTCTAATTTTGCTAAACACTCAATGCATATTCAAATATCTGTCTTGTCTTTTTCAATTGGTCTGTCTGAAACAGAAGCTAGAGAAGGTCCACACATTGCAATTGCTTCTTATGTCTCATTATTCTCTGTTCTTCTATACCATACCACCCACCCTACCTATTTTTTTTTTCTCAAGGCTTTGATTTGTTGGAGAAACTGTTACCAGAAAAACAGGTCCCGATCCCGACCCCAAAAGAGTATTCTTGGATCTTGCACAGGAAGGAATTAAAGGTGAGTCACAGAGTGCAGTGAGAAGGAGATAGTTTATTGAAAGTTACTCAGATACAGAGTAGGTGTCCTCAGAAAGCAAAAGGAAGAATGCACCATCTTTGTTGTAAACTCTTCTAATGTAGGGGTTTAATCTACATAAAAGCTAAGTTAAATGTCTATGTGTGGGTGCTCTGACAGCATGACAAAATTTAGGACCTATTGATTTAAAGAAAGTTATCCTTGGCATTTTAGTTAGTATATCAAAGCATGACTATAATAATCTTAAAAGCATATATTATAATGTGACGTCAGGACATGTGGACATTCTGTTGTCTGTCATAGGCGTTTGTTCTTGCAGGCATTATTAAGTTGTTTAATCAGCTGTAAACCTCTTATGACCATGGGTTGTGACTGGCAAGGAATATGCCTTGCTAGTTGAAAGATGGAGTTGACTTTAAAATGGTGTCACCCTGGCTCTCCTATGCTTCTGTTTCCCCAAAAAAGCCAGGTTACTTGTCCTGTAGAATGATCCACATTCTGAGTTTGGCTAATGACATTCTCATGGTATTAACTTGTTTCTTTATATGTTGTTTTTTCTGTTACCCACAAAATAATTCTTCTGATACACATTTGTAATCTTACCATGCCAGCATCTGCTACTCTTCATGTTACCAAATTTCTGTTCAAGGACCACTAAAGCCACAGTCAGTGGACATTCTGAGACTTCTAGGGGAGGGTGGAGATGCTGTCCTTTAATATAGTCTGACCCAAGCAACCTCCCCACTTGGCATGGTGAATCTAGACAAGCTAAAGAATTTACTACGCCCCAGGCCTGCACCAGCCCTCTCCTAAGACCTTGGGCACTCTCATTTCCCTTTTTTTTTTTTCTAAAGGAAGTCATAGTTTCTCATAACCTTTGCTAGTGATCCTGGACCTTGGTTGTTCCCTGAGGCTGTGTTCTCCACACTGCTGCCATCACTGCTACAGCAGAGGTGCAGAAAGCTCAGGAGAGAGAAGGGAGGAAACGCTGAAGATTTTGTGTTATTCATGCTTTCCTGACTCCGGTGAAAGTGCTTCCTCCACCTGCAACCATTTCTGTTTCTATACTGCTGAGTCTTGTGTTCCCAAGACCAAGGGAAGCCCATTTTCTTTAAAGCCAGTCACAGTTTCTGTTGGCTGATGGAATATCTGTTGTCCAGCAGTTGTATTCCTGCTCACAAATGCAAAACAGTTTGATGCCACGCACATTCCAGGGCTTAGACTGGAAATGCTGTCCCTTGCCCCTTTGTTACCTTCTGACAGGGATCAGTCCATAGTGTAGTTGGTGTCACAACAGTCCCGAAGAAGCCTTCCAATAGATACCCAAATGTGATTCAAAGTGGCACAGGCACACACCACGGTGCCACATGGTGCCTATGTAAAGCAGGTATATCAGGAATGCTAAGCAGAGAAGTAGCAGAACACACTGATCCCCATGTTCTCATTGTACAGTTGGGTGCAATTAAGCTGGCACAATGGACTCTTCTCATGGCTACTGTTCCAGTAGTGTGGATGCCCCCAAATGCTGCATATTTACTAGGACAGCCAGGCAGAGACAGCTGTGTACTATGATACAACAGTAGTCCCTCTTAGAGGAAGTGACCTTGTTAGAAGTGGGAGTTTCTGAAGCTCTTCAGCTGTTACTGGCCTGCTCTTCCATAGCGTTACTTCAGACCTGCTGGCCCAGTTATCCACTCCGCTAACAGGTCTGTCTCTGCTAACAGGTCTAGCTCTGTCTCCTCAGCACATGTTCTAGGCTCTGACTGCAAGTGCTGACTTGGGCTCCCAGCCCCACACAGACCCTCTGTTCCATGAAAGGGCCATCTATGCAAAGTGCCCCCCAAATGCCAAAGGAGCCAATAAACCAAGGAACAAGACAGACAAATCTAGTTTGTCAGTAAAGAGTGTTTTATTGGGGAACTTACAGACAGAAGCGTGGTCTTGGATGGCAGCAAGACAGGTAGGTTTCTGCACTTATTACCCCCACACCCAGGGCTTATATACCACAGGGGAAGAGTATACATGCTCTGTGCAAGACAAAGGCTACTACTGTCCAGAACAGGTAAGAATGCTAATGTGTCATAGCCTAGAATTTGTATAACATCAAGGTTGACATGTTCTTACAATAGGGATGGTAAATAAAGTAGGAATCAGGAGTCAGTCCTGGGACTGGGGCTAATCAGAAGTCAGCATAGAGAATTAGCATCCAAGAGGGAGTCACTTTTCTCTCCACATCCCAGCCCTCTAATCCAGCTCTTACAATCTCATGGACTCACATTTCCCCCATAGTCCCTGAGCCTTCAGAGGGGGCTGTGGGTGACATTTTGATGGTGTGAGTGACACATTTTATCAATTTGTTTTCTACTTGTTAAGCAGGGGCCACAGCAACAACACAAACAACAGGCGATGATATGTATGCCAGGTGTAAGACACAGAATTAAAAATGCCCTTTACCATGTTTATTCAGGAACCAAACCAAGAGGTATAGAGCAGAACAACAATAGGAACAGAAGACTATGGGTGGAATTAAAAATGTTTAGTAGGTATTTGGTGGGGCAGTTCTTCCCCATTAAACAGAATTACTGGTAGCTCCATCTCTGTTGATTAGGAACATAGGATTGTGGGCTGGGAGTACACACCAAACATGTTGCCTGAGGGGCAAAGGCGCTGGTATTATGTGTAAGGTTACAGGGGCAGCAAAGGACCATGTCAAATGGCCAGCCAGGGTGCTTCTTAAAAGGGACTGTGTTCCAGTTTATTGGTATGTGGAGTGTTTTGGCCCAGACTTCAGCAGGATCAATGGAGACCACTTTAGTTGGTAGGGAATTCCTTGCTGTCTGGAAAGAAATGCTCTATCCAACATAGGGGAAGTTGCTAGTCCAACCCCCATTCAAGTGTCTCCTCCCTGGCTCAAGATCTTGAGGAGTTCTAAATAACCTTTGCCATTGGCCTTTTATCTGCTCAGGTCAGAGATGCATCTGGTTGGACTTTCTTTACTACTATGGTTAATGGATCCATCTCTGTGGTGGTCCTGAGTCATTGGTGTGGTGCCAGCACCATATTTGTCTCAACTAAATTAAGGTTTCTAATGGCTTGAGGCAAAATCTTTGTCTAACTATGAAAGATATTGGATTTTGAGAGTGCTCAAAACTGTGCCTTCAAAATACCATTTTTCCTTTCAATCAACCCTGTTGCTTGGGGGAGTATACAGTAAGTGAAATACCCAGTCTATGTCCCTTTCATGCATCCAGTCTTGGACACCGTGTCTGGTGAAATGCATGCCTCGATTGCTATCAATATGTGGAGGGTATCCTTACATGACACTGAGTTGCTCCAAGCCCCTGATGGTGGCTGTTTGGTTTGCTCTTACAAGGGAAAGCTTGCAACAATCCCATGGCAGTGTATACACATGTTAGTGCATACTTTCGTCTCAAGATTACTGGCAAGGGTCTGATGTAGTCTATCTACCAGTCTGTCACAGGGGTGGCTGTCTTATGTATATGTCCAGGTGTATGTGGGATGTGGCAGAGGTACAGACGGGAACAAATTAAGCAGTTTGCTACCGCCACCACTAAATTTGCATAGCAGAGAGCCAATCCTGCTCCCTTTGCTATTTGGCAGCCCATTCATGCACTGAAATCCCCACTGTGATATGTACCTAATCAACTAGCTCAGTATTCTAATTTTTGCTAGGATGTCTGCCTCCATGTTTCTGGGAGGTGAATCTGACCAGTGTGCTGAAGCAATTAGGTCCACAGTGGGTTCCTGTAGACTTTTCCAAATGTCTTTCCACATATCAGCTCCCCATAAGGATTTTTAAATTATATACCAATCATCTCAGGCCCTTTGGGCAAGCCAAATTGTAAGACCCTTAAGTACTGCCAGACTGTCTGTACAGAGAACTATAGGTGGTGGCTCACGGGTACAAACCAACCATGCAGCTTGGAGTTCTGCCCATTGACTGCTCTGTTGCATTCCCATCTCAAACCAGATACTGTCTGTGGTTGTGCAGCTACTACTGTCCATACACAGGGTTACCTTGGCTCAATGCATCTAAGTACCAAGCATTATCAGGAATGAGGGCCATGCCTTCATGTACCACTGGAGACATCTCCTGTGAGGGCTCCACAATAGGGGCAGCACTGGACTCATAATGTACTGGCCCTAAGATAGCATGCAGTTCATCTCTTAAGGGATGCATGGAGAAGGCACTATGTTGTTGCATGTATGCATGGCACTTTTGTAAAGTGGAAACTTGGGCAATAGCTGATACAGGCCTGGCAAACACTCCTACCCAGTCCTTGATAGGAAACCTGTTCTCCCTGGTACCAGGAAAGCAGCAGTTATGGATTCAACTTGTGGCAAGACCTTCTATATCCCCAGGACCTGTTATTCAACTGGGAAATAGCAGGTTTCAGTACCCTTCCATTAATTGTGACTAAAATTCTAAAGGAACTGCTTCCCTATGCTGGACTTTATATTTTCATCATCCAAAATTATAGTTTAGTTTTACCTTTAAAAATATGTTTTTTGTTCTCATTTGTTCCATAGGTTTCTCCTTAAAATTTATATTGTATGGTAAGGTTTCCTATTGTTTGCATTTTGTGGATTGCACGCCAAGGTGTGGTTTAATGTATTTCTATTACCTGTATTTTCTATAAATTGGTAGTTTGGTATAGAGGTTTGTGTACATTCAGGGTTTTTTTTTTTCTGTAAGTATTGATGGTTCTGTAAAAGGAAAATAAAATCTTGGGGCCCCAAAATTACTAAGCTAAAGGGAAAAGTCAAGCTGGGAACTGCTTAGGGTAAACCTGCCTCCCATCTGTTCAGAGTCGCCCCTCTGCTCACTGAGATAAACACATGTCTGATTCCCTCATTTGGAAAGGCTAATCGGAAACTCAAAAGAATGCAACCATTTGTCTCTCATCTATCTGTGACCTGGAAGCCCCCTCCTTGCTTCGAGTTGTCCCGCCTTTCCAGACGGAATCAATCTTTAGCTTACATATGTTGATCACTGTCTCATGTCCCCTTAAAATGTATAAAACCAAGTTGTGCTCTGACCACCAAAGTTGTGCTGAGAAGTGACACCAAAGAACATGGTGGCATAAGAACTCCAAGGACCCCCTCCCCTCCACAGCGGCAATGTGCTTGTTGAAACACCAGTATAAAAAAACTCGATGAGAGCTGTGATTGGATTTAGTGTTGATATATTTTTTGTAAATTGTGGTAAAACATGCATACTATATAATTTACCTTCTAACCATTTTTTCAGTGTACAATTTGGTGGCAGTAAGCACATTTACAGTGTTGTGTAACCACCGCCAATATCCATTTCCAGAACATTTTCATCATCCCAAACAGAAACTGTACCCATTAAACCATAACTGCCCATTCTCCCTACCCCCAGCCCCTGGTAATCTCTATTCTATTTTCTGTTTCTATGAATTTGCTTATTCTAGCTACTTTATATAAGTAAAATATCATATTTGTTTTTATTTCTGGCTTATTTCACTTATAGTGTTTTCAAGGCTCATCCAATTAGAATTTCATTCACTTTTAAGGCTGAATAATATTCCATGCTTATGTGCACCGTGGGTTGTTTATCCAGTCATCCTCTGATGGACACTCGGTTGCTTCCACCTTTTGGATATTGGGTATAGTGCTGCTATGGGCCTGAGTGTACACATATCTGGGTGAGTTCCTGCTTTCAGTTCTTTTGGGTATGCCCAAAAGTGGAATTGTTGGCTCATATAGTAATTCTATTTTTACTTTCTTGAGGAATCACTATTCTGTTTTCCATGGTGGCTGCACCACTGTATACTCTCACCAGCAGTGTACAAGTGTTCCAGTTTCTCCATATCTTCACCAACACTTGGCCTAGTGAAGTTTACCATATTTTTATGTCCTTATTGGCATTCCTTTTTTTTTTTTTTTTGTGAAACAGAGTCTTGCTCTGTTGCCAGGCTGGAGTGCAGTGGCACAATCTCGGCTCGCTGTAACCTCCACTTCCCAGGTTCAAGTGATTCTCCTACCTCAGCCTCCTGAGTAGCTGGGACTACAGGTACCTGCCACCATGCCCAACTAATATTTGTATTTTTTTAGTACAGACGGGGTTTCACCATGTTGGCCAGGATGGTCTTGATCTCTTGACCTCGTGATCCGCCCACCTCGGCCTCCCAAAGTACTGGGATTACAGGCATGAGCCACCATGCCTGACCAGCATTCCTTATTTTTATGTCCTTATTGTATATCTTCTTTGGAGAATTGTCTATTCATGTCTTTTACTTATTTTTGAATGAGATTGTTTTGCTATTGTTGAATTGTAGTTCTTTACATATTCTGGATATTAATTCTTTATCAGATATGTGATTGGCAAATATTTCCTCCTAGTCTGTGCATTTTCTTTTGATTCTCTTAATAGTGTCCTTTGATGCAAAAAAGTTTTTAAATTTTGATGCATTCTAATTTGTCATTTTTCTTATATTACTTGTACTATTGGTCACCAGCCAAGAAACCACTACCAATTCTAATGTCCATAAGATTTTCCTCAGTATTTTCTTGAGGGTTTTACAGGTTCAATTCTTAAGATTAGTTCTTTGAGTCATTCTGACTTAATTTTTGAAAAGGGTGTAATGGAAGGACATGAATTTTTTCCAGCATCATTCTTTTGCATGTTGATATCCAGGTTTCCAGCACCATTTGTTGATGCACCATCTGTTGCAGTGGGGCTGACACATTTGTAAGATGCAGTGAGCATTAATACATGGGAGCACCATGCATTTATTTACCTGTCTTTACTTCACAGTTGTTTTGAGAAGGCTTTCACTGACAGACTCAACAGAAATGAATATATATGACTTCTTATAAAATCATATTCAAGTAAAATTATAAATTTTAAAATGTTAAGACTGGAGCAAGACTGGAACATCACTAGACAAGCTGAAACATAGGCTGAAATGAAGGGTTATGTTTACCTTGCTACAAATTCTGTTGGCCCACAATCTCTTATGCTTATTGCTTAAGAGAGCCACAGAGTGGGGTGATAGCTCACATAACCAGTCCCTGGTTTTCTGCTTCAGAAAGAAGTTTAAATATTCTGCTTAGACAGAGTAAGGAAATTAACTGAAAGATGTCTAATGTGAAGTTGGCATCTACAAAGTGAAGGAGTGAGTAGTAAGTGTAAACATCAGGAATCCCAGGAGATTCTATCTTTTTGCACGGAAATGGCCTCACTATGCACTGCTGAAGGGAGAAGGTCCCTTCAGGGGACCTTCATGATGAAGAAGAACACAATATGATATAGGAATTTTCTGCTGCAGCCCTAAACTGAATTGTCCTTCTCTCTAACTACAGGTCTCACAAAGTTTTATAGCTTCAATGATTTCACCTGGGCCAAGATTTTGGTTTTTTGATGTTATTTGTTTGAACTGCTGCCTGGGGCTTAGAAAAGTGACTTGGATATTTTGTCAAAATGGATTTTCTTTGATGGAATGTGAAATCCGTAAACACTCTGCTTTCCTGCTGTATCCCCAGAGCAGGTTGAGTACCTTGCACTTCTTCTCAGCACTTCGCTAGAAGTGGTAGAAGATTTGGAGTTAGGGCCTCCCTCAATCCCTACCCTTTCTTTAATTCAGAGGATCACAAACTGTTGGGAGAAGAGTGGTATCTTGGGCCTCTAGCTGATCTGATGAATATTAATATCCAATGTCCTGTAGTGAAGTCATGTGTGCGTGTAACATCACTTCTTCACGCAGTGTCATAGGAAAGTGGGTTCCTGGACCCCAGGTTAAGAGCCTAAGCACTAAAGGCACAGAGCTAGAGCTCTAGGAGGGGAGGGATGGCTGGGGTGGAACCTCGTCTTGTCATTTAGTCCTGGGGCCTTTTCACTCCTTACATGGTGGGTGGTGGGCATCTGGCAGGTGCCGATGTTGATGGAGTCGAGGGAGGGAACTAGCCGGGACAGGGAAAAACAGGGTTGGAGAGATAATTAAGGTGGACATTATTTTTTCTGAGCGTAAGTCGTGGCTGGAAATCTGGAGAGCCTGAAGGAGATCCCGCTACCCAAACCTGTTTTTTCCTTTTCCCTCAAGCCTCATTTGGCCACAGGCCCAGTGTCAACACCAGGGGGCGCCACAGACCATGAAGGCGCCCACAGACCATGAAGGCACCGTGCAGCTGGGATTGTTTGTGGTCGGCTACTGGGTCCCTGACTTAACCAGGGGAGCCAAGACCCTGTAGCCAAGTGGCCTGGATTCAGCCTGCAGCTCAGGTCTTACTGACACTTCTCCCCCTGGTGCCTCAGTTTCTTAATCTGTGAAATGGTGAGGACATTACAGCATTTACCTCTGGGGCGGGTTTCTCAACAGCAGCACTATTAACAGTTTGGGACAGAGAATCTTGTGGAGTGGTCTGTCCTGTGCATTGTGGGAGGTTTGCCAGCAGCACCCCACTCACCCCCTCCCACCAATCCCCATGTGACAACCGAAAATGTCCCAGGATTTTTAGGTCTCCCTTGGGTCTAGAAGCTGCACTTAGGCATTTTCCCACCTGACACTTGAGTTCATCTCTGCTTTGGTCCACATAAGGCCACTTTAAAAAAATGTTGTTTCTTTAAAGATTCTAACCATCTTTTAAACAAATCCATTTTCTTCCTCTATTTCTGCATTCAGTTAATCCTTCCAAACCCTTTGTTTAGTATATCTTGAAATGTATCAATTCCTGTTCTAGTAATTAACATATGTGACTTGCATGATATCTGCTATGACCCCTAGTAGAGCTCTGATTCCTTTAGCACAGGGAATGTGTTCTCGATTCTGCTCTGGATGATGTAAATCAATTTATTTTACTTTACTTGTCTGGGATGTTGCTCCTCAACTGTAAGATGTAAATGTGGATATGGCTTGGATTACTAAGTGGTTTTATTTCTTAATTCACCTGACATTTGTTGTGTACCTGCTGCAAGTCAAATACATGGCATGGTATTGTTTCCTTGTTCACATCACAGCAAATGAGAAAATGAGACATTATAGCCAGGTGTGGCGGCACAGGCTTGTGGTCCTAGCTACTCGGAAGGCTGAGGCAGGAGAATTGCTCCAGCCCAGGAGTTTGAGGTTACAGTAAGGTATGATATCACCATTGCATTTCAACCTGGGCAACAGACCCTGTCTCTGAAAAAAGGGAAAAAGACCTTGTGAGCTGTCTACGTGTACTCTATGTCTCAGGAGACTCATATCCTGTAATTTTTCTAAATGGCGTCTCCATGTGGTCTTTCATGAATGTTTGTCTGGTATTTATTCTCTATCCTTTTACTTTCAACTTTTCTTTACCTTCTACTGAAATTATGTCTTTTGTAAACAGCCCATGATTATTTATTTGGTTATTTATTTTTACCCCCCTGCACTATTTGTCTTGTAATTGGAGTGTCTGAGTCCATTATGTTTAATGTAATTATTGACCTCATTGGGTTTAAGTCTGTCCATTGTCATTTGCTGCCTTCTAATATTATCTCTTTCTTGCTCAACTATTTTTCTTATGTTACCTTCTTTAGATGAATAAAAACCTTTGCATTATTGTAGTCTTCTAAGTGTCCTAATTACACATTCTCTTATTATTTCTTTAATTGTCTGAGAAAGCATAATGATCTGTGACTTATTATAACCAATAGCAGACCACAACTTCCCTGACTTTCACCTACCTGTGCCCACAGCCCAGGGGAGAATCAGTGCTCTGGCTCTGAGACACAGGGGTGGTGGGAGTAGGAGAGTGATTGGATGATGAATCTGTAGCTGCAGAGGCATCTGGGCCCCTCACCTGCATTCCTCATAGATGTCTCCTCCATTGAATGCCTGCGATGCCCTCTCCTCTGTGTGCTCCTGCCAGAGTCTCCCCATCTCCACTGACAGCAGCTCCACCCTTCTGCTCACTCAGTCCAATACTGTGGGTGTCCTTGATTCTTCTTCTCACATCCATTAGCAAGTGCTGTGAGTCCATCTTCAAATTCATCCAGAATCCCTTCACTTCTCACTATTTCCCCTGCTCACACCCTAGTCAAGGTAAGCGACGTCTCCATCCTGGAATACTGCACTCCTTTCCCACCGTTTTCCCCACTGCCTCACTAGTCCCCCACCTCTCAATTTTGTTCTCAGCACAGCAGCCAGAAAGAAGCTTTCAAAGGATGAGCCCTACCATGTCCCACTTTTCAAAACTGTCCTCCCCATGTCATTCAGAGCAAAGGTCAACACCCTTCCCACACCCTTCAGGGCTACCTGCTCTAGCCACACCTTTGACCTCACTTCAGTTTCTCTGTGTCCAGCCCTTCTGGCTTCTTCCTCCTTCCAGGAACACAGACAATTTCCTGCCCTAGTGCATCTGCACTGAAGGTTCCCCTGCCTGAAAAGAACTTTCCCAGACATCCTTGTAGACAACTCCTCACATCCCTCAAATCTTTACTCCAAGGTCACATTTGCAACAAGGCCCATGCTGACCACCCAGCACAACAGCCACCTTCCTGTCCCCACAGCCCACCCTCTGGATCACCTGCCACACAGCACTTGCCACCTTCTAACTCAAGCATTTTCTGTTCCTACTCTGCTTATACTATATCTATCATCTGCCTACAGAGGTGTCCAATTTTTTGGCTTCCCTGGGCCAGTTGGGAAGAATAAGCATTGTCTTGAGCCACACATAAAATACACTAATGACAGCTGATGAGCAGAAAGAATAGAAAAAAGAAAAACATGTGCGTGCATAATTTTCATGATATTTGCTACCACAGATAAGCAAAAAAACTTCTTACATTCAAAGCTGTCCCGGGCCACACGCAGCCCGAGAGCTGCAGGTTGGACAAGCTTGCATCTAGAACGTATACACCACAAGGCCAGAAATTTTTCTGTTTTTACTTTAATGATGTTTTCTAAATGCAAAAACAGTCATATACCTAGCAGACAACAAATGTCAGTTGAATGAATGATCACTGTAGAGCACCTCTGTATTCTAAAGGCAATATCTTTATTAACGTAGCTAAAGAACAACATCATCTCACACCAACATCAGTGCTGCCAGTGCTTTTCTCACCAGGGCTGCTTGTGTGTCCTTCCCACCTCCTCCCACACCAACCCTCCTGCACACTGCAGCGCACAGCCATATTTTTCTGTTCAGGAAAGATAATCCTAGCCTTGTGGGTCCAATTTTCCAACCCCATATAAATCTAAATCAGACTCTGCTTTATAAATGCATGAGTTTGGATTGGAGCCAGCACTGGGATTACTACAACTCAGGCAGGAAGAAGAGTAGGAGAGCAGAAGAGGAGTTCCAACAGAAAGTTACCTACGATGAGAAACTATGGGACCCCTCCTCTCTGCAAATTTCAGAATCTGCTTCCTTTAAGAAGGTTGGGGAAAAAGATGGAAAATACAATCCAGGAAAGAGACCTGGAAGGAGGGCAAAAGATACAGGGGACTGAAAATTTGTCTCTTGATACCGGAAGGACTTCGATGTGTAGGGACCACCCTAGGTGACATCCAAGTCCCTGTGATCACAGGTCCTGGTGGGACAAGGTTCTACTGAAGGGCCAAGGACAATGGAGCAGCAAAGATGACCCAGGTGAGCTGTGACCACATAAAGCCCATGGTGGCCTGAGCACACACTGGGCACAGCCCCATCTACTCTCCTCCCCTGCAACAAATCAGCACAAGAAACACGTGGACTCTGGAAGGTTCTCATGTCTTCCATTTATTTTGTCTCTCAAATTTTAGGAATCTTCTCCTTTAATTAACCCATCAACCCGTCATGGAAATAATTTGAAAAAAGTAAATTTATACTCAGATTCTAATTTTAATAGGGAAGTAAGAAGTTACAGCTCAGTGCACCATGAAGTTGAGACAGAGATGGAGACATCCCAGCACCACTTCTCTGGAACAGGAAAGGTGATCGGGGAAGGAATGTAGGTCAGTGTGGGGAACAGGGTCATGGTGGACACGGGTGTGGGCTGGTCTCCCCACCACCTCACATTATGCCTATAGGGACACAGACACATTCAGATGCCTTTGCAGAAAGAGAAGTCAGGGTTCTTGAAGTCACAAAGGGAAGGCATGAACAAATCTTGCCTCTCAGTCCCACACAAGGCAGCTGTCTCACACTATAGAAAAAATATTCATGAACAAATTCATATCACTCACAGTGAGGGGTCACACCTTCAACAGCCCATCATGTGCTGAATACATCCAAGTCAAAGAAACCCCATAGCACAGCTATATCCACTGTTACCCCAACAACCCACACACATCAGCCTCCCCAGGGTCTCACCTTTACAAGCCGTGAGAGACACATCAGAGCCCTGGGCACTTTGGCTGCCTGGGGTAGAACAAAAACAGAACCTGGTGAGATCCCACAGGAGATGTGGCTAGAGGAGGAATTGTGGGGTGGGTGAGCTCCCCCATGGGCTCCCAACCACAATATCCCAAGGATCTCAGGGATCAGCCTCCTTCATACTTACTTGCAGCCTGAGAGTAGCTCCCTCCTTTTCTATCTGCGGGAAGAAAACGTCCTGTGAGAGGCCAGGAAGGTAGCAGGGCCATGAGGTCCTAGAGGAAGCTCCTAGTCTTGGACCCTCGAGAAGTTTCCAGAAATGTGTGACTGCAAACCAAGGGCAGGATCAGGAAAAACAAGGAAAGCAGATGTGGGTCCTGGACCAACTGCCCTCCTAAGGTCTGTCCTCAGCAGGGACCTTCCCCTGACCTGTGATTACTGGGGTCAGATCCCCATCACTACAATCATCAAGGTGAGAAATCTGTCCTTCATTGTCACAGGTGCTTACAAAAGAGTAAGTGCTGGCACACAGGGTCCAGGCTGGGTAGGCCCATGAATGTGGATGGTGCTTCCCGGTAACCAGGCAGAACACATTTCTACCTGGAGCTTGAAACCCCCAGTGGGACAAGAAAACTCAAACCCCACTCCTCACCCCTTCCCCACCTGAGCTCTTCTTCCTCCACATCACAGCAGTGACCACAGCTCCAAGGAGAACCAGGCCAGCAATGATACCCACAATGGGGATGGTGGGCTGGGGAGAGGGCTCTGGGAAAGGAGGGGAATGTGAGGGTTCTGACCTCCAGGACCCAGCCCCGACCCTGCTAAAGGTCTCCAGAGGGGCTCCTGCTTTCCCTAAGAGACATGACCGCCCCCATCTCTCTCCTTACCCCATCTCAGGATGAGGGGCTTGGGCAGCCCCTTGTGCTGCACATGGCATGTGTATCTCTGTTCCTCTCCAGAAGGCACTACCACAACCGCCCACTTCTGGAAGGTTCCATCCCCTGTGGGCCTGGTCTCCACGAGCTCCATGTCCTGGGTCTGGTCCTCCCCATCCCGCTGCCAGGTCAATGTGATCTCCGCAGGGTAGAAGCCCAGAACCCAGCACCTCGTTATGCCTCATGTTCAGAGACAGGGTGGTGGGTCACGTGTGTCTTGGGGGGGTCTGAAAGGAAGAGTCAGAAAACTCAGGCACTTTGCATTCCTCATGGGACACCCCAGCAGCGCCCATGTGACCATCCTGATGAATAGGACACCTGGGGTGGGGAAGGGAGCACAGAGCCCAGACACCAGCCTCGACACAGGCGCCTGGGATAATCTCCTATTCCTTGGAAAGTTCTAGTCTCTGAGCAGGGTAGCAGGGACTTCTGGTCCTGATCTGAGTGGAGGCCAAGGGACTCAGAGGAGCTGGAGTCAGACTCCGACACATTGAGTGTGAGGCAGAGAACAAGGCCCGGGAGGAAAAGTCCTGGTGCCCAAGGTTGCTGTGGGGTGAAAGGGGACCGCGGATCAGTCTTCCAGGGATTGTCTTCCCCTCCACTCCTTCAGAGACTTCATCCCTTAATTGTCCCAGGAAGAGCAGGGTGGGCCCTCAGAGTCAATCTCTGATACAGGATCTGGAAACCCAGGAGGATTCCTCTCCGTCAGGACAGGAGGGAGGGCGATATTCTGGTGGTGTTTCCATTTTCTTCCCCTCCTTGTGCGAGGCCAGCCCGGGAGATCTACAGGAGATCGAGCAGGCTCCCCATGGCCCCTGGTACCCGCGCGCTGCAGCGTCTCCTTCCCGTTCTCCAGGTGTCTGCGGAGCCACTCCATGCAGGTGCCCTCCAGGTAGGCTCTCCTTTGCTCAGCCACATTGGCCGCCTCATACTTGCGCTGGGTAATCTGAGCCGCGGTATCCGCGGCGGTCCAGGAGCGCAGGTCCTCGTTCAGGGCGATGTAATCCTTGCCGTCGTAGGCATACTGCTCATACCCGCGGAGGAGACGCCCGTCGGGCCCCAGGTCGCAGCCAAACATTCCCTGGAGGATGTGATACGCAGGCCCAGTTCCCGCGGTCAGCCCCGCCCACCGAGCCCCGGCCCCGCCCCTAGCAACCTGCGGAGATTTTGGCCTCAACTGAAGATGAAACCAGGTAAAGGCGCCTGGGGCTCTCCCGGGTCGAGGATCTCTGCAGGTCCCGCAGCCTCGGGGTCGATCTTGGACCCGGAGACTCAGGGGACCAGGGCCGTCCGTGAGGCATGGAGCGGGGAGTAAGTGATCTGCGCCCCGGGCCGGGGTCACTCACCCGCCTCGCTCTGGTTGTAGTAGCGGAGCAGGGTCCGCAGGTTCACTCGGTCAGTCTGTGCCTGGGCCTTGGCGCCCAGTGTCTGTAGGTCCCAATACTCCGGCCCCTCCTGCTCCACCCACCGCGCCCGCGTCTTCATCCTCAGACTCACGGCGTCACTGTCGACCCGCACGACCTGCGTGTCGTCCACGTAGCCCACGGCAATGAAGCTGGGCTCCCCGCGGCCCGGCCAGGAAACCGCGGTGCTGAAATACCTCATGGAGTGGGAGCCTGGGGGCGAGGAGGGGCTGAGACCCGCCCGACCCTCCTCCCGGCGCGGCTCCCCGGGTCCTGCGCCCCAGCCAGGCGGACCTTTCGCTCCTCACGGCAGAGGCCGTTTCCCTCCTGACCCCGCACTCACCCGCCCAGGTCTCGGCCAGGGCCAGGGTCCCCGAGAGCAGCAGGAGGAGGGTTCGGGGCGCCATGACCCCATCGTCGGCGTCTGGGGAGACTCCGAGTCCCGGTGGGTGCGTGGGGACTTTAGAACCGGGGCCGCGCGACGCTGATTGGCTTCCCTAGAAACCCGACACTCAGTGGGAGTGAGAACTGGGTCCGCGTCGTGAGTGTCCAGGAAGAAGGACCCGTCGCAGGCTGGGAGAGGGAGAAGAGAAACTCTGCGGAGATGGGGAATCCCCAATGCTGCACCTCCCCAGTCCATGCACCGCCTTCGGGGCCTGGGACCCTGAGAGCCATGCCTGGGGCTCTGGGACTTCGCCCTGACCCCGCTCCTCCTGTGACAAACGCTCTGTCTCAATGTTCCCTGAGTCTTGGTCCAGGAGCTGTCCGAGAAACCAGGAAGAAACCCTCGGCTTGGGCCCCCTTCCCTCTCCCTTCACTTTTCATCCGGGAATTCCTGTCCCTGAAATGGACTCCCTGCTTCCCCACTGCTTACCTGTTCCCCTGGACTCTTCAAAAAGAAAACTCACCCCAGGGAGCTTGGTGCCAGAGAGGGAGCTCTCCCTGGGAATGGAGGTGTAGAGACAGAGGTTTTTTTCTTTTATTTCTTTTTTCTTTTTCTTTAAATCTGGAAAAGTTGTGCCTGGGTGCATGAGATAGTATAGAGACCAGTTTGCTTTTTGTGTATTAACTACAGTGGGTAGCAGAATCTTGGTAACCCCTGAATGATCAGGAATCTAATCGGTAAAAACATGTGACTTTGGCCCCTTGATATATAAAGTGTCTAAAAGCATTACAACAGGACTCACAAAGCTCCTAAGTTTCACTTTTGCAAACAAGGTATCTGTGACTCCCGCTTGTGGTGTTTTAAATTTACCTTTATTCCATAGCCCTGAGTTTCTGTGAGTCCAGGACATCTCCTCAATACAAAGTAGCCACTGTGTTCCTATGTGTTGCAACCAGGAGTCAGTACAGACTTCATTCACCTCAAAGTTGCAAGCGCTCGATGCAGTCACAATGCCCATCACCAGTGCTCATGCACTGCCTGTTTTTAGGAAGTATCCACATCTAAGTGGTGTGTATATTTCTTAGGAACACTTAGTATTTTTAAAACCTGATTAACATAAAAACAATTAGTTTTTAAGCAGACCCACTTAAGGTATTAAAGGCCAACTGCAAGTAACACCCTGCGAGGCTCTGTAGATGGATCTATTGAAATACCATTTAAAAAAAGTGTTCAAACCTAAGAGTTGTGCTGCTTTTGAATTCTATCCCTCTGCTCCTTTTCCTCACCTACTGCTTCTCCAGCCCTTCCCTCCGTCCCTCTTATCACTCAGCCCCTCCTCTCCCCTTAGTCCCCATCACACTGTCACTCCTGAATTGTGACACTGGCACTCTCCCGTTACCTGCTACGTGACTGTTCTCTCCACAGTGGTCCTGCTAATGTGAGTCAAAGTGTGTCATTTCTCCACCTAAAACACTCCAGTGGCTCCACCTTGGTCTTGTGAAGCTTCTAGAATGTCAGGCACGTGAGCATATGAGGGGATACCTGGTTCATTGTAGGGACTAAATTAATTTTTGTTGACTGAATGAATGAAATATGAGTATATTAAATTGCATCACAGATAATTATAAAATGCAAAACACTGAAAAAGTTCAGAAAGATTTTATTTTATGTAACTAGTGTATATATCAATTCATCAGTTCATTCCATTAGTCTGTTGAGCCTGTGTATGAATTTTATAAGACTGTGTAAAAAATTATCACAAACATTGGCTTTAAACAACACCCATTTATTGTATTTATTTATTTGTTTTTATTTATTGTATTCATTTATTTGTTTTTAGAGACAGAGTCTCTAAAAACTGTCATCCAGCGTGAAGTGCAGTCACATGATCATGGCTCACTGCAGCCTCAAACTCCTGGGCTCAAGGAATCCTCCTGCCTCAGTCTTCAGAGTAGATAGGACTGCAGACAAGTGCCACCACACCCAGCTAATTAAAAAATAAAGTGTAGAGACGAGTGTCTCACTGTATTACCTGGGCTGGTCTCACACTCCTGGCTGCAAGTGATCCTCCTGTGTCAGCTCCTCAAATGTTAGGATTACAGGAGTGCACCACCACGCCTGGCCAAAAAACACCCATTTATCTGTTTATAGTACCTTAGTCAGAAATCTGGGCATGATGTAGATGGAATCTCTGTTCCAGGCTTCCCAAATCTGAGTCTTCATTTTGAATCCTCCTTTAGGCTTATACAGAGGTGGCAGAATGTGCTTTCTTGCAGTTTTAAGACTGAGGTCCCTGTTCCTTGCTGGCTGTCAATGTAGAGAACAGGGAGGGCTGTACTCAATTCCTGGTGCCCACCAGTGTTGTTTCCTACACAGCCCCTTCATTTTCAAAGCCCACAGTGGAGGAAACCCCTCATGCTGAATCCCTCTCACACTGTGAATCTCTATGCTCAGGAAGAACCCAGTCCTTTCAAGGACTCTCCTGATTAGGACGGTCCAAGCAGCATAAACCCAGCCTGAAGTCAACTAATTGAGCCCCTTTATTATGTCTGCTAAATTCCTTCACAGCAGCACCTACATTAGAGTTGGTTGAATAACTGGGGGAAGGTGAATGACCAGGAGGTGGTTGTTGGGGCCATCATAGAATCACTCTAGCAAGGGATGAATCTTCCTTTTGTGTTTAATTGGGACACAGTTGGAAATTGAAGTTCAAGTAAAGTGATCATTGTGAACGATAATAAAATACATCCTCTTCAGCCATGGAACTTCTCCTTTCCTTTTAAAACTAAGTTACATGTTTAATGTCTTATAATTAAGTTAGGCAGGGGTGGTGGCTCACGCCTGCCATCCTAGCACTACGGAAGGCAGAGGAAGGCAGACTTGTTGACTCCAGAAGTTCAAGATCAGCCTGGGCAACATGGTGAAACTCTCATCTCTACAAAAAAACTAGAAAATTAGCCTGGCATGGTGGTTCACGACTATAGTCCCAGCTACTCAGGAGGCTAAGGTCAGAGGATCCCTTGAGCCCAGGAGGTCGACAGCAGTGCATGGTGATCATGCCACTGCACTCCAGCCTGGGTGACAGAGTGAGACCCTGTCTCAAAAATAATAATAATGATGATGATAAATTTAGAGCAAATGCAAATTAACATGTAATAATGCATCCTGTCTTGTGAAAATGTATTAGTTATTTACTATTGCATAACAAATTATGTAAAACTTAGCAGCTCAAAACAACAAATATTCCTCATCTCCCACAGTTTCCAATGATCAGAAATCCAGGAGAGGTTTCCCTGAGTGCTTCTGGCTCAGGGCCTCTCACAAGGTTGCAGTCCAGTTGTCAGCCTAGGCCTGCATCATCTGAGGGCTTCACTGAGCAAGGCCATAGAGGGGTCCTCGAGCTACAATTGGCCATCAGAGGAGTCCCCTGTCTCCTAGGAATGTCCTGCCTTAGTGTCACTGGTATGACCCATCAGTCGTTGGGAACAGCCCATGGGAAGCAGGGCCTCAGCACCAATGTACTGAGGATGTCAGAACACAAGAGCAGGGCCTTGGGAGATTACCCACGAGTGTGACTCAAACCTTCTGCCCTGACGGGTCTGGGCCCTTGGAAATCAAATCCTCTCAGGCTGAATTGCTGGATGATTCTGCTCACACTTACAATGGGGCAAGGGAAACCAGAAGGCTCCCAGGTGGATCTCTGGTTTCCACACACACTTCTGCCCTTGTGTGAAACAGCCATGCCTTCTCCTGGGGATGAGGATCTATTTATTACCTGGGCCTGGAGAGGAGGAGAATCTTCTTCTCACCAAGTGGTCTCTGGGCACACACTGTCCAAACTTCTCTGGTGACTAAAGTAATGTGTAGTTCAGTGGGCTGTCTTTTGTCTCCTTTTAGGGGTACACTCCTTTGGAAACCAGAACCTCGTATCCTGCACAGCCCAGTGTTGGGAGATAAAATATGCGAAATACCCCATTGAGTGAATCTAAGAGATTGGACATGGAGCCAAACCTGCTTCCGCCTTTTGATTTCTGGACACACATGTTCTTCCTATTGAGAACACAGAACTCTAGAGACGTCTCTGATTCAAACAATGCACTGTGTCCTGAAAGATGGCACCCACCCCTCAGAGTGCTTCCTCCAGGCTGGCACTGAGTTGTGCCTGTAGAAGACCTGTCCAGCCTTCCTTGTGGCTGGCAGCTCCTGGGTAGTGCAGATGGTGATAGGATTAGTGGAACCCACAGCCGTGGAAACACTGAAACTTTCCCTGCAAAGTGGGTCCTTCAGGCAGATAATGGGCTAGGAGCACTGCCTAGCCTGCAGACCAGGAATGTCAACAGCACCCAGAGAGTGGTGCTGGCTGTGTCTGAGAGCAGGACAGGAAAACCCACCCATAGAATCGGTACCTAACCCTGTGAAGATGAAACTCTGGCACTTCCAGGTTGGAAGTAGCTAAATGTAGTCAACTTGTTACTTAATGGGTAGTCATGTAAAGAAATAGTGCCCCACTAGGGCACATCATGGGCCTCAATTGCTGATGAGTTGGACATTCAGAGGTGGCAGCAGCTGGATCTGCCTTGGTGTGGGGGAGTCAGTGCTGCTGGCCCCTTACGGAGCCTCATGCCTGCCACTGTGGTTGCTCCATTCATGCACTCATCCTACCAGGCCTGGGCTGACCCATGGTGAAAGCTGGCTAACTGCCATTTGTCTGTTTGGTAGTTCAGTGCCACTTCAGACTTGGGTGTTTTCTGTGGGTGTCAACAAGGGATTCAAGCTCAACCCAGGTGGACTGTTTTCACCTGATCATGAAAGCTGTTGGGCCTGTACCATCTATGACTTTGTGGGTCACACAGGCACTTGGAACCCCGTAGTTGCTTGGTATCCCGTGGTCAAGCATTCTATTGAATCAGGACAAGGAACACTAAAAGTTGCTTCTAACAGGGGGCATGTGTCTCTGCTGTGGATGACATGATCTTACTCCAGAATCCCAGGCCCTCCACTGTGACTCTCCCACTGGTGCTTGGTTCAGCTCCATCCTGTGTCTTTCCCCACCACTGGCACCACCAGCCCCAGGGGGTCTGAGGGATGGTGGCTGCTTGTACCATGGCCTGGATCTGCTGCAGGGTCCTTTCCTGTGTAGGCCCCACTTGAAGCTGGCATCCTCCTATGTCACCTAGACTGTGGACCAAAGCAAAATGTCTACATGTGAAATGTGGTGTTGTTATAATTCAAAGAGGCTCACCAAGCAGTGTGCTTCCTTGCTTCTGGTGAGGATGCAAGATGCAACAGTTTTTCTTTTACCTTGGAGGGGACACACCTGCATTCCCCTAAACACTTGGCACTTGTTCACCCATAAAACTTCACTTCGGTGCCCACCTTTGAAGCTGTATAAGGTTTATCTTCACCTTGTGGGGTGCGTGCGTTTTGCAAAGGACTACAGTGCACTTTCTTCCTGCTGCTCATCTACTCCAGTCAACATGAAGTTGTCAATGAAATGTGCTGATTTAATATCCTAAAGGATATGCAGTATGTCCAGTACAGTCTTAAGCCTATACTATAGAGGGCACAGGTGTTACAATAGCCCTGAGGCAAACAATAAATAAATGTGTCGTTGATTCCACATGAATGTGAATCACTCCATATTCTCTTCCTTCCTTCCTTCCTTCCTTCCTTCCTTCCTTCCTTCCTTCCTTCCTTCTTTCCTTCCTTCTTTCCTTCCTTCCTTCCTTCCTTCCTTCCTTCCTTCCTTCCTTCCTTCCTTCCTTCCTTTCTTTTTTGACAAAGTCTTGCTCTTGTCCCCTAGGCTGGAGTGCAATGGCGTGGTCTCGGCTCACTGCAACCTCTGCCTCCTGTGTTCAAGTGATTCTCCTGCCTTGGCCCCCTGAGTAGCTGGGATTACAGGCACCTGACATGACGCCTGGCTAAGTTTTGTATTTTTATTAGAGATGGGGTTTTGCCATGTTGGCCAGGATGGTCTAGAACTCCTGACCTCAGGTGATCCACCCGCCTCGGCCTCCCAAAGCTGGGATTACAGGCATGAGCTACCACGCCCAGCCCATATCCACTTTCTAATTGGAGTGGAAAGGAATGCACTCATCAAATCCACAGCTGCACACTGTGTGCCCGGGGTTTTATTAACCTGCTCTACCAGTGATAACCAGACAACATAAAAGCTGCAATTATAACTCCTACTTGGCAAGACCTGGAGTAATCTCATTCATTCTTTAGGCCTTACCAGTTTCCCTCAGGGACAGGTTGCTGGATTACATAGAGACAATAGACAGCCCCAACACCACCCCACATCCTTCAGCTCTCTAATGTTGGTGCGACCCCATAATACTTTCAGTGTCTTCCACAAGACCCACCCTGGGACACACTATGATTTTTGATTTGGCCAGGATGTGGGCAGTGTCAGAGGTTTCCCTTTGGCTTTCAGCACAATGAGAGTCCTTACTCCACAGACTAGGGACCCAGTGTGGGGGTGACTCCACTTAGCAGTGCAGCGGTGTCAATTATGCACTCAGGGAATTGAAAGATATCCAGCGTTGGGTCTGTTGGCCCAGTGGTCCCATTGTGGGCCATAATTTGTCCAGGTTTACTCCCTGGCCTCCATAAGCCCCACTGTGATGGGAGACATGAGTGCTGTGGGCATCTGGGCATCAATGTCAGCTCACACCCAGTGTCAATAATCCCCCCAGTTCTGCCTGTTTCCTTTCCCCAGTGTACAACCACCCAAGTAAATGTCTATAGGTTCCTTTGCCGAATGACTGAGGGAATTGTGCCAGCATATACTTCCACAGGGTTGCAGGGTCTTCCTCCTAGGGATATGGACTCCTCCTCTGTCACTGAGATCTGAATCTGAATCTTGGCTGAGGTCTAGGCATTAAGGATGGGATCATGACTTTGTATTGGGTCAAACACCTTCACCCTCCTGCTCCTCAATTCTTTCATTCCTATCATAGATATCAAGCAGCACCCTTGTTGGCTGCCTGTCCTAACCCTGGGACACCACCCTCTGTTAACCTTCCCCACATTCCCTGCAACTTGAGTCCTCCTGGCTGCTACTCTGAAGTTGCCATAGTAACCATGCCCTCTGCTTTTTCAGGTCACTGCCACCACTTCTTCTCTGTCTCTTCAGGGCCACACTCTCCCCAGGGATATGGATAAATGCAACTCTGGGACCATCTTTATTACCATCACCCCCAGCCTGCAGAGGACAACACCCCTATACTTAGTGATGCAGGTCCCTTTCACCATCATGTTCCTGAGGCTCTGGTGAAAGGTTGTGTCCTCTGGGCCCTCTTGTGGAGCATGGCCCTGGTGGGCCTTCACCATGCCCACTTCCCTCAGCCTCGTTATTCCTTCCTTTACATGTTCCAGGGCAACTAAGACATGTCTACCTTGTTGAGAGTTGGGCATCTTTTTTTCCAATCTATATGGATTCACCCCAGCGGTGGGTTTAGCTCCACTTATCAAAGTCCTGGGGTGTTTGACAAACCGTGCCCTGAGAAAGTGCCTCCAAGCCAAAGGATTCTTATTCATCCAGCCTGAAATTCTGGTTTCTTGATCAAACGCCCTCAAATTCCAATCCCAGAAGTGCTCCTTGGGCTCCTGTGGGGAAATGGCGGCTAATTCTTGCAAAGCTGCTGAGTGGGATTCCCGCAGAATCACGGGGGTGAGGCTTTTGCAGCATCTTCCAGCGTAGGAAGTGGGAACCATTATTAGATAATGGTGAGCCTCCTCTGCATTCCCACAGGGTCCTGGAGGGCACCCATCAGATAACCCGGTTCCAGTTTCCAGAATCTCAGGTTTCCCCACCAGGACCCTGACTTTCCTGTAACAGGCCTGCTTTGGCTGAGTGTCAGACATGTCTGGAGCACTGCGGCCCTCGTAGTGATGTCTTCAGCTGCCATTCCACGCTATCTGCCCTTTCGCTACAGGAGATAAAGGCCTCTCCATGAGACACTGCAGAGGCTGTCACCTGTAGCCGGTGACAGCTGTTAACAACCCGCAGATTCTCATGATCCTTTTATAGGGCATCAACGCAGCCAAGCAGTAACCACCCAACTCCTCTGTCTTTGTAGGTTTCCCCCAACCTCATCATTATTGTGTAGGGCATTCTATCACCTCACCTGCCATAGCTTCCCCTAACCAGGGCATCTTCTCAGCTCAGCACTGAGGAGACCACAGCACCTCAGCTGTACCTTATGCCATGGACTTTCTGTGTCCCCCACCAACCCGGGTGGCATCCTCTTGGCCTGCCAGGCAGTGGGCAAGATTATTTCAAATTCCCATTTTTGCCTGTTTTCATGGGTCACCCTTCATACTGCTTGGGTTAGTTAGGGTCCCCTGAGGAGCAGACCCCAATACAGTAGTAATTGTGCAAGGATTTATTCAGGGAAATACTTGCGGGAGAAATTCAGGAGAGAGACAGAAAACACTGGGAGAGCCATCAGACCACGCTGCAACTCTGAGCCCCAGTGAATGAGAGAGGGCAGGAAGGTCAGCTGGAAGCATCCTAGACCCTGTACAGGCTAAGGGAAATTTAGTAAAGGAGGCAGGGAACCCTGGGGCTGCAGTCAGCCTTCAAAGGAGAAATATTCCTGCCTTAGTTTCTGCCCTGCTTTCCTCAATCATTGGCTGGAAAAGATCAGGGGGCAGATGTGGGATCAGAGCAAATATGGCAATAGATTTCAAGCTTCAAGAGCTGGGGTCATCATCAATTCTGCTTCCTGTAGCTGAGGGGCTGGGATGTGCATTCTCATGACTGCCACAATGATCCAGTGGGGAGAGAGGGAAAAAGTTGATGATAAAGATAAAAAAAGATACTAATTGATGAACTGACAACTTTAAGTAGATGAGAAGGGATGATGTTTGGGGCACCAGAAGAGGGACTGGCTCTGACTGGGAGCAGAATTGTTAACCCCCAGCAATCCCTCACGTGGTAAAATGCCTGACATGTGGTGCAGCTGCAAATGCATGAGCAGACAGTGGTGGAATCTGGGAAGTTGTCTTCTAATGTGTTCAGTTTTCTCAGTGAGGTAGGAGGCAAGGTTGTCAGCTGAGGTAAGAATGGGGAAGAAGGGTTGGATGTGTGAGCACAGAGAGAAGGTGTCTAGGAGTCACCCAGGCCAAGAGGAGGCTGAGGGTGAACCACGCAGGGAGAGGGTGATTGCTGGCCACGTCAATGGTAGGGACTCCCCATGAGGTTTGGAATCTTAAAGAGACCAGTCAGCATGTTGTGTGCTGCTGTCCAGCCTCCTGCAGCTCATGGGGCAGGTGCAGCATAGACAGAGGTGGAACCCACCAGCTGTGTAGTTTTGCCAGGTGAGTATGACAATGCAAGGGAGAGGCAAGGGAGGGATTGAAATTATTTACTGTAGAATTCAAAATGGGAGAAGAGGGAGGAGAGGACACCAAGGGTGAGTGACAGGGAGTAGATGGCAGGATCACTCAATTGGGAATCCCAGTGGGCTGGAAGGATTGTTGGAATTGATGTACTATAGGGTGGACTCCAAGCCTGGAATGCAGGCACATAGGAAATGAGTGGTTCACTGATATTACATCACAGCATATGATAAAATGATAGTGTCTGTGTCCTCAGAGCCTGTGGCCACCTTGCAAGGGGATGAGTGGAAAGATGGCCAGAGAGTGGGAAGTGTGAGATTGAGAGTATGGAAGGGCTGGGGTTCTTGGCTGTGATGAGGCCTAGGGGATGACAAGGGCATGAGATTCAGGCAGAGAGAGGAGAAGGTCATGGAGGAGAGGAGTTCCAGGATCTGAGAGTCCAGGGAGCAAGGGCATCTTCTCTGCTGTATAGGTGTCTATTGCTGCCATAAAAATTACCACAAACCAAGTGGCTTTAAACAGCACCTAATTATCATGTCACAGTCATGTGGGTTGCAAGTCCACACAGTCTCATGGGGCTAAGATCAATGTACGGGAAGGCCTGCATTCCTTCCTGGAGACTGGGGAAGAATCCACTTCCAAGCTCATTCAAGTTCTTGTCTGAATTCACTTCCTTGCAGATAGAACGGAGATTTCCACTTCCTTGTTAAGAGCCACCCTTAGCTCCTAGAGTTTTCTCTCAGGTACTCACACATGGCGCCTAAGGCACATCCAGTCCTCCTGCTTGGAACGTCTGACCTCCTCTCTCCAGCTTCTCCTCTGTTTCCTCTTCTGCAGAATGTGACTCCAGCCAGGGCAGTTTCTCTGCTTTTAATGGCTCATGTGATTTGATTGGGCCCACACAGATAGTCCAGGATACTCTCCCTATTTTAAGGTCCTTAATCTTCATTACATGATTAATGTCCCTTTTGCCATGCAATGCAACCTATTCACATGTTCCAAGGCTTAAGCCTGGACATCTTTGGGGACCATTACTCAGCCCACCACATCTGTGTATGTTGAAGTCACCAAGAGTCAAGGAGACAGCACTGCTGGAGAGGGTGACAGTGAACCAGGAGCTACAAGGGTCAGGATTAAGAGGAATGGCTTGGGGCACAAAGGGAATGGCTACAACATGGGGAATGGGGCCCTAATCTGCTGACAGCTTAGGGGTTTAGGGAGGAGGGAGGGAGAAAGGTGTGAGAACCACAGTGAGGAGCAAGGACCCCACCTCACCTCTGAACCCAGGGGTACAAGTCCCTGGGAAAACTCCCCCATGTGGGAGGATTTTGGAGGGGGTCATGTCCTCAGGGAGACCAGGTTGCTGCTGTAGCTGTGAGGTGCAGGAACATCCTGAGAGAGGGTGTGGAGGTTTTGCTAATCTTTTTGCTGGGGGAGGGTCTTGCCTCAGTGTTGACTATTGGCTGATCAGGAGGGTGGTTGCTAAAGGCTGCTGTGGCAACTTCTTTAGATATGACAATAAAGTTTGTGGCACGGATTGTAAATCGGGAATCAGTACTTAAGTAAGGTCAATATGAGTTTTCAAGTCAGGTGGACCTGAATATGAACCCTCCAGGCCCTTCCACCAGCTAGCTATAGAGCCCTGGGCACATCTGGCCCACAGTTGGCCCTGACAGACACTTGCCCAGTGAGTGAGTGCTGAATGAGCCCATACGAGTCAGTTTCCTCATCTGCAAACTAGTGATGTAATTCCTGCCTTGCCAATTCAGAAGAATAAGTGAGAAGAAACCCAGTGCCAAGAAAAACAGACACAAGACCTGTGGAAGGCTGGGCACCAGTGCTCTAAAGCAAGCTCTGCCTAAACTGGCAGGATCATTTTTCACATCAGAAACAGGAATTGGTCTGGATTCTGTCTGGGACCAGGCTGAGAGGGAGGTGGAGGCAGCAGAGCAGGGCAGGGGTGGGGCCTATGCAGCGCCAGGTGCTGAAGCAAAGCCAAGGCCTGGAGGGAGCGAACTCTTGGTGTCTTCTAGGCAACTCAGACTGCTCCCTGCCTCAGCTACCATGGTCCTTTCTCTTCCAGGATCTCTCGGTGCTGTTGTCTTCACCTCCTCCTGCCCTCCTGGTCCCTAGCTCTCCAGGACTCACAAAGATGCTGCTCTGAAAACCCCAAGGCAAGCGTGGAAGAGTAGAACAGCTCCAGGGGCAGTGGGAAGATGAGGTCACCCCCGCATGTTGACGGACACCAAGGGTGGGGGTGGAGGATGTGAAGGGGATCAGCCCAGGAGTCGGGGGAAATCCTCTAAATCCCACCCTGCACCACCCTCACCCCTGCAGCTCCTTGCCTAGTTCCAGCTCTCAGCTCTCAGCTCCTTCCCAACCACACCCCAGCTCAGACCTCAGGGCTCTCTCTCCCCACCCCCTCCAGAGCAGCACAGTCCACAGAGCCCTTGAACAGAAATTCCCCCTCATCTAACAGTTAATTATTTCTTAGCGGAGAGGGACAGCCGGTCCTCTCTTTCCAGTGACCCCATATCCTTGTTCAAGGTATCCAGTTATATTCTGTGAGCCGGGGATCTCTATTTGCCCCCCAGAGGCCTATGCCCAAGACAAGGGGCTCCCTGGGCTTCTCAGTACAAGGGGCCTTAAGCTAATGGGCTAGAAAAAGGGAAAGGGAGGTAGAATTCCTCATTTACAGCCAGACCCTGCAATACAGGTTCCAAGGGCCTCAGCCCCCTGCCCTGGCTGATGCTCCCTTCACCACTCCCCCTCACCAGGGCCATGAGCCCCCTACACAGCTGAGCTGGCCCAAGCTGAGGAGTTGCTGGAGCTGGACCAGGCCCTGCTGGAAGGGCAGGAGGGGGTCAGGGGCCCAGGCCCTGGTGCTTAAGGTCTAGAATTTGAAGGAATAGATGAGGAGGCACCAAGAAAGCCTGGGTGGAGACACTCAAGCTTCCCACCAGTGCCCACAGCACCCTCCATCCCTGGAAATACTGCGCACCATCCACCAGGAGCCGCAGGATCAGAAACATCCCAGCCTCTCTCAGGCCAGATAAAGCAGAAGAGACCCCAACAAAGGGCCGGAAATTGGCAGGTAGTTGGGGAGCCAGGGCTCTGCAGTCCGTCCTCCTTTGACCTCACAGCAGGGCACCCAGGCCTTACAGGAATTTACCCTGGACCATGCCCTAAAATAATCTTACCCCAAATACAATAAAGGGAGACAGCACCCACACATAATGCAGATGCACTTGTGTTTCATGTTTAGTTACATTAAAAATTCTGACGATCAGGAATGATGGTTCAGGAGTGGTGCTGATGCAGAAGAGGAAAGCCAGGGGGTGGTGGAGGCTGTCAGGTGTGGGGGCAGCAGGATCTCCTTCACCCATACCCTGCTGTCCTCTCCTGAAGGGCAGATGGTCACATTCCAGAATGAACGAGTCTCCTACTGCATCTGTTCAACTGAGAAGGAGACATGGCACAGTGAGAATAAGGCATGAAAGGACAAAGCAAGGCAGGAACACACAGCACACATGCAGACGCTGGTGTACTGCCTGGGTTCAGAGGATGGACTTGGGCGTGGTGGAAGAGATGTAATATGAGAAAAGGCAGAGACCCCACATAGAGGGCAGCAAAACGTCCCAAAACAGCATCAAAGGCCAGGGGGCATGAACCAGTCAATTGTTCATTATGCGTTAAGTGCCCATGACCTACATGATTGGATTGAAGACACAGTAAGGAATAGGGAGGAACTAAGGGTTTCATGAAATCAGCACTCACTGTGGAGGAGATGTCTGTCTCAGCAGGTAGCTCCTAACACTGAACTTAAAGTGATGCTGCCCATCACTGAGGATCCTGGCACAATTCTCATCCGACATAAGCCCTGTTCCAAACCAGCCTGCTCTAGTCACCTGGAAGGAGACAGAGGTTAGGACTAGAAGACCCCAAAGAGGGAAGACAGCCAGAGGGAGGAATGAAGAAGTGAAGTGTGAAAAGATACAGAAAATAAGTGGGTGGGAGAGTGGGTGTCCCTCTGCGTGTGGAGCTTACCTGATTCACGTAGGTCTCAGAATCTTCAGGCATGTCATAGGTAAAGGAATGTTCACCTGCTCCATGTCCATGCCTGGGCAAAATAGGGTTGGTAGCCAAAGAATTGGCATTTAAAAATCTTTTGGGGTCATTCTCAGACAAGTACAGAACAGCAAAAACTGTTAGTCACCTGAGGTGCATTCTCCTTCTCAGGTTCAGAAATGAACTACATGTAAAAGGAACCAAAGGCTGTAATTCACATGGCACCCAGAAAACTGGACTAGGGACCTGGAGAGTCATGTGCCTGTCATTGCTCCACCACTCACGAGCTGTGTGACTTCAGGAGAAGCTCTCTACTCATAGGGCCTCTGATTCATCTGTGAATCATGGACAAATGCCTCCATTCTAGCAACCTTACTGAAATGCAGGGAGGACCAAGTGATCAATGCGGAGGAAAAAAGCAAAGTGATGACATTTACTCCTAGACAAGACTCTTTAGGAAAATGCACTTTAAAAGGAGGAGAAAACATAGTACCTGCCATCCCCTGCCAAAAAGCCTCTTTGGTTTAGTAATTATGATTGTTCATCATCTTTCTATAAAATTAGGGCAAAACTAGCTCACTCAATGTCTCAAATAAATTAAACACAGTTTGTGATTCTATGTCCACAACTTTTGCACTGTGTGAAACTGAAAAGAAATGGGAACACATCCATGTTTGTGTGGTGGCCAGGAGACCCACAAAGGCTTGGAAATGACCCTGTATCATCTGTTTTCCATTGACTCACTCTATGTTTTGGAATCCCAGGTAATTCATATTCTTAAAAAGTCTCATGTTCATACATAGGACAGAGTAGAAAAGGTAATATTTCTGTTTTAATTTGCTAGGGCTACCATAACAAAGTACCACATGCTGGGTGAGTAAAATAATAAATATATATTGTCTCACAGTTCTGGAGGCTACAGGTGCAGGTCAAGGTGCTGCAGGGTTGCTTTTTCCTGAGGCCTCTCTCCTTGGCTTGTAGATGGCCACTTCTGTCTTCTCAATATAGGACTTCAACATATGAATTTCGGTTGGGGAGGGACACAATTCATCTCATAACAGCGTGGATCATCCTTGGTAGTGGATATTCTAAAAAATAAAAGAGAGTATATCCCTTTGGCTTGGTGCTTTCTCTTGGTTTTCTCAATTTTTCGTCTTGCAATAAGAACAAAAAAGAACAAGAACCAACGTTTAGTTTTTCCCAGAAGGTGAACCCTCCCTACATCTGGGTAACCCCAGACCCCAAGAAGAGGTGCTGTGCAGTTCTCCAGAGTCTTACTTTCTCCAGGAATTCTGTTTCTGCCTTTCTAACTGGGGAGAAGATTCTCTCAGGAGAGCCACCTCTTCTGATGCTGTATGGGCTTCATTCTGCTTGAACTTACAAAGTGGATCTTAATAAAAAGGAAATATTTGCCAATTTTTATCATGGTCATATTTTTGTACTTTTTAAAATGTCCCATATTGTGTTGAGTTTATTTTAAAAATATTTTTTAAAGGTAATACATAACATTTTATATGTTTATGGGGCACATGTGATCATTTGATACATGCACAGAATGTGGAATAATCAAGTCAGGGTGTTTAGGGAATCCATCACCTCAAGCATGTATCATTTCCTTGTGTTGGGAATATTTAAAATCCACTCTTCTAGCTGTTTTAAATATACATAATTGTTAGCTTTAGTTGGCCTGCTGTGCTATAGAACATTAGAACTTTTTTTTAATATAACTGTACATTTGTACCCATTAATCTACCTCTCTGCATCTTCCCACCCCTACATTCTTCCCAACCTCTGGTAATTTTCATTCTACTCTCTACCTCCATGAGATTAATGTCTTTAGCTCACACATATGAGTGACAACATGTGATATTTGTGTTTCCTTGCCTGGCTCATTTCACCTAACATGACCTCTGGTTCCATCCATGTTGCTGCAACTGACAGGATTTCATTCTTTTTTTATGGCTGAATTGCATTCCATTGTGTATATACTACAGTTACTTTATTCATTCACCCATTGATAAATTCACCCATTGATTTCACATCTTTGCTATTGTGAATAGTGCTTCAATAAACATGGGTGTGCAGGTACTCTTTTGATATATTGACTTCATTTCCTTTGGATAAATACTCAGAAGTAGAATTGTTGCATCAGAGAGTAGTTCTATTAATAGTTTCAGTTTTTTTGAGAAATCACTCTACTGTTTCCCATAATGGCTGCACTTATTTACATGACCACCAACAGTGTATAACAGTTCCCCTTTCTCCACATGCTCACCAACATCTATTATTTTTTATTTTTTAATAATAGCCATCTTAACTAGGGTTAGGGTAAGATATATCTCATTGTAGTTTGATTTTCATTTTCCTGGTATTTAGTGATGTTGGGTGTTTTTCACACACCTGCTGGCCACTTATATGCCTCCTCTTGGGGAATGTCTACTCAGATCCTTTGTCCACTTTTTAATTGGATTATTTGTATTTTTTACTGCCAAGTTTTTGAGTTCCTTGTATATTCTAGATATTAGTCTAGAATATACTAATTGGATGAATATACTGGTTGGATGAATACTTAGTAAATATTTTCATGATTCAACAGGTTGTTGCTTCATTCTGTTGGATGTTTCCTTTGCTGTGCAGAAGCTTTTTAGCTTAATATAGTCTCATTTGTCTATTTTTACTTTTTTTGCCTGTGCTTTAGAGGTCTTAGCCATAAAATCTTTGCCTAGACTCATGTCCTGTAATGTTTCCCATAAGTTTTCTTCTAGTAGTTTTACAGTATTGGGTCTTACGTTTAAGTCTACAATCCCTTTTGAGTTGATTTTTTGTATATGGTGAGAGACGGGTCTAGTTACATTCTTCTGCATCTGGTAGCATTTTCCCAGCACCATTTATTTAAGAGACTGTTCTTTCCCCAGTGTATATTCTTGGTTCCTTTGTCAGAGGAACTCCTTTGAGAGTTCTCATTAAGAAGCAATGTTTAGTTTCACCAAATGCTTTTTCTGCATCTATTGAGATGATAATATGGTTTATGTCCTTCATTCTGTTGATGCGGTATATGACATATTTTGATTCACATATGTCAAACAATCCTTGCATCCTGGGTATAAAACTCATGTGATTATGGTGTATTGTTTTGATCTGTTGTTGGATTTTGTTGCTAATATTTTCAATTACTATTTTTTATTACTAACGTTTAAATTTTTATTGTAAGCATTTTAAACTTGTAAAACTTACATATACTGAAATGATCAGATCTGTATCAAATTCATCAATGAATTTTGACAAATACAGCCGTAGCACCCATGCCACTATGAAGATACACGAAGTTCTCTATTTTTCTGCCTTCAAATTAGCCCCCTTTCCCCAGCAGCCATTGATCTGATGACTATCATGATAGAGTAGCTCTTCCTGTTTCAAAACTTCATACGTATCCATTCATCCCATATGGCCTCCCTTGTGCCTAGCTTTTTGCACTTGGTGTAATATCTATGTGGTCTGCCCAGCTTGTTGCATGTATCAGTAATTCATTCATTTTTAATGCTGGTAGTATTGCATTGTATCACTGAGTCACAATTTTTTTGTACATTGTGGGGGTATTCACGGTTTTTTATTGTTACAAATGAACTATGGACATTATTGTACAGGGATTCTTGGACATAATCTTTATTTCACTTGAGTAAATACCTAGGAGTGGAAATGCTAGCCATAGAGTACTAGCTTGTTTAACTTTATTAGATGATATAAAAGTGATTTTCAGAGTGGCTGTTTTATATTCTTATAGGCAGTGGATGAGACTGTTTCACATCCTTGACAACATTTATATTTATTAATCACTTAAATTTCAGCCATTCTAATAAGTGCTTAGTGGTTTCTCGCTGTGGTTTTACTTTGCATTTTTCCCTGATGACTATTGGCCATTCATGTGTCTTTTTTGTAATGTTTCAGAAGATTTCTCTAAAGATTGTGGAAGGAGCTAAATAAACATGATTTCTCTTTCTCTAAGTGCTAGACCTAAAGCGGAATGTTTAGAATCCATCCACGCTTCCCAGTCTGGCCTACTCAATCCCATATTTGCCCCCTAAAGTCCCCACTCCTTCATCCCTCTTTTATATTTTATCCTCTTCATTCTGGCTCAAGCTCACGCTCCTCCAGGAAGTCTGTTACTGTGAAGGTCACTGACATGCTCAGTATTGTCATCTCTCCATCTGTCTGTACCTCTGTGCAGCTTTCCTCACACTCAATAACTCTTTTCTTATTTTGCTCAGTTCCTGTGGATTCACTTCACAAACATTAATTCAAAGTAGTTCCAGCTGGAAGAAAGAATAGAAAATTATAAAAAATCTTTGTGAAGGCACCACCCAGGTTTGTCAATTGGCGACATTTTAATATTATTGGCTATATGTAGTATACATAGAAAAATAATAGAAATATATGTAGATAGCCTTGATTTTTCACAGCTCTGATATGCACATGTTTCAGTCAGTACTGTACTGAGCAAATCAAGAATTGCAAGAGGATGTGTGACTTGAATTTAGTGTATGCCTTTATATTTTTACTAAGTTTTAGGAAATCTCTTTGTTTGAAGTCTTTTAGACTTGTTTTTTTAGAACAGGTCTCCTCACTCTGTCACCCAGGCTTGAGTGCAGTGGCACAAACACAGCTCACTGTACCTCAACCTCCCAGGCTCAAGCGATACACCTACCTCAGCCACCCAAGTAGCTGGGGGTATAGCTATGCTCCACCATGCCGGGCTAATTTTTGTATTTCTTGGAGAGAGGGTTTTTGCCATGTTTCCCAGGCTGGTCTTGAACTCCTGAACTCAAGCGATCCACCCACCATGACCTCCCAAAGTGCTAGGATTACAAGTGTACACCACCTTGCCTGGCTTTGCTTTTAGACTTCTTATAAATTGTTTCTGGCTAATTTTATCATTCATTTGCTTGCTTTTTCAGTTAACATGTTCTATGACATGAATCTATGTTCATACAAATAGTTCATTTGCTTTCATTGGTGGATAGTATTCCATGGGAGGAATATACTACAATTCTTCTCTTTCCCTCTTCATTGACCTTTAGATTTTCTCTATTGTAGACCTCACTGCAATGAACATCCTGGGACATTGCCTCCTGCTCTCAGAGATATGTGAGTTTCCCTAGAATATGCATATAGGAGTGGGGTCACTACAGCTTTTCCATATGATGTTACATGATGCAAAATTGTTCTCTGAAAGAAATAATCCAAATGCCTATCAAGAGGGGGCTGATTAAAAAGCACCGCACTCAAAAGAAGCAATCTCTATTTTTTTTTAAAAATATTGCATATATATACAATGGTGTATCATGAAAATTTCAAACAAAGATGTAGCTAAGCTCTTGGTATTTCTTCATGTGATGGTCTTTGTGATACAATGTGAAGGGAAAAGGCAAGGTGCAGGAAAGCATATGTAGTTTGCTAAAATTTGTGTGAAATGGGAGAAAGATTATATACATATACATTTAGATTGACTTGCATATGCATAAAATGCCTTTGAAAGAATAAGCAAGAAACTGATATAAATAGCTACCTGTCAAGATGGGGTAGCATAAGAGAGAGACTTTTAACTTTTTGAGTTTTGAGCCAAGTCAAAACATAAAATAAAAGATAATTCCAAGGCAGACAAAACAAACAAAATCAAATCCTTCAAAATAAAAAACTTAAAAAAAGAGCCTAACAGAATTAATTCTCTTACCTTCCTTAATTAAAAAAAAAAACTGTCTAAAAATTATATCACTTCTCAAACAAGGATGTTTCCTGTCACTTTAATTCAGTATGTTGTTTTCTTTTTCATTGCACTATCTTTCTTTATGTGTGTGTCTGTCTTTCATTCATTAAAAGTCAAAATGAGAGCATGGTTACTTAACAAATGCAACCGGTTTGGTGAAGGAAATTTTGACCAAATCCTGATGTAAATGGTGAAGCCCAATCTACAAGGAATTCTACGGGGTCCAATGTACCAATTGTGGCTTCAGCAGGCTCAGAACTTCCTCTACTGTCCATGTGAGCTCAAGTATGTGATATTTAGAAAAGAGAACGCTTGGTAATTCTCCTGGAAAACACACGATTGAATCCATTTGCTGAATTTGGAAGGTTCTCATTATGAGCCCATTCTAAGTATGTGTCATATGAGGTCACCCTGTATTTGGATCAGAAGGTATAGTCAGAGCTCACATCCCAGGCCCAAACAGCCCAGGACAGCAGAGCAAGACTCGTAGGTCAGTTTCATAAGGGGTGGGAAGGATTGGGGGTGTGGGGGCCACTTGTGAAGTAGTGGGAACCCCAGATGCTGTGTGAAGCTCAGCCTCTGGATTGCCCTGTAACCCCACATTTGATTCCTTCCTGGGTGTCTGCCATTCCCGGGATCCCAAGGAAATCAAATGCTGCAGACTTGGGTGGGGTGCTCTCCAAGATGGCCCATGCATGGTCTAGTTTATCCTATACCTTTGCCTGTCAGCCCTCTTCTGATATTAGAAATCAATATGGATTGCCTTAGGGTGGTGATTCTCAAAGTGTGTTCCTGGGACAAGTAGCATTGGCATCACCTGAGGACTTGTTAGAAATGCAATTTTCAGGCCCTGCCTCAGACCTACTGAATCAGAAACTGCATTTTAACGGGCCCCCAGCAGAATTCTGCATTTCAAATCAGGCCTCTCTCTCTCTGTCTCAAGACTCAATATTGAGCAGCTGTGACTTCTGGATAGTCATATATGGGACACACTTCCTTGCCAGGAAGCACCTGGCTCCTCAGTCAGCTTAGTCTGAGTCCTGGCCTGGCCTAGGAGAGAAAAATTCATGTCCTGGGTTCTGAGCAATGCTCTCCTGTCCTGGATGCCTGTCAGACTCCTATTTATACCTCAAAACGCAGCTCAAATGTTGTGTCTTATGAAGCTTCTGTGACTCCTTGGTCAGAGCAGATGGTCTACATGTGCATCCGCAAAGCAAGTTGCATATTCTGCCAACCATTTGTGTAAGAATTTCCTTACTGGCAACAGAGTGAGACTCTGTCTAAAAAAATAAATGAATAAATAAATAAATAAATAAATAAATAAATAAATAAATAAAGAGTTTCCTTACTGATCTCTGCCTGAGCAAGACGGCTTAACCTTGAAGGCAAGGGGGGTTTGGTTCCTCTTACCTCAGCCCCAGCTCCTTTAACACAATGCCTAGCACATGGTAGGTGTTTGATAAATGTTTACCAAATGAAGGGATTTCCTGCAATGACCTAGGAGACAAGAAGGTGGAATAAAAGCTCACAAGCCAAAAGTGGGTGGGAAAAGGTCTTCCAAATCCCAGTGCTGTGTGAGCACAGGGCCCACTGATGTTCACTTTTAGAAGCTTCCCATCTATCTTGTTCTCTTCTCACCAGAAACATCTATGCTTCCCCACCAAGGTCCACCTAATCGCACTTTACCTTTCAGGACCACCTTTCAAATTAGCTGGGTACAAACTCCACAGCAACTTCCTGCCTTAGCTCCAAATACTCAGCTGCAGGCCTGGTGTGGGGCTTCATGCTAATCCTAGCACTTTGGGAGGCCGGGGCAGCAGATCACTTGAGCCCAGGCCTTAGAGACCAGCCTGGGCAACATGGCACAACCCCATCTCTACAAAAAACACAAAACATTAGCTGGGGCTTGTGGCGTTCACCTCTAGTGACAGCTATTCAGGAGTCTGAGGTGGGAGGATCTCTGGGGCCGAGGAGTTCGAGGCTGCAGTAAGCCGTGATCATGCCACTGCATTCTAGCCTGGATGACAGAGTAAGACCCCATGTCTAACAAACAAAAACTACAACTCTGAGGCTAATTTGGTGGGAGTTAAGAGCTTATCCTACTGCGGTGTCACTATGAGTGATATTGGGTGGCTTTAAGATTAGGGGGTGTTTACATTTCTAAAAAGAAAATTGCTCCACAAAGAATGTAAAGTTTTGGTGTGTGCAGGGGTGGGGTCTTCAGGAGAAAAAAGGCAATAGCTCCAGTAATACTCAGTAGCTGACTGTCCTGCCCACCTCTCACCCAGAGCCTAGGCAGGGGCTGGATTCTCACCTCAGCCCCTCCTCAGCGTACCCTGGATGTGGATGGTCCCTCAGTGTGAACCCACCTGGGCTCTGACTGTGGCTGCTCTTCCCACTGTTATGGAGCCTTAGTGGGTGTGGCGCATGCAGGGGGCCTGCTCAGGAGACCAAGTGCCCTTTAAGTCTCAAGACCTACATTTTTGAAGCACCCATGTCAGATGTTCAGGATGGAAGGGACTCAGATGCTCAAATCATAATAAAAGAAAGAATCCATCCCACTCTCTCAGGTGTGGTGGAATTAAAATTAAATGACAATCAGTAATCTAAAATGATCATATTCTCAGTGTTGACTTTATCATTCAGCCGACGCCTATAACCCAGGGATGGATGAGGCATTGTGGAGGAAGAGTTTATTTCTTCTTTCTGAAGGCTCCATCAGCTGGAGTTTTTGCCCTATGACATGGAGAGGAGACTTTGCTTCAAGCTAAGTTAGGACTGAGCACAGTGGCTCACCCATGTTATCCTAGAACACTGGGGAGGCTAAGGCAGGAGGATCACTTGAGCCCAGGAGTTCAAGACCAGCCTGGGAAGCAGTGAGATGTATTCTGTTCAATTTTTTTTTTTAAATTAGATGGTCATTTTGGGGCTTTCCTGTAGTCTTGGCTACTCTGGAGACTGAGGCAGCAGGATCACTTGAACCCAGGAGCTCAAGGCGGCAGTGAACTATGATCAACTCACTGCACTACAACCTGGGTGAGAGAGCAAGTCCCTATCTCTAAAAAAAGAGAAAGTGACCTGAGTTGGGACAGGACATTTGGACTTTTTCATTAAAATTGTATTTCAAATGTTGTAAAACTTCATAATCAGCATTTTACCCTTTTAGAAAGTAGAATCTGCTCAATTACAGAAAATATAAAAAATGTAGTGAAGCAGAAAGATGGAAAACACCTGTGTCCCCACTGGGAGGATCCGGATGAACCTCTGCCTGGCAGAGCCTCAGAGACGTCAGTGAAAAGGGGCCCTGGAGCTGTGCTTTGCAGCTGCCCCCTGAGTTTCCACCCCTGGTTTCTGTGCATGTGGTGTCTGTGCAGGATGACTTAGTGCAGTCACACTGTATGAGTTATTTTGAATCTTGCTTTTCAAACTTTATTATTATCAATAAGCAACTTTATATGTTATCATAAACTCTTCTTAAACAGTACTTTTCCTGGCTGTATACTATTTCCAAAAAATGACCCAGCTACTCTTCTTTTACAAGTTCTTCTTCCTTATTGTAAATAATATCTGATTGATATCCTTATACCTAAAGATTCTTCTATATTTTGCATTTCATTGTAGAATTATAGATTTCTCAAATATAAATTATTTGGTCAAACTGCATGAACTTTTTTTGCTTTGTTTTTGAGATGGAGTCTCACTCTGTCACTGAGGCTGGAGTGCAGTGGCACAATCTCGGTTCACTGCAACCTCCACCTCCCAGGGTCAAGTCATTCTTGTGTCTCAGCCTCCCGAGTAGCTAGGATTACTGGCGTGCACCACCACACCTGGCTAATTTTTTTATTTTTAGAAAAGACGGGGTTTTACCATGTTGGTCAGGCTGGTCTCGAACTCCTGACCTCAGGTGATCCACCCGCCTCGGACACACATGTTATAAAATTGCTTATCAAAAGCAGCATACCAATTATATTCACCCATCATTCACCTCTTATTTGTTAAGCCCCTCCTCTGTACTGGTATGTTCTAGATGCTAGGGATACAAGTGGTGGCTGGACAAGGTCCTGGCCTCAAATAATATGTTTTAGTGGTACAGACAACAACTTTCAAATTTATTCTAATATCAGTGATAATTGTTATGGAGAAAATATACTCGGGTTAGAAGATTGGTGGTGGTGAGGATGGCAGGAGATATATTTTGTTGGATAAGAGGTTCCTGAGAACTTGACTAAGGGACATTTGAGCAGAGAACTGAATGGCATGAGGAGTGAGCCATGTGGATCCCTGGGGAGCAAGTGCATGTGGGAGTACCAGCAGGGGCCGGTGGCAGAGACAGGATTGAGCAGTGACAAGAGACTGGTGCGAGTGCAGATGAGTGATCTGGGCTGAGAGTGGTGAGATGAGGCCAGAATGGCCAGAGGGGCCCCGTGTTGAGGGGCTAATAGGAAATGGAGAGAGGAAGGGAAGAGGCTGGAGTGTCTCTGGGATGTGGTGGTGAGGATGGGCTCTAATTCCCATTCGAAAGGTTCACTCTGCCTGTTGTGTGGGTGATGGACAGCTGCATGAGATGCAGCAGGCAGCCCAGCTGGAAGGCCCGTCGGATTTACTATCCTAGAGAGAATGGCTCTGGGGAGGAGGCAGTAGACGAGTGTGAAGTGATTGGTTTTGGGGTTAATACATTTTTCAGATGGTCTCAGCAGTTATTTAATAGAGAACCATTCATTTATTTCCACAGTTGATTCCAGATGGCTTACTACAACAAACCAAATAATAAATATACATGCATTATTTAAAAACCAACAAGGCCTGGCGCAGTGGCTCATGCCTGTAATCCCAGCACTTTGGGAGGCCGAGGCGGGCAGATCATGAGGTCAGGAGATTGAGACCATCCTGGCCAACACAGTGAAACCCCATCTCTACTAAAAATACAGAAATTAGCCAAGCGTGGTGGCGGGCCCCTGTAATCCCAGCTACTGGGGAGGCTGAGGCAGGAGAATCGCTTGAACCTGAGAGGCGGAGGTTGCAGTGAGCCGAGATCGTGCCACTGCACTCCAGCCTGGGTGACAGAATGAGACTCCTTCTCAAAAACAACAACAACAAAAAAAAAAACAGCTGGGAAAATATAGACTTAAAATATTAAGGCTGGGGTAAAACTAGAACATTACTCAGCAAGAAGGAACATCTGAAACATTTGCAGAAATGGAGTTGACTGTTTCCCTAGCCATAGATTTGTTGGCTCACAATTGTGTTGCATCAGGGAGCCACAGAGGGGGGTGACAGTGCAGGTCACTTGGCCCTTGTTTCCTGTTTCAGGAATATTTTCCTGTTTTACACTTAAAGTCAAAGCAAATTTATGTAACTGTAATTTGTTCAAAAATGAAGTCAACAGCTAAAAAGTCAGAAAGTAAATGTACAAACCCCAGGGGTCTAAGGACAGTCTATATTTCTCCCCCAAAATGTCCTCACCCTACACTATTGAATGGAGACAGTCCTTTCCAGGCGCCCTAAGATGCAGGGGCGACTGGGCTGCAGCCCTACCTACAGGTGTCCTTCTTTATACCTGCAGTTTCCTTTACACCTGACAGCCAACTTCACTGACCTCACCTGAGCTAGGAATTTGTTTTTTTGGTATTGGTTCTATTTGAGTCATTGTGCAGGCTTAAAACTGTGACATGGAAGTTTTGCTATAATGGTTTTTCTTTGATGGAATTTGACACGCACAGTGGCTCTGGCTTCCCTGTCACTCCCAGGAGAGAACGGAGTGTCCTGCACTTTTTTTTCAAGATCCCTGTGTAAGAGTGATCAAGAGACTTGGAGTCAGGGGCTCCTCCAATCTCACCCTCCTCTCTGATGCTTTCCAGTGTGGGGCCCTTGGCTCTCTGCACATCTGATTAATACAATTGTCTCAGCTCCTGAAATAAAAGCACAGGTGCACATAACACTGACTCCTGCGTGCAGTGCCAAGGTGGGGAGGTTTCCTGGATGCCAGGTTTAGCACTTTGACTCTCATTCACGCACACACACACACACATACACACACACTCTCTCTCATATACAGATACACACGCTAACTGATACACACAGGCACACACAGTCGCACACACATTCACACACATATTTAGACACACTCACACACAGATTCACACACACGGGCACACACACACAGGCACACACACACACACACACACATGCAGCCTGAGTGAGCGTTGTGGGACAGGCTGACTTCAGGGGTGGAGTAACAGGAGTCTCTCAGTTCCTTCTCAGTGGACTTCGTCTCTTTTTCCTGGAGGTGGAGGAGTCTGCACTCCATGAGGGAAAGTCCTCTGAAGAAGGGGGGAGATACTCAGGAGCGGGGTCCAGAGATGGACAGGGATGGAGAAGTGGAGACAAAGCGGAGGGGGCGGGGCAAGAAGGGAGCCCACGAGGAATGGGGAGAGGGAGGACCTTCTAGAGGTCAGAAATATCACACGCAGAATTTAGTTCTTTGTTTTTGTGTTTTATTAAGATGGATTTAGTAAACCAGCCGAAGTGCAAGATATGGAGTCTACATTGCAAAGGACACGTCTTAGTCTCCTGCTAGTTTGAACTCATCAGTAGTAGCTAGGAGAAGAATGCCAGAAGCCTTGCGTGGGGCGCGCAACGCCCCATTGCAGCAACCCCATTCTCTGCATCCCACGGACCTCCCCACCAGGGACCATGTTGGTCCCCTCCCACCCAACAGGAAGGAAAGGAAGAAGTCTGAAGGCTTTGGATCCTCCCTAGCGCACTTTTTCTCGCCATTTATTCCCAGAGTGTCCTTGCCTCCACTCCGCTATCCCAACCCCACTATAACAAAGCACATCCTGCGCGCTGGGGCCAGAAATCCTCCTTTGGCCTCTGACTCACTGGTGCCATTTCACTGTGTCCTGTCCTTCCGGCCATTGTCACTGGGTGAAGCCCCAGAGAGCTTGAGCTTGGAGCCTAAGAGAGCTGGATTCTTAGAGCGTAGCTGTCCGCACAAACATTCTTTTTTTTTTTTTGGTCTTTATTATTATTATTATTATTATTATTATTATTATTATTATACTTTAAGTTTTAGGGTACATGTGCACAATGTGCAGGTTAGTTACATATGTATACAGGTGCCATGATGGTGTGCTGCATCCATTAACTCCTCATCTAGCATTAGGTATATCTCCTAATGCTATCCCTCCCCCCTCCCCCCACCCCACAACAGGCCCCAGAGTGTGATGTTCCCCTTCCTGTGTCCATGTGTTCTCATTGTTCAGTTCCTATCTATGAGTGAGAACATGTGGTGTTTGGTTTTTTGTCCTTGCAATAGTTTACTGAGAATGATGATTTCCAGTTTCATCCGTGTTCCTACAAAGGACGTGAACTCATCATTTTTTATGGCTGCATAGTATTCCATGGTGTATATGTGCCATATTTTCTTAATCCAGTCTATCATTGTTGGACATTTGGGTTGGTTCCAAGTCTTTGCTATTGTGAATAGTGCCGCAATAAACATACGTGTGCATGTGTCTTTATAGCAGCATGATTTATAGTCCTTTGGGTATATACCCAGTAATGGGATGGCTGGGTCAAATGGTATTTCTAGTCGTAGATCCCTGAGCAATCGCCACACTGACTTCCACAAGGGTTGAACTAGTTTACAGTCCCACCAACAGTGTAAAAGTGTTCCTATTTCTCCACATTCTCTCCAGCACCTGTTGTTTCCTGACTTTTTAATGATTGTGATTCTAACTGGTGTGAGATGGTATCTCATTGTGGTTTTGATTTGCATTTCTCTGATGTCCAGTGATGATGAGCATTTTTTCATGTGTCTTCTGGCTGCATAAATGTCTTCTTTTGAGAAGTGTCTGTTCATATCCTTTGCCCACTTTTTGATGGGGTTGTTTGTTTTTTTCTTGTAAATTTGTTGGAGTTCATTGTAGATTCTGGATATTAGCCCTTTGTCAGATGAGTAGGTTGCGAAAATTTTCTCCCATGTTGTGGGTTGCCTGTTCACTCTGATGGTATTTTCTTTTGCTGTGCAGAAGCTCTTTAGTTTAATTAGATCCCATTTGTCAATTTTGGCTTTTGTTGCCATTGCTTTTGGTGTTTTAGACATGAAGTCCTTGCCCATGCCTATGTCCTGAATGGTAATGCCTAGGTTTTCTTCTAGGGTTTTTATGGTTTTAGGTCTGACATTTAAGTCTTTAATCCATCTTGAATTAGTTTTTGTATAACATGTAAGGAAGGGATCCAGTTTCAGCTTTCTACATATGGCTAGCCAGTTTTCCCAGCACCATTTATTAAATAGGGAATCCTTTCCCCATTGCTTGTTTTTCTCAGGTTTGTCAAAGATCAGATAGTTGTAGATATGCGGCGTTATTTCTGAGGGCTCTGTTCTGTTCCACTGATCTATATCTCTGTTTTGGTACCAGTACTATGCTGTTTTGGCTATTGTACCCTTGTAGTATAGTTTGAAGTCAGGTAGTGTGATGCCTCCAGCTTTGTTCTTTTGGCTTAGGATTGACTTGGCGATGCAGGCTCTTTTTTGGTTCCATATGAACTTTAAAGTAGTTTTTTCCAATTCTGTGAAGAAAGTCATTGGTAGCTTGATGGGGATGGCATTGAATCTATAAATTAGCTTGGGCAGTATGGCCATTTTCACGATATTGATTCTTCCTACCCATTAGCATGGAATGTTCTTCCACACGAATATTCTTGAGATTTCTTCAGATCTGAAAGTCAGCCTGAGTTTTTAGACTTGCTTTGAAAGACTTTGGCCCTTGGAAATAGGAAATCAGTACTCCAGGAACAAGATTTTCCTCGACTTTGTCTCAACCCAAAGACGCTATAGCAGCACAGTTTTCAAACGTGCTTTGAAAATAAATGGGACAGTGTGTCCACACTGAATTTTGCCTTTCCCTTTTTATTACAGCCCGCCCCTTTTGTAAAATTGTTACACATCTCTCTACTGCACTAAAAACGGCTCTATCAAAGATACTTTGAGAAAGATTTAATGACATGAAAATATGAAGCCCCCTTAAAAGAGAGTTTCTGGAGTTGGGTTTTAATTAACACTTTGGTTTTTAAAATCCTGTAACTATTTGGGTGTGTGGCTTATCTTTATAATATTTTCAAACAAATATTTTTTCTTAACCACCACACAAATCCAAGTTTATTATTTTTATTTTTAAATTTTATTTACTTATTTCTGAGACAAGATCTCTTGCTGTCACCCAGGCTGGAGTGTAGTGGTGAGATCATAGCTCACTGCAGCCTCGAACTCCTGGGCTCAAGCTATCCTTCAGCTTCCAGAGCTGGGATTACAGGCCTGAGCCACTGTGCCTGGCCAAAATCCAAGTTTATTCTGTAATATAAAATTCCAACATTTCAGAGAAGGTGAAAGTCACAACGTTATCCCAGTCCCTGGGGTCCCTGTCAAAATTTTGGGGAATAATCCTCCGTGTTTTCCCCTACTTAAAATATATATTATGTAAGTGGTATTACTGGTATTATAATTTCATATATCCTCGTCCTTTTAAAAATGGATAAAAGTAGGCTGGGCACAGATCTTCTCATAACAATACTTAAAAATTTATCCTCCTCTTTTTAAGGACTGCATGGAATTTTATCGCGTGGCTATTCTTTAGGGGACTATGGAAATGTTATTTCTTTATCTTCATTGTGGTAGTGGATATGTGGGTGTGTAAAACAGCCAAGCAGTACAACTCAATGAGCTGTGCATTTCAAATAGATACATTGATTGTATGCAAAGTATGTCCCAATAATGGTTTAAAAATATTATTCTATTTGAGATTTGTACTTTGATTTTGTAAAACAAAACAAAACCCTTATTCTTGCACCCACGAGATGCACCCTGGCACATCTGGAGGTAGAAGCTCATGTTCTCTGCAGCTTGACCTCGCAGGCTCTGAAATAAGAATAATAAGCCGTATATTTACAGATTCACACACAGAGAAAAAAAAGCTTTGGCAAAAATGTTCATAAATAACAAAACTAGATAAAGGGCAAAAATAAAATTAGAAATAATAAAACTACATCTTTCAGATATTATTCTCACCTTCACCTTTTCTCTCCCCTTTTCTCCCTCTCCCTTCCTTTCCTCGAAATGTCCCCCCATCCTTCCCTCCATTCTCCATTCTCTGCATTTGATCCCCATGTATTCCAGCCTCGAGGCAAACACACGTCACCGCGTCCGCCTGGGGCAGGTCAGGGAAGGGACGCGAGGCAGCCGTGTCTCCGCATTCTGTGAGCGGCAGCGCCCTGGGCCTCGCTGATCTTGTGTCATTTCAGTGACCTTCGCTCTAGTCTTTGACGGGGCCACACTCGGGGTGTAAATTAGGATCCTCACTGAAGGCGCGGGACCCTGAGAGGCTTTTTCCTGGTCCCTTAGTTGTGAGTTTTCCTGCCGGCGGCGGAGCCCGTTTCCACCAGAACCGCCCAGAGGCCGGCGCTGCCTTCCAGGGGTGACGGAGCAGCTGGAAGCGTTTTCGGATCCTGGAATCAGTGGGCGGCCCGTGGGAGGGGCTGAGGCGCCTTTCCCTACTCACCCGGCTCCGAATCCACCGCGGTGCTGTTTCAAGCGAGTCAGATTCCAGATCGCGCTCCAGCCGGGACTCCGAATTCCTGCCCCGCGGGTCTGCATTTTCACAGCGGCAGGTGTGAGTGCCCCGCGGCTGGAGACCAGAAGCCTGAAGGCAGCTCGGCCCTCCCCAGCCCACAGCGCCGTTATTCCGTTTCTATATCAGTAAACACTTGTCATTTTCCGTAGACCAGGGCGGGGTGATGGGTGATCCCAGTCCTCGCAGTGAACTCCGGGCCGCAGTCCTGAGAACGCGCTCGGGCGCCCAGCGCAGCCGCGTCCTGAGTTACACACGCGACCACGCTGGGCCTTTTCTCTTTCTTTTCCGGACCCAGCAGTGGCGCCTACAGTCTGCGAGGAGAAAATCACCTTTGTGCTGGTAAGTCCAGGAATCTAAGGCGAGTGCTGAGGGAGAAAACGTAGTTGATGGCTCAGAGCAGAAGGGGCTGGAGGTAGGGTAGAGGGGGAGGGCTTTGGACAGAAAAGACCTGGGAGATTTGGTTGGGGAGGGGCAGCCAGGCCTAGACCCTGGGGAGCGACTCATCCAAAGTCCAAGATCATCACTGCCTCCCCTGCCCCAGAAAGGGAGGGATTGGCTTCATGTCTTGTCGCGATCACCTCTAAATGCGTTGGAACAAACTTTGCATATTATTATTATTAGTATCATCGTCATTGAAGTATTAAAAGTCTTCTTGGGGGTGAGCTGAATGAGATCCTTTGCTGGAACTGGCACAGGGAGAAAAAGTCCTCGAGAGAGTGTAGACACTGTGGAGGGAAGAGTTTGGGACCAGTGTCAGGAGAGCTGGGTCCATCTTCCTCTCTGCCCCTCACTACCCTTGTGACCTTTAGCAGTGTAAATAATCCCTCTAAGGTGGGGACAAGACCCCAGTCCCTGTTGTGCTCAATAAATGATAATGCTCGAAATAAATAATCAGTGAATGTGGATGGGAAAACTAAGTTATTGTTAAAACTCTGTGGTGTATGACATTTTCATCTACAGAAAAGTGTAGGCTAGGGGTCCTGGGGAATGGTTAGTAATCATAGGTAGAGTTCCATTGGAAAAAAAAAAATGCTCGTAAAGCTGACGAAGATGGAAGGGACACAGTTCGTGATCATGGATGGTTCATTGTCTAATGGGGGTTGGTACCAGATGGTAAATGACAGCTGGACGTGGTGGCACTCTCTTGTAGTCCCAACTACTCAGGAGGCTGAGGTGGCAGGATTGTTCTAGCCCTTGGCTAGAGCGGGAGCGGCTTGGCGTTTCTGGGGGGTCCGAATGGGTCGCAGCTAGCGCTATGCGGTCGCGGCGGGGCTCAGGTGCGATGTGCAGCGAGGTGCGGGAGCTGGACGCTGCCGGTTGCCGCCACTCCTCAGCCCTGCTTTTCAGTCTCTTTTCAGTCCTCCTCGGGATCGCGCATCACCCGCCCCCTGCACTTTCTGGTCTCTTCTTGCACTTGCTCTCCTCACCTCTCCTCCGCCTCCTCTCACTTTTCGGACAAACCAGCCCTTCTGAAGTCCCTGGGTTCCTGGGCTGTTCCTGTGAATGGCATTCGAGGGCCCTTCCAGCTCTGCCGCTGAGGCAGTCACATCCCCCGGTGCTCAGAGCGGCTCTCGGGTCCCTGAAGCCCTGTCCTCTCCCTGGAGTCCGCGTGTTCTCAGCTCCAGGGCGGGCCGCAGTCCCTGGAGTTGGGGCCCTCCTTTTTTCGGGACCAGGAGCTGGTGCTTCCTATTGCTGTGGGGACTATGGGGCTCCTGACTCTCAAGCTGAGGGGTTGGAGTCTGGCGGCTCCAGGCAGAGGATTCTTCCTGCGACTGCTCCCATCCCCAGCTCATTATCCCTTCGCCTCCCGTTCCCAGGGTTCTTTCCTCTCTGTCAACCCTCCCAGCTACTGTGGGCTCCAATGATCTAAGGACACCAAGTTCCCTCCTACTTCCTCAGCTTCCTTTCTCATGGCCCCCTGGGTCCTGTTGCCCTCCCTGCTCCCTGCTACCCCTTTCTATCTGCAGTTCTCTGATCCATTTGTAGGGTGTCCTCTGCCCTCATCCCCTGCTCCCGTCCCTCCTGCCTCCCTTATGGGCCTTTTCTACAAGCAGCCTTCACCCAGTGCTGCCCCTATGCCTCTCCATTCCCAGCTGTCCCTGACCCTAACTTTCTGGTGCTGCCTTTTGTCGGGGGAGTCTTCCCTCCATCCCACTCCCCTCCAGGCCACTTAAGGGGAGCCCTGGTGCTAATGAAAGTTGGGCCTTAGGCAGGGCGCAGGGCAGCGCAGTTGCCCCCTCCCCTCCAGTGCAGATGCCTGCTCTGGGCCCTGCCTCAGGTGATCCGTTCCCCACTCCTTCATCCTCAGCCTCACCCTCTTCAGGACCCCACCCTGAAACCCTCAGGTGCTGGACCATCCCTCCCTGGTCCCTCTGCCCCTCTCTGCCTTGGGACCTTATGCTGTTCCCACCTCTTGACCAGCTGCCTTCGGCCCTCAGCAAGTTCTCACCTTCCCCAAACCCCACCCTCCCCCAGACAACCCCTCCCTTCCTGTTCTCACTTTACCCCAAGTTCTCCCAGGGTCACCCCCCCTTCCTTCTCATGCCACCCTTTAGTCCTTGCCCTGCCCATCTCCTCACCCCCACCCAGACCCAAAACAGGCTCTAGTCCAACGGCTCCTTGACCCTCATCCTCTTTCGGTTCCTTGACCCCGGTGGGCTGTCAGTTCCTAGACTTCATATCCAAAATCTTCACTTACCACATAGTGGGCTGTGGTCATCCCCTCCTCTGGGCCTTCTCCCAGCACCACCTTCCTCCTGTGAGGGTTTTCTAACCTGAGCCCTCTTTTGGAGTGTGACTGCTCCGCCTTCAGCACCACTCCTCTCTGAAGGCCCTTCCTCAGGCCTTGGTTTTTTTCTCTCTGACCAGGACCCCAGCCTCTTTCTAATTCTATATTATTGTTTGGTACGCTGTGACAATTTCTTTTTTGTTAATTGTTGTAAAATATACATATAAAGTTCACTATTTTCACCATTTAAAAGTGTACAGTTCAGTGGCATTAAGTACATTCACATTTTTGTGCATCCTGAAACTCTGTGCCTACTAAACAGTAGCTCCCCATTCCTCCTTCCCCCTGGCCGCTGGAACCACTGGTTCTACTTTCTGTCTCTATGAATTTGGCTATTGGGAATTATGCTGCTATGAACATGAGTGTTCAAATATCTTTTTAATGTTCCTGCTTTCATTTCTTTTGGGTAAATACCCAGATGTAGAATTTCTGGATTACATAGTAATTAATTTTTTAGTTTTTGGAGGAAGCAACACACTGATTTCCATAGCAGGTGCCCCACTTTGTCTTTCCCAATGTACTACACAAATGTTCCAGTTTCTCTACCTCTTTGCCAAACTTGCTTTCTCTCTCTCTCTCTCTCTCTCTGTGTGCGTGTGTGTGTGTGTGTGTATTTGATTATAGCCATCCTAATTGGTGTGAAGTAGTAGCCCATTGCAGTTTTGATTTGCATTTCCCTAATAACTACAGATGTTGAGCATCTTTTCATGTGTCTATTGGCCATTTGTATGTCTTCTTCGGAGAATTGGCTATTCAAATTCTTTGCCTACATAGTTTTTTTGAGTCTTATGTTTGTGTTACAGGAATTCTTTATGTATTCTGGATATTAATCTTTTATTAGATAAATGATTTGCAAATATTTTCTTCCATTCTAATGGTTGCTTTTTCACTCTGCAGATTGTGTTTTTTAATGCTCAATTTTTTTTATTTTGATGGGTCCAACTTATCAATTTTTTCTTTGTTGTCTGTGCTTTGGTGTTATATCCATAAAAGTGTTGTCAAAACCTATGTCATGAAGATTATTCCCAATGTTTCATTCTAAGAATTTTTCAGTTTTAGTTCCTGAGTGTAGGTCTTTGATTTATTTAGAGTTAACTTGTATATGTGGTGTAAGTCAGGAGTCCAACTTCATTTCTTTTTGCATGTGAATGTCGTTTTCCTGGCACTGTTTCTGGAAAAGATGCACTGATCCTCCCTTACTCCCATCTTGTACATGATGAGCCTTCCTCAAAGGCAGCGGCCCGCGACTCCATCTCACCCTCACCTGTGTAGCACAGCCATGCTGGTCATGGGTCCCTCTGAGCCTGGGTCCCTTCCCATTTCCACCCTCCCCTCTGGCAAGACCTTCCTTCCACCACTGCCTTCGTGCTCCTCCCTCACCACTGCAGGGCAGCCTCTCTCCTTGGCCTCCTCCCTATACCCTTAGGTGGCCTGTAGCCACCCTGCCTTGGCAGCTGGCCTACATGTTTGCCATCTCCATTCCCCCTTCTTCTGTTCCTCAGTCTGCTCCTCCATCCTCCTGCCCTCCCAGTTTTCCTTGTATCTGAAATCCTCATTCTTGTCCCTTTGCATATGTACATTTCCTGCCTCCTCAGAAAGGTTGAGACAGCAGACCTGTGTGTTAAACATCAATGTGAAGTTACTTCCAGGAAGAAGTTTCATCCGTGGTTTCTTGTTCCCCAGGGCCCCACAGTCTTCATTACAACCTCACGGTGCTGTCCCGGGATGGATCTGTGCAGTCAGGGTTTCTTGCTGAGGGACATCTGGATGGTCAGCCCTTCCTGCTCTTCAACAGGCAGAAAGGCAGGGCTGGGTCCCGGGGACAGTGGGCAGAAGCAGTTCTGGGAGCTGAGACCTGGGACACAGAGACTGAGGACTTGACAGAGAATGGGCAGGACCTCAGAAGGGCCCTGGCATATATCAAGGGACAGAAGGGAGGTGAGAGGTGGCAGCAGGCAAGAGTGATGGGAGACCTTTTCCAGGAGAGCTGGGGGCAGAGAGCAGGGACCTGTCTGTCCCCACTGGATCTGGCTGGGGGCAGGGGTGAGGAATAGGGGTCAGCAGAGCTCGGTGGGGAGGTAACCTGGCACTCAGCCCACACAGAAAGGCATGGAGGAGGGCCAGGGAGGGGTCTCCTCTGGTCTGAGTTCCTCACTTGGAACTGCTGGGTGGGGGTAGCCTTGCATTCCCTCCAGGAGATTAGGGGTTGTGAGATCAGGAAGCCAGCAGCACCAGGGGCTCTAGGCATTCCTACTCTTATGGGTAGCTCTTCCTCTCTCTCAACCTGGAGACTCAGGAATGGACAGTATCCCAGTCCTCCAGAACTCAGACCTTTGCTATGAACATCACAAATTTCTAGAAGGAAGATGCTATGCCGGCCGAGACACACTCTCACCCTATATGGGTAGACTGCAGGCAGAAACTACAGCAGTATCTGGAATCCTGTGTGGGTGTCAGGAGAGCAGGTACTGGGCCTGGGTAGGGGCTTTCCTCTCCCCTATTCCACTAGAGTCACCCCGACCCCCAACTCTGTCCAGGGAAACCCTCCTTGTGCTATGGATGCATGTGTTTTCTGTTGGTGTGTTATATCCTGATTTTTCTCTCCTGTTAGAGCCACTGGAAAAAGACAGTGGGTCAGGGATTGAAGGGTCCAGTGTCACAATCTGGGGAAGCAGTGGGCCCTTTGACAGAAGCCTGAACCTGGGTGGGTGTCAGGCAGGAGAGGAAGCCCCCAGGGCCAAGGCTGCCCCATCTGCTTCCCAGCCTGCCCATCCCTAAGAGTTCCCTCTGGCCCCATGTACCAGGAGCCCACCCCTGACATTCCCCTCCTCAGCATCAATGCAGGGATCCCAGAGCATAAAGACACAGTCTCGAGGCCCATCCTTCTGCCAGCCTTGAGGAATTGGTCCCCAGGGTGAGGACAGACTTGCAGAAGGTCTGGGGTCCGTGAGGACTTCTGCCAGAGTCGGAGCAGTGGAGCGGACCAGCCCTATTCCCTGCATCTCCATTAGAGGGGAGCAGGGTTTGGCCATGTGCCTCATTGTCTCTGCCCTTTCTTCTCCAGTCCCCCACTCCTCCACCATGAGTGTGGCCTGCAGTGAGGCCCTGGAGGGCAACATCACCCTGATATGCTGGGCTCTGGCTTGTATCTCCAGAATATCTCTCTGACCTGGTGACAGGATGGGGCGTCTTTGAGCCAGGATGCCCAGCAGTCTTGGGGTGTTCTGTCCAATGGGATGGGACCTACCACACAGAGGTGGCCTGCAGGATTCCCCAAGGAGAGGAGCAGAGGGTCATCTGCTCCATGGGATACAGCAGGAATCACAGCACTCACCCTGTGTCCTCTAGTGAACCTGGGACCACCCTTGAGGGTTCCAACATAAGGAGGATCAGGCCAGGGTGGGGGCAGCAGGAACGGCTGTGGCTGTGGGTGCCCAGTGTGTAATAGGCCCTTTTTTTCAGGGATGGCCCTGGTGCTTCAGAGTTGATGACCAGCCATTCCATATGTTGCTGCTGTTGCTGCTTTCATCATCATTAGTATTATTAGTAGTATTATTATTCTCTGTGTCCTTTGATGCAAGAAGAAGACAACATCAGGTGCAGAGGGTCCAGGTGAGAAAAGGGGACAGTTGCTAGAGATGGGAGGGTCCCTGTCTGGGCTGTAGGGTCCCCTCATACCTTCTGTGCAGATAGGCTTGTAGGTGACAAGGCTTCTGGAACAGGCGATGAAAGTTGGGGTATTTGGGAGGGGAATGAGAGCCACGTTGCCATCTACATCCCTGTGAGAAAGAAACTCACCCATTCAAACCCAAAGAATAGACTCAGAGACCCAGAGAACAGCGAAAGAGAGACTTTTAATGACAGTCTTGCAAGATCAGGTGTCTGGAGTGCAGGTACACCTGGGACAGTTTCAACAAACTATTTCTTCCCTAGTGTGCAAGTCCCTTCCCCAATTCCTCATTAGCTGAGTACTACGGGGTTATAGTCTTCCTGGGCATCACCTATTGGTAGTTGTATTAAGACTTCAGGTATGTTCTTTAGGGTCTTTTTGCTGCATTTTTTGCTGCATTTTGTTGCAGCCACCCATAATGCATGGCGACTGTCTCAAGACTCTGAGCATTTGACTTACGGCCCTAGTGACTGCACTTAGGTGATGGCAAGCTAGCCCAAACTAAATTCTTTGGTGAGGTGGGGAGGGGGGTCATTGAGGGGGCCCTGACCAGTAGGCTCCTGGACACTGGGTCAAAGGGAAAGCAGGAAGGAGGGGATTGTGGCTTAGTATATTTTGCTTCTTTATCTCTTTGTTTCCATGTGGCCTGCTTAAACATATTCTAAGGCACTTATGAAAATGAACCTTCTTCACATGTAGGTTATTTTTTACACTTACCTCCTCTTTTTCTTTTTACCCTTTTTGGTCTTATTTTCACTTACATATCTTTGTTTATTAACTGTTCTGGAAGTTTTTTACTTTCTTCATTATAGGAGGAGAAGTTTAGTTTGGCTTTTAATAATAGTAAGTCATTCTGTTGGGACATTAGGGGCATTTGTTTACTAATAGCTGCTTTAATTAACCTTTGTGTTAAATAAACCCTTCACACAAGGTATGATACAACATCCTACGGCTGTTAAGACCCCAGCCATAATCACGAGAGATGTAAGAATTGAAGGTACCATTCCTTTCCATTTTTCAAACCAACCTTCTAACCAGTTAGTAAAAAGGTCATTTACTCCTGTGTTTTCTGCCAGCTCGTTGACTAGAGTTGTTAGTCCCTGCCATCCCTTTATGATGGTTCCATTTGGGGCAGCATTGTTGTGAATGGAAGTGTCACATTTTCCACCCAGCATATCACATATATCACCTTTCTCTGCTAATATTATGTCCAGTGTAATTCTGTTTTCCCAAGCCATTTAGCTAGTGGCATTTAGTTGTCTGGCTACTCCCTTAAGGGCATTTTGCGTGTAATTGATGAATCTTTGCTGATTATAAGACATGTAATTAATCTAATTTACATTCTTGTTAATAGTTGACCACCAGAAAAGTGCTGACTCAAATCTAGCAGGTATTTGGTTTCGTGCTTTAAATTTATTAGGCACTCCTCTAGGTACTCCTATGGAGTTTAGATAGATAAATAGATAGATAGATGGATAGATAGATATACAAAGCTTTCATCCACTGTTCCAGAAGCCTTGTGTGTATGTGTGTGTGTATATATATATATGTGTGTGTGTGTGTATATATATATGTGTGTGTATATATATGTATATGTATATGTTTGTGTGTGTGTGTGTGTGTATATATATATATACACACACACATTATATATGGGTTAAAATAAATTGCTAAATTACTCTGATCTCTATGACCATGTGTATTTTTAGCTGTTTCATGGAATGACAGGGTGAACGGAATGGCCAATTGTACTAAAGCACAAGTCCCGGTCCAATTGGACGGTAACAAGTTACGGAGGTTCCCTTTCCCGAAATACCACCAGACATTTGCCTGGGGTATATGGAGAGTTGAATGGTTGCCACAGTCTGGGTTACCAGTGACATTTAGGATGTGGGTGCAGGTTGCGAGTTTTCCCACAGGTTTATCGAACCTCACCTTCTGTCTAGAGTGACAACAGGAGTGATTTATATTCCCTATAGAGAATGAGGGGATTGCTTTAGGATCTGATCTCTGCAAAGTGGGAAAGAGCAATGACAGACTTTTACAAGTCTTATTTCCCCATGCAACCTTGTCTTGGTATACAGCCAACACGCAACACATTCCTTTGGGATTAGTATCCCATCCAAGGGGAAATGGAACCACCTGTGCCTGAGGTTGACCAGCAGCACATGCATAACAGTTACTTTTATCGAGGGCTTGTGCTGAAAATTTCACCCATTTAACACAGGCATTTATGTCTCTATATCCTGTTTTAATTTTTAAAGTCTGCCTTAAGTCAGTTACTTTAATTATTTTTACTCTCTTAGGTTTATTGTTTGGTGGGTTAAAGGAAGTTAATGGGACCAGGAGTTCTAGTAATTCTGGGTGGGCTTGGGGTAGAGTTGGTGACTAACCTAAAAGCTAACCGTCCCACGGGATTCCTTTCTGAGATATTTATTTTTAATTTATACCTTCAAGGTTTCTGGTTTAGAGTAGCTGGGTTGTTTATAGTAATTAATATAGGATTGCACTTTAAATTTTTACAGTTAGGTGGCGTGTGGTTCTTATACAATACTTAGGTTTCCTTTCACCCCTTGTGTTAGGATTAATTCTAACCATATCAGCCCCCAGTGATGGAGCCTGCTTATGGCTTACTTTTAGGTTTTCCTTAGAATTAGCTTAAAGGGTTTCTTAGGTGATCTATACACTTCCAATTTACCTTCCGTTTTTTTTTTTAACCAGTTTCTTGACCCGAGTGTAATGTGTCCACCCCTGATCAGCTGTTTGTACAGCTGCCTCACTTGATAGGGACCTTCCCAGCTTGGGTGGAGCTTGTCTTCTTTCCAAGTCTTAATTAGCACTGAGTTGCCAGGCTGGAAGTGGTGAACTGTGAACTCAAGGGGTAGGGTTTGTGTTACAAGTTCTTTTAACCTTAAGTTGTTTCCTGGGAGTTCACACAATTCCCACACACTTGTTTAGCCAGGGCATACATTTCTATACACCCATAATTCTTTAGTATTTCATCACACATGTCCTGGGGACCCCAATGACTTCCCTTATGCAATATAGACATTAGATTTTTTTTTTCTTTTTTTAGACAGAATCTCGCTCTGTCACCCAGGCTGGAGTGCAGTGGCACGATCTCGGCTCACTGCAAGCTCCACCTCTCAGGTTCATGCCATTCTCCTGCCTCAGCCTCCCGAGTAGCTGGAACTACAGGCACCCACCACCACGCCCCGGCTAGTTTTTTGTATTTTTAATAGAGATGGGGTTTCACTGTGTTAGCCAGGATGGTTTTGATCTCCTGACCTTGTGATCCACCCGCCTCTGCCTCCCAAAGTGCTGGGATTACAGGCATGAGCCACCGCATCCGGCCAACATTAGATTTTTTATTATGGGTTTGTTTATTATTTCTCTCCCATCAGGGAGCACTCACCTTCCATTCTTAGTTTAAGTGGCTCCTATCTTGCCTAGCTTTTCCTCCTCTTTTGAAAATTGGGGTTTTAATATCACCTTAGGGATATCTGGGCTAAACAGTTTAAATTTTTCCTCCAGGGAGACTTGCTTAGCAGCCTTATCCACAAGCCTGTTCCCTACAGCTTCTATAGTGTTTCTTTTCTGATGGCCATTTACATGAACTATGGCTGTCTCTGCTGGAAACAGGAGGCTTTCTAAAACTTGTTCCCCATGTACCAATTATTTTGCCCTGCTATTTTCTAGGCCCTGCTCTGTCCAGATTTTTTCAAAGGTGTGTACTACTTTATAGGCATATTTGGAATTAGTATATATAGTGTCTTCTTGATCTTCTAGGAGCTTTAGGGTCTGGTTAAAAGCATAAAATTTACAGGTTTGGGCTGACCAGTTATTGAGTAATTTAACTTTTTCACATAAGGATTGTTTGTTTTTGTTCATGACAGCACAGCCATTGTGTCTTTTACCATTTATTACTCAGGATGACCCATTCATAAACAACCTCATCCCATTATGTAGTAGAGTTCCTTTAAGGTTTGGTACTAACTTTAGTTTGATACTCTGTGATATCTAAACAGTTATACTCTGACGCCTTCTTATTCTCCTCTCCTTTTCATAAGAAACTGGCTGGTGTTAGTTTAGTCACCTCCCGAGGGCCCATTGACCCCAGGAGGAACTTGGGGAGGCAAGGGACTGACCAGCTGGCATCCCAGAGTGCCCTTGGCCGGGCCCTGCTGGGTTTGGCTTTGGGCCAAGAGCTGCTGGTTTGAAGATCTGCCAGCCTGTGGAGCCTTCCCTGATGGGTACTCTCATTAGAAAAGGCATTTCTGGCTCCGCCCTCCGTTCCTGTTTCTTTTTTTTTTTGTGCTTCAAAGGCACCGTTCCTCTCCGTGGCAGGCCTAGAGGTGCACTGTTTGTGTTTCATGCAACCCCCACTGGTGACCCAGCAACTGTAAAGGGTCTCCAGTTTGTCCAGCCCTGGGAGGGGACTTAGTGGCTTTTCCTCCTCCTGGGCTGCAAGGATCCTCCCCTGGCCCAGCCCGACTCTGGGAAACAGAACTTTTACACATTCCACCTTAAAGCATTTTGGCAGACTTTTCCCCAGCACGAGCTCTCTCTACTTCAGGGATTGCAAACTGGCATCCTCTTTTGCCTGTTTTGGGTTTTTAAGTTATTTGAACAGAATATCAGCATTTTAAAATTATATTTTACATAAAAAGTCAGAATTTTGTCCTCTGACAAAGCAGACAATCTGGCAACACAGTGCCAGCACTGTAAGAAGAGCTGAGCAGCCGCCACAGTTCCCACCCAGCCCTGCAGCCCTCCTTTTTATTATTTGCTGGCCCTGTAGTCATTTGAGTTTACAACCCTAGTACTGATTTTCCTTATGTAGCGACCCCAGCCCTTCTGCTGCCTTACTGACAGCTAACTGCCCCTGGTGGCCTTCCAGCCTCTCACTAAAACAACAAAACCTTAATGTTATCTTATTCATTTACTCTTCCATAACTTGAATCCTTTTGACCACCTCCTGATAAACAGCCATCTAGTTTTTGCTGTAGGCAACCCATTACACCTCAAGCAGCCTGATCCTAAACTCTCCTCCACATCCCTTTCTCACTTGCATCCATCCCCCAGTTCCCGGGTTTTGTCGTTCCTCAGTGGCCACGCACTGCATGCACCCTTCCCCTGCACCTCCTTGTTGCTTAAGTCCCCAGAAACTTCCCCCAGCCCTGCCAACCTCTCAGCATTCTCTCACTTTGTCTTGTACTCTTTTTTCCTTTTACATTATTTGTCTCCCCAGTTTTACCTTCTGTGTTTCTCTTTGATCTCTGTCTCTTTTAGTCTCTCTTGCTAATTTTCCTCTTCTATTCTCTCTCTGTCATCCCATTTCCTTTCTGTCTCACACTCAGCTTCTTCCTCTTTCTCTGGGCATGAGCCGAGCCGTGCTGTGCCCTGGCTCCCCTTGTCTGTCTGCAAAAACAGGCAGCTCTGCAGAAATGACTCAGCAGTAACCTTTATCAACAGCTTTTAGAAGCCAGCTGCCACACACAGCTGTGCCGCTGGCTCTCTCTTCCTTCAGGTATAGCAGCTTAACTCTCTCTCTCTCTCTTTCTCTCACACACACACACAAACTTTCTGAGCTTCCCTCAGTATTTCCTTAATTGGTTTTTTATTCCATCCGTTAATCTTTTGCAGTTTCTTAGTAATATTACATCAGCTTTTAGTTACAAAATTAACCTTTAAAAGGCCTTGCCCTACTGGGTCCTCTGGATTTAATCCTGAATATTTTTTCACTTGATCCCTGAGCCTCTGCAGAAATGCAGAGGGAGTCTCCTCTTCTTGTTGTTGGATCTTGAATGCTTTGGGGATGTTTTGTGTCCTATGAGTGGACTGCATAATCCCTCTAATTATTAGCTCCCTATGGTCTTGCATTTGGACCCGATCCCTGGGGTCATTATTATCCCATCCAGGATCTGCATTTGGGAATTTCTGCTTAGCTGGCAGGACTCCTTACCCAGGAGGATGCTGCTGTCTCTCCCAAATGATTATGGCTGCCCTTCTAATTATTCCCATCTTTTTCCCAGTAAACAGAATATTCATGATTGAATTATCTCAGCCCAAGTATAAAAATTAGGTTCTAAAAATTGATCTAGCTGTTCTGCTAAACTGAGGGGATCTTCCGAGAGTGGCCTCATTTCCTTTTTAAAATTCCTAACCTCAGTACTTGTTAAAGGCACACTTACAAATCCAATTTATTATTATTATCATTATTATACTTTAAACTCTGGGATACACGTGCAGAACATGCAGGTTTGTTACATAGGTATACATGTGCCATGGTGGTTTGCTGCACCCATCAACTCATCATCTACATTAGGTATTTCTCCTAATGCTATCCCTCCCCTAGCCCCCTACCCTCAGACAGGCCCCAGTGTGTGATGTTCCCCTCCCTGTGTCCATGTGTTCTCATTGTTCAACTCCCATTTGAGTGAGAACATGCAGTGTTTGGTTTTCTGTTCTTGTGGGTCTTTCTCTGAGAGACCCAGAGAACACGTAGCTGATGGTTTCCTGAGAATGATGGTTTCCAGCTTCATCCATGTCCCTGCAAAGGACATGAACTCATCCTTTTTATGGCTGCATAGTATTCCATGGTGTATATGTGCCACATTTTCTTTATTCAGTCTATCATTGATGGGCATTTGGATTGGTTCCAAGTCTTTGCTATTGTGAACAGTGCCGCAATAAACATATGTGTGTATGTATCTTTATAGTAAAATGTTTATAATCCTTTGGGTATATATCCAGTAGTGGGATTGTGGGATTGCTGGGTCAAATGGTATTTCTGGTTCTAGATCCTTGAGGAATTGCCACATTATCTTCCATGATGGTTGAACTAATTTACACTCCGACCCACAGTGTAAAAGCATTCCTATTTCTCCACATCCTCTCCAGCATCTGTTGTTTCCTGACTTTTTAATGATCGCCATTCTAATTGGTGTGAGATGGTATCTCATTGTGGTTTTGATTTGCATTTCTCTAATGATAAGTGACTATGGGCCTTTTTTCATATGTTTGTTGACTACATAAATGTCTTCTTTTGAGAAGTGTCTTTTCATATCCGTCGCCCACTTTTTGATGGAGTTGTTTGTTTTTTTCATGTAAATTAAGTTCTTTGTAGATTCTGGATATTAGCCCTTTGTCAGATGGACAGATTGCAAAAATTTTCTCCCATTCCATAGGTGGCCTGTTCACTCTGATGATAGTTTCTTTTGCTGTGCAGAAGCTCTTGAGTTTAATTAGATCCCATTAGTCAATTCTGGCTTTCGTTGCCATTGCTTTTTGTGTTTTAGTCATGAAGTCTTCGCCCATGCCTAGGTCCTGAATGGTATTGCCTAGGTTTTCTTCTAGGGTTTTTACAGTTTTAGGTCTTATGTTTAAGTCTTTAATCCATCTTGAGTTGATTTTTGTATAAGGTGTAAGGAGGGGGTCCAGTTTCAGTTTTCTGCATATGGCTAGCCAGTTTTCCCAACACCATTTATTAAATCGGGAATCCTTTCCCCATTGCTTGTTTTTATCAGGTTTGTCCTTCCTTACATTGTTCTAATTCTTTCCTCAAGTTTGGATAAGGATTTAAGGGAGCATTGGGTTTAGCTCCTTCATGACCTCCCAAATCCTTTTCCTCTGACCTTCCTTTTGCCCCCTGATCTCCCTGTCCTCTACTTTGTGAGATGTATAGGGTGTAGGGCAAGCGTGTTAGGGGATCCCAGGGCTTTTCACTGGGTGAGGGCTCTTTACTATGCTCTTTTTATTTCTCTTTAAGGGGGAACACGGGGCTTAATTCACTAATCCAACAAACAGCATAACCCATCTCCTCTTGTGAAGATGGGGTTTTATCATTCACATAGAGAATTAAAGCTTGGCATATACAGTCCTTATTTGAGCTAAACTTAGGCCAAAGGACTGAAGGCTGACAAATGGGCTTTTTAGGCCAGATAAAACAGCAAGCAATACATTATTATTTTTTGTTTTTCCTTATTTCAGGTTTTCTAGTTATTTTTGAGTCAGTTTTGGCAATTTCTATCTTTGTATGAATCTGTCCATTTTATCTAAGTGGTCTAACTTATTGACTTCAGGTTTTTCAGAGTCTTCACTTATAATGCTTTTGAATTTCTAAAGGGTCACTAGTGATAATCTCTCTTTTGTTCACAATTTTGGTAATTTATCTCATTTCTTATCATCTCTGTTTTGACTGTTGGTCAAGAAAACAGACAGAGGCAGCAGATGGCTATGTGATTCTCTAGTGGGAAGGCTTTGATCATACATGGCTGGCAAGCCAGACTGATGGCAGCAACCCCAAAGGAGCTGCCAAGGGATCTTGACAGGAAAGTCACTGACTCTGGATTGGGCTATGCTCAACCAGGGGAAGAGGTCAATGCTTCAAGGGCTATGAAATCACCAGAAAAAAAGAGATTGCACCAATGTGGACTGCTGAGTCCCATTTCTTTACGCAAGAAAACACACTTTACAGCCTCAAATGGCTAACAATGCACAGGGAGATGTCCTCCTCAGAAGAAAACTTTGATAGAAAATTGAAATGGTCAGTTGAAGCATTGTTTGTCTAAAAACTGGCAATATAGTTGTTGGGCAATATAAACATGAAGGACTGGCTTTTACATCTTCATGAATGTGCTCACTGTCCACATGGGTGGGGCTGCAAGAGTGACTCCTCTAGATAGCTTCCTCTCTTTTACCTGATGGATCAGGACGATGCTGTTATGACTATACATACAATTCTTCTGAAGGGGAGAGGATGCTGGAATAATGACTACGCTTCACCTCAAATTTCTTTTTTCATATGTGATGCAGTGGTACCAGGAATAGGGATGAAAATCAAAGTGCCAGAAACAGGAATTATCTTTAAGCCAAAAACCATAACTATATATTTACATCTTTATATAAGAATTCCCAAGCAACTCAAAGATGGTGCTATGCCTTCATTTCATCTGGCAAAGTCAGGATTAACAGTAAATAGAGCTATATAGCCTGGTGGTCAGATGGCCCCCACTAGTTCCTTACCTACATAACCTACCCTCTATGACCAAGAGTAGACCGAGGGAAGGCATGCTAGAATACTATTGCTGCCTGCAGTCTAGGTCAGCACAGCAGACAAACCTGATGTCACCTCTAAAACTGGAAAAGACTGATATAAAGGGACAGAAGGAGGAATAATGGCTGAGGGTAAGTGACTAAATCAAAGGGTTATATAATGAGGAAAATTCAATATTAGCTTAACTCCTCAAAAGTGCTGTGAGCAAGAGAAGATATTGTCTCTTAGGTCAATTATACTGGGTGCCTAAAAGAGTGAAGCCATATGTCCTTGAGACCATTCTTGTTTTTGGAGCCTGGTAAGGTTGAGTGGTGTCTGCAAACCTGAGTGACTTCATTCTGGGAGACATATTCATACGAGAGGATGGTGAACTGTTCTAATTTTGAATGACTGAATGAGACTCTGATAATACGCCAATACCTCTTTACTTTTATAATCCTTTTCCTATAAAAGATATGTGGTCAAAGAAAAGCGGGTAATCTGAGGTATAACAAAAACATTTAGTCTTTGTCCCTGGTTTCTCCTAAAAACCTTAGAATCTCTTGAGTGATAAGAGTTAGAATATTGATGAGAGGACTCATGGCTGAGCGGACCCTGGATATCTTGAGAATGGGGGCTGACTGCCAGAGACACATACCTGTGATGAGAGCGCTGTCTTATTCCATTTTGTGTTGCTATAAAGAAATGTCAGAGACTGACTAATTTATATAAACAAGGTTCATGTGGCTTGGGATTCTGATGTCTGGAAATGTTTGAGCATTTGGTGAGGGCCTCAGGCTGCTCCCACTCATGGCAGAAGGCAAAGGGGAGCTGGTATGTGCAGAGATCACACGGTAAGAGAGGAACAGAGAGCTTAGGAAGTTGCCAGGCTCTTTTTAACAACTGGCTCTCTTGGAAACTAAAAGAGTAACAATTCATTCACTTGCGAGAGAGGACAGGATCTCTTTATTCATAAAAGATTGGCCCCCATGACCCAAACAGCACCCATTAGGCCCCACGTCCAACACTGGGGGTCAGATTTTAACATGAGGTATCAGGGGGTAAATATTTATATCATTACATTCTGTCCCTAGCCAGCCAGAGCTCATGTTTTTCTCCCATTGCAAAATATGATAATTTCCCAATTGTCCCAAATGTGCTAGGTTGTTCCAGCATCAACTCAAAATTCCAAAGTCTCATCTGAGACTCAAGGTAAGTCCCTATAGCTGTGAGCCTGTAAAGTTTTAAAAAGGTTATTTACTTCTAAAATATTAATACAAGAGTGGAAGAGACATTTCTTATACATTTCCATTCTAAAAGGAATAAATGGGCCAAAAGAAATGAATGCAGTGTCCTCACAAAGCTGAAACTCATCATGGAAGATGTTAAAATTTAAAGCTCTAAAATAATCTCCTTTGACCCTATATCTTGAATCCTGAGCACACTGGTTCAAGTGGTGGGCTCACAATGCCATTTGCAGCCCCACATCCTTGGGTTTGCTGAACATAACCCATATAGCTGCTCTCATGGGTGAAAATTGAATACCTATGGATTTTCCAAGCTGAGCTTGCACATTGCCAGTGGCTCCACCATTTAGTAGTCCTGATAGGGGTCCTGCTCCTGCAGCTCCACTGGGAATTGTCCTGGATATTAAATTTCCCCTTTAAATATCAGTTCCAGTTGCAGATCATTTTTTTGCTCACACATATGTGCATAGACTATTACAACAGGAAGCCAAATCTTGAATGCTATGCTGCTTAGAAATTTCTTCTATCAGATACCCTTAATCATCACCCTCATGTTCAAAGTTCCACAGATCCCTAAGGAGGGGGCAGAATGCCTCCAAGTTCTTTGCCAATGCATAACAAAAGTGACCTTTTCTCTAGGTCCCAGTAAGTTCCTCATCTCCATCTGAGACCTCATCAGCCTGGGCTCTATTGTCTATATCACTATCAGCATTTTGGTCACAACAATTTAACAAACCTCTAGGAAGTTGCAAGTTTTCCCCCATTTTCTTGTCTTCTAAACTCTCCAAACTCTTCCAACCTCTACCTGTTACCCAGTTCCAAAGACATTTTCACATTTTCAGCTACGTTTATTGCAGTACCCAACTTCTGGTACCGATTTTCTGAATTATTCATTCTCAACTGTTATAAAGAAATACCTGAGACTGGGTAATTTATAAAGACAGAAGGTTTAAATTGGCTCATGGTTCTGCAGGCTATATGAAAGTATGATTCTGGCATCTGCTCAACTTATGAGAGGACCTCAGGAAATTTTCAATCATGCTGGAAGGTTAAGGGGAAGTAGGCATGACTTACAAGCCTGGAGTAGGAGGGAGAGAGAGCAGGGAGGTACCACACACTTTTAAACACCAGACGTTGTGAGAACTATCACAAGAACAGCACCAAAGAGATGGTCCTAAACTATTCATGAAGGATCCATCCTCATGAGCCAATCACCTCCCTGAGGTGCCACCTCCAACCTTAGTGATTACAAGTGAACATGAGATTTGGGTGGAGACACAGATCCAAACAATATCAGGGGTCATGGTGGACATGAGGGTGGGCTGGTCTCCCCACTTCTCACATGATACCAGGGATGTAGACACATTCAGACACCTTGGCAGAAAGAGAAGACAGAGGCCCTTGAAGTCACAAAGGGGAGGCATGAACAAATCTTGCATCTCAGTCCCTCACAAGGCAGTCTTAGAAAAAAAATAGTCATGAACAAATTCAGATCAGTCATAGTAAGTTGTGACACTGAACAGCCCACCACACCCTGAAAAATTCCAAATCAAAGAATCTCCAGAGCCTAGTTGTGTCCCCTATGCCCCAACTCCTCCTTCCCTTCAGGCCCCCTAAGTTGTCATTTTACAAGCCTTGAGAGACACATCAGAGCCCTGGGTACTGTCCCTGTTTCGGGTGGAACAAAAACAAAATCTGGTCAGAGCCCACAGATGATGTGACTAAAGGAGGAATTTTGGGGTGGTGAGCTCCCCCATGGGCTCCTGTCTACACTATCCCAAGGATCTCAGGGATCACTCTTCCCACCCCTACCACACTTGCATGAAGCCTGAGCATAGCTGCCTCCTTTTCCATCTGTGGAAAGAAAATAAACTGTGAAAGGCCAGGGAGGAAGCAGGGTCATGAGATCCCAGAGGAGTGTCCAGAACTGTGACTGCAGACCCAGGTCAGAATCAGGAAACCCTAGGTAAGAGGATGTGTTGAAACTGGACTAATTGTCCTAGTGAGGTCTGTCCTCTGCGGGTACCTTCCCCTGACCTGTGACTGCTGGGAGTCAGGTTCCCATGACTCCAATGAAGGTGATAAATTTGTCCTTCATTTTCACAAGTTCTTTACAAAAGAGTAAGTGTTGATAGACAGAGATGGTGCCTCATGACTAGGCAGGATACAAGCCAACTCCCATCTGGGGCTGGGAATCCACCAATGGAAGAAGAAAACTCGGAGCTCACCCCTTTCCTACCTGGGCTCTTATTCTTCACATCACAGCAGTGACCACAGCTCTGGTGAAAACAGCACCAAGAACAACCAGGACAGTAACGATGCCCATGATGGGGATGGTGGGCTGGGAAGACAGCTGTAAGAAAGGAGGGGAACGTGAGGGGCCCTGACCATCAGGCCTCAAACCCTGACCTTGCTGAAGGGCTCCAGAAGGGCTCCTAGTTCCCGTGAGAAGAGACATGACCCCTCATCCCCTTCCTTACCCATCTCAGGGTGAGGGGCTCTGGCAGCCCATCGTGCTGCACATGGCATGTGTATCTCTGCTCCTCTCCAGAAGACACCACCACAGCTGCCCACTTCTGGAAGGTTCTGTACCCTGCAGGTGTGGTCTCCACAACCTCTGCATCCTACATTTGGTCCTGTCCATCCCACTACTGGGTCAGTGTGATCTCCACAGGGTAGAAGCCCAGAGCCCAGCACCTCAGGGTGGCCTCATGGTCAGAGATGGGGTGGTGGGTCATGTGAGTCTTTGGGGTTCTGAGGGGAAGAGTCAGAAAATTCAGGCACTTTGCATTCCTCATGGGACATTCCACCTCATGGGACCATCCTGAAAATTGACGGGACACCTGAAGTGGGGAAGGGAGCAACTCAGACACCAGTCTAGACACAGGCACCTGGGGCAATCTTCTATTCCTTAGAAAGTTTTAGTGTCTGAGGCCGGAACAGAGATTTCTGGTCCTGACCTGAGCGGAGGCCAAGGTCAAAAAAGCTGGAATCAGACCCACAAATACACATTGAGTGTGAGGCAGAGAACAAGGCCTGAGAGGAAAATTCCTGGTGCCCAAGGCTGCTGTGGGGACAAAGGGGACCGCGGATCAGTATTTCAGGGATTGTCTTCCCCTCCTTTCCCTCAGAGACTACATCCTTTAACTGTCCCAGAGTGCAGGGCAGGCCCTCAGTCACTCTCTAGTATAGGATCTGAAAACCCGGGAGGACTCTTCCTCCTCACAAGAGGGAGAGGGATATTTTAGCGTTGGTCCCATTTTCCTTCCCTTCTTTTGGAATGTGACTCAAGGAGATCTGCAGGAGATCAGGGAGGCACCCCGTGGCCACTGGTACCTGGGCACTGCAGCCTCTCCTTCCCATTCTTAAGGACTTTGCTGAGCCACTCCGCCCACCTTCCCTGCAGGTAGGTTTTGAGCAGCTCTGCCTGTTCCTCCGCCAGGGCATCTGAGCCGCCTTGTCCGCTGCAGTCCAAGAGCGCAGTTCCTGGTTTCGGACGAGGTAACTGGCGCCGTGATAGGGTATGTTCATACCCACTGAGGAGACTGCAGTCCGAGTCCACGTCGCAGCTGTGTACCCATTGAAGGGTGTGAGACCCATTCCCAGCGACTGCGGTCAGCCCAGGCCGCTGAGCCCCGCCTCAGCCTCGACCAACCCCCGGGGATTTGGGCCTGAACTGAAAATGGAATCCGGTATAGGCGCCTGGGGCTTTTATTGGGTGGAGGATCTCCGCTGGTCCCGCAGCGGAGTAGCACAATCTTAGTAACAGTGGGTAGCGCAGTACAGTGGCTAGCACAATCTTGGTAGCCCCTGAATGGTCACGAATCTAATTTGTAAAAGAGGTGATTTTTGGCCCCATTATATATAAATGTGTCTAAACGCATTGCAGTTAGACTCACAAAGTTAAGTTTTACTTTCCCAGACTGTGTATCTGTGACTCTGGTCTGTTGTATTTTTAAATTATCTTTATCTTATAGCCCTGAGTTTGTGTGCGCGAGTCCAGGACATCTCAATACAAAGCACAATGTGTTACCGTATATTGCAACCAGGAGCCTGTACAGAATTTAATCACCTCAAATTTGCAAGTGCTCAATGCAGCCAAAGTGCCCTTCACCAGTGCTCATGCACCGCCTTTATTTATTATTTATTTATTTAGTTAGTTAGTTATTTTTAGACCGAGTATCACTCTGTTGCCCTAGCTGGAGTGCTGTGGCACGTTCATGACTCACTGAAGCCTCGACCTCCTGGGCTCATGCGATCAATGCTCCTCCTTCAGCCTCCAAGTATCTGGCACCACAGGCTTGTACCACCACTCCTGGCTAATTTTTCTAAAAAAAAATTTGTAGAAATGAGGTCTCCCTATGTTGCTCCGGCTAGTCTTGAACTCCTGAGCTCAAGTGATCCTCCTGCCTCAGCCTCCCAAAATGCTAGTATTACAGGCATGAGCCGCAATGGCCATCTCATGCACCTGCCTATATTTAGGAATTATTCACATCTAAGCTATGTGCATATTTTATTGGGACACTTGATATTCTTTTTTAACCTGTTTATCATAAGGAGGCAATTAGTTATTAGACAGCCCCACAGAATGTATTAAAGATCAAGGTGCAAGTAACACTGTGCCAGGCTCTGAGGATAAATGGATTAAAAATCTATAAAACCCTGTGTTTAAGTCTGAGAATTCCATTGCTTTAGAATTCTTTGTCTCTGTTCCTTTACCTCACCTCCTGCTTCTCCAGCCCTTCTCTCTGTCCCTGTCACCCATCAGGCCCTCCTCTCCCCTTAGTCTCTACTACTCTGTCACTACTGAATTGTGGCCCTAGCTGTGTCCCCTCGCCTGCTGCCCATGACTGTTCTCCCAACAATGGTCAGAAATCCTGCTAATGTGAGTCAGATTGTGTCATTTCTTCACTTAAAACACTCCAATGACTCCATCTCACTCTCAAGAAGCGTCTAGAATGGAAGGCACATGAGCACAGGGGCTTTGGGTTGTTTTGATCAAAGTTGTGTCTGCAGCATATGAAAGCATATCTGGCACAACTAAGTTAATTTTCTTGAATGAATGAAATATGATTGTGTTAAAAATTGTATCACACAAAAATCACAAAATGAAAAATGCAAAGCAAGTTAGGAAACATTTGGTTTTATGCAACTACTATGCATATCAGTTCATAAATTCATTCCATTGGAGGAAATGTCATATGCTTAGCTGTTGAATCTGTTTATGAATTTTCTATTAGTACATAACCAATTACCACAAACTTAGTGGCTTAAAAGAGCACTCATTTATTTGTCTGCATTTCCTTCATCAGAAATCCAGGCCTAATGTGATAGACTCTTTGTTCAGAGTTTCGCAAAGCTGTATCCTCATCTTAAGATTGGGGTTCTCCCCCAAGCTTATGTAGAGTTTGTTGGCAGAATTCGGTTTCTGGCAATTGTAGGATTAAGGTCCCTGTTTCCTTCGGGCTATCAGAGTAGACAGTGGGGAGGGTTTCTAATTCCTATTGGCCACCAGTGTTCTTTCCCCATGATCCCACCATTTTCAAAGCCCACAGTGGAGGAAGCCCCTCACGCTGAATCCCTCTCACACTGTGAGTCTCTATTCTCAGGAAGAACCCAGTCCTTTTCAGAGCTTACCTGATTAGGACCGTCCAAGCAGGATAATCCCCATCTTAAAGCCAACTGACAGGGGACCTGGAATACATCTGCAAAATCCCTTCACAGCAGCACTTACATTAGTGTCAACAGAGTAACTGGGGTAATGTGAGTAACCAAGGGTGGTTATTGGGGTGTCATCATAGAATCACCCTAGCATAGCCTGGATCTTCCTTTTGTGTTTGAATAGAACATACAAAGTGAAGGTAAAAATAATAGATCATTGTTAGTGATAATAAAATATATCTTATATAACCATGAAAATTCTTGTTAAATATTAAAAGCAAATGACATGTTTAATATCTTATAATCAATTTAGAGCAAATGAAAATTCAATGATTCATCCTTTCTTGTGAAGGTGTATTAGTTATCTACTGATGCATAACAAGTCACTTAAAACTTAGCAACTCAAATCAACAAATATTTATCATGTTCCACAGTTTCTAGTTGTCAGGAATCCAGGAAAGGTTTCTCAAAGTTCTTCTGGCTCAGGGCCACTCACAAAATTGCGGTCTAGTTGTCATCCAGGGCTTTATCATCTGAGGGCTCAAATGGGGCTGGGGATTCACAAGTCACAAGAATATCCCACGTGGCTGTTGGAAGAGGCTTCATCTTCTTATTGTCTGGCCCCAGGAGGCCTCACTTCCTAGTCACTTGGAGCTTTCCACAGGCCTGCTTATGACACAGCAGCTGGCTTCCCCCAAGGCTCATGATCCCAGAGAAAGAGAAAACCAGAACCAAAGTAGAAGCTGCAGTGAGTTTTTGTTTGTTTGTTTGTTTTTTGAGACAGAGTCTCACCCTGTCACCCAGGCTGGAATGCAGTGGCTGGATCTTGGCTCACTGCAACCTCCGACTTCCAGGTTCAAGTGATTCTCCTGCCTCAGCCTCCTGAGCAACTGGGATTACAGGCATGCACCACCACACCTGGCTAATTTTTGTATTTTTAGTAGAGACGTGGTTTCACCGTCTTGGCCAGGCTGGTCTCGAACTTCTGACTTCATGATCCACCCTCTTGACCTCCCAAACTGTTGGAATTACAGGCGTGAGCGACCGCTCCCAGACTTAGTGAGTCTTATGATCTACACCCAGAGTCACAAACTATTATCTCAGCATTACTCTATCAGTCTGTAAGCGAATCATTAAGTTCAGGCCACACTCACAGGAAGGGAATGAAGCTGCACCTCTGCAAGGAGGAGTATCAAATAATTTATATGCATGTTAAGTATGTACAGTATGCATGTTAAGTAACGTACAGAATGTAATCACCTCAAATCTGCAAGTGCTCAATGCAGCCAAAGTGCCCTTCACCAGGGCTCGTGCACTGCCTCCATTATTTATTTATTTATTTAGTTAGTTAGTTAGTTATTTTTAGACAAAGTATCACTCTGTTGCCCTGGCTGGAATGCAGTGGCATGCTCATGACTTACTGAAGCCTCAACCTCCTGGGCTCATGCCATCAATGCTCCTCCTTCAGCCTCCCAAGTAGCTGGCACCACAATTAACATTATTGTTTCAGGATTTTGTAAATCAAATACTTCTTGTATCTGACTGATTTTCTTTAATACTTTAAAATTATCTTTTGTAAAGTAATGAATAAAACTTTGAGACAGAGAATGGAGATACAACAATATCTCAGATTTTTTTGCAAATGCCTTTAATATTAATGTTCTCTTTGATGAGTTGCAAGAAAGTTGAGGAAATACAGTAGCTAGATCAAAGAGTCCCAAGACTGGTGCCGTATAATAATGCCTTTACAATCATAACTATCTTTTTCCTCAGAAGCTACTAATTCTGTTTAAGAATGCCCAAAATGTCAATTTTCTTACTCAAGCTTCTGCAAAAATATTTGCCTAATCAGGGTGCTTTGCAGTTAGAGAAAATGTGTCTCACATCTTTGTCTGTACAGCTAGCTTAGCATCACGAACAACGATTTGGTTTGATGTAGTAGGCGGAAATGGTTAACTCCAATCTAGGAACAAGATTTTTCAATAACTGGGTATTCAGTGGGCATCCATTGATCAGTTTAACATCTTTCGCTGTGTTTTTTAATTAGATGTGGTAGAAGTGATTTGGACTCCAGTATGATTCTGAAAAATACAGTTATTTTGTGCTTCTAATGTTGCTGTAAAAGAAACTCTTTCGTGTTTTCCATTCTTATTGCTATTTCATCACTAGTTATTCCTTTATGTGTTTTCATTTAATTTATTTTGCTCGACAGTGCTTTTTTTCTATTCTGTAAAAGTTTAATTCACTTGTACCTGTGGTAAAATTGAGCAACATATCAAATTCTCAAATTCTTTGCGAGATACAATTGCCTTGCACATCAGATTGAACATTGTACACCAGAGAATGTAGAGAGTTGCCAATTAGCCAAGAATCAAATGACCTATTTCTAGCCAAGGCTATTTTTTCATGGCATCCTGGTACTCTCTGTCACATGGCTCCTTACAATTGGCTGTGGCTTTGTTTTAACTCATGTATTTATCGCTAAGGATCCTTGCAATGAACTTTTGTGTTTTCTTTTCTCTTTCATTTCCAAATAATCAGGAATGGCACACAAGGTGCATTTTGAAAATTGCCACTATAAATATATTTGTGGGCCGGGAGTGGTGGCTCATGCTTCTAATCCCAGCATTTTGGGAGGCCGAAGTGGGTGGATCACCTGAGATCAGGAGTTGGAGACCAGCCTGGCCAACATGGTGAAGCACAGTCTGTACGAAAAATACAAAAATTAGCCGGGCATCAGGGCAGGTGCCTGTAATCCTAGCTACTCAGAGGCTGAGGTAGGAGAATCGCTTGAACATGGGAGGCGGAGGTTGCAGTGAGACGAGATCACACCACTGCACTCCCGCTTGGGCAACAAGAGTGAGACTCCATCTCAAAAATAAATGAATAAATAAATAAATAAATAAATAAATAAAGATTTATGATCAAGTAACTAATTACCTGGACATCCTCTCCTGGCATAAGAAACAGAACCTATGAAGCCACCCTAGACTGTTGCCCAATCCTATCCACCAAAAGGAACCTCTATCTTGAGTCTTGTATTTACTAGTCCTTTGCACTGTCTCTAAAGATTTTTACAATAAATATATATACCCAAATCACAGTCTGACCTGTTTTTTTAACTTCCCTGTACAGCGAACTCACACTATATGTATTCTCCTGTGATGCGCGTTATGTGTAGGAGAGTTATCTCTGATGTGGGAAGGTGCTGTTCAATCATTTTTACTGCTAAAATTTTACTTTTAGGGATTATATCACAATTTTGTTAATTCCCATTGATGCATATGTGATTGTTTCCAGTTTTTTTGCCATAAACATTGGTGTACACGTCTCTGGGACACATAGCCAAAAATATCCCCAGAGTGTATGATCAGGAGCAGGTGGTGGGATTATACAGTGTATGGACCTTAATCATACAAGATAAGGCTAATTTGATTTCCCAAGTGCTTGTACCAAGAATGGGAAAGAACTTATGTTGCTCATGTGTTCTGAAAACACTCAGTTGAAGGTGGAGATTACATGTTAAAAAACCACTGTCTTGGCTACAGAATCACCCTAGGCATTTTTTCATATTCCATTAATAACTTCCTTTTCTTTACTTTTATCCTGTAAATTATGGCATTATACTTTAAGCATAAGATTCAAATAATGCTTCTTTTTAGCCTAACCACATAGAGTTTGTGAAAAAGTGGAGGGAGGGAGAAAGCTCTGAGGGAGGAAAGGAGGAAAGAAAGATGGAAGGACAGAGAAAGACAAAATGAACATTTTCAAAAAAGAATAGGAGGAAAGGATTAGAAACAGCAAGTGTGGCTAATATTATTAAAATGCAGGGAATTAAAAGATGTAGATAACATCCATGGAATAACCGAAACTTAAGAAAGCCTTAATAGTTATTAACTGCTGTGTCACAGACTACCTCAAAATTTAGTGGCTTAATACAACAAATATCTGTAAATTCAAAGAGATACTACAAACGCACGCAAAATAGATTTTATGGGGGTGGCAGAAGTTGGATAAAGAGATGGATTTTACAGGTTGGAATAAGTAAGAGTTATTGGTGTGCACATGGCAATGCTTTTTATTCCAAGTCCTCCAAGGAGCAGATGCCAAGATGAGCTTAAAGTCTACGGCATCTTATGAGGGGACACACCTGTAAGGGAATATGAGAAGCGAGCCAGAAATCCCTGGAAAAGGTGGCAGACAATGATGCAAGTGTGACCCCAAGTGCTGGACAGAAGGAGACAAGGTCTGTTCGACGCATCCTAGAGCAGAGGCAGTCTAAGGAGAGTTGAGGAAGGGCATGGAGGAGTCCTGGAGCCACATTTGGCCATCAGAGGAGTCCCATGTCTCCCAGTAATGGCCTGCCTTGGTGTGCTTGCTGTGACCGGTCACTGGCTGGGAACAACTCATGGAAGCAGGGCTTCTGCACTAATCCTGCTGAGGATGTCAGAGCACAGAAGCAGAGACGTGGGACATTACCTAGGAGTATCACTCAATCCTTCCTTCCTGAGGGTTCTGGGCTCTTGAATATCAAACCCTCTCAGGCTGGGTTGCTGGATGATTCTGTTCACACAACGGACAAGGGAAACCAGGATGTCCCCAAGTGGATTCCTGGTTTCCACACACACTTCTCCTGCCCTCATTGTGTGATAGCAGCCCTGCCTCCTCCTCTTCTCACCTGCTTGTCTCTGGGCACATAGTATTCAAATATCCCTGGGTGCAACCACAATGTGTAGTTCCATGGACTCTCATTTGTCTCCTTGCCAGGGTGCCCTCTTTGGGAAACCAGGACCTCCTACCCTGCAGAGTCCATATTTTGGAAGTAAGAAGAGCAAAATCACCCTGGGGGTGAATATAATGAATAAAATACATACATACATACATACATACATACATACATACATACATACATACATACATGCATAAATAAATTTATTTGTGTACTCATGTTATTTATGTATTTATTTATTTACTTATAAGTAAATCACCCTGGGGGTGAATATAAGGAATGAGACACACCTGCTTTGACTTCTTGGTTTTTGGACCCACGTATTCTTCCTTCTGAAAACAGTGCCTTAGAGATGTCTTTGATTCAATACATGCATCACATCCTGAAAGATGGCACCCATTCCTCAGAGGATTTCATCCAAGCTGGTACTGAGTTGTGCCTGTAGAGTCCTGTCCATGACTCTGTGTGCCTGGCAGCACTTGAGAGGCGCAGGTGGTGATATGACCAGGGGATCCCATGGTCAGGGCCCATACTTCATCCCCTTCCCCAAGAGGTGTGTCCCCCAGGCAGATAATGTACTGAAATTCTGAGCCAGTGGATCAGGAATGCCAATAGTGTTGTTGACTGAGGGTCTGAGAGCAGAGAGGAAAACCACACCACATCGAATCCCTGTGAGCCTATCCCTGTGAGGATGAACTTCTGCCCCTTCCAGGATGGATGGTGTTCAAGCTATTCAACTTGTCACTTAGGGGCTAGTCAGTTACTTTAAGAAATAGTGCCCTATCGGTGCCTATCATTGGTCTGCAATGCTCACGAGCAGAGTATTCAGAGGAAGCAGTAGCTGGGTGGGCCTTGGTAGTGGAGAGACAGTGCTGCTGGACTCATTTGTAGCTTCATCCCTGCCACTGTGGTTGCTCCACTCACGGGTCCTTCCTATCAGGCCTGGGCTGATCCATGATGCAGACTGGCTAACTTCAATTTGTCTTCAATTTGTTTGGTTATTCAGGGCCACATCAGGACTGGGTGTTTTCTGTGGGTGTTAACATGGAATTGAGGCTCAACCGACATGGACCATTTTCGTCTCATGATAGATGCCGTTGGGCCTGTCCAACGAATGACTCTATGGGTCACATAGAAGCCAATACACACGGGCACTTGGAATCACATGGTTGCTTGGTGTCCTATGCTCAAGCATTCTATCTTATCAGGGCCAGTAACATGCTAAAAGTTGCTTCTAACATGGAGCATGTTTCTCTGCTGTGGACTCCATGGCCTTACTCCTGATCCCAGGCCCTGCATTCTGACTTTCCCACTGATGCTTGGTTCAGCTCCATCCTGCTTCTTTCCGCAGACCGCCACCTCCAGCACCAGGGGTCTGAGGGATGGTGACTGACTGCACCACAGCCTGGGTCTGCTGCAGTGTCCTTTCCAGTCCAGGCCCCACTCAAAGCTGGCCTCCTCCTATATCACCCAGAGTGTCAGCCAAAGCAATATACTTAGATGTGGAATGTGGTGTTGCCAGAACCCAGAGAGGCTCACCAAGTAGTGTACTTCCTTCCTTCTGGTGAGGATGCAAGATGCAAGTTTGTCTTTTACTTTGGCACGGGGGGGCGGGGGTGGGGGGTGGGGGGAGCTCTGCATGCCCCTAACCACTGGACCCGTAACACTTCACTGCAGTGGCCACTCTTGAAGCTCTGTAAGGTTTATCTTCACCTTCTGTAGTGCACATGTTTTGCCAGGGAATTCAGCGTACTTTCCTGCTCTTGTTCATCCTTCCCAATTTATGTGATATTGCCAATGAAATGAAGAGATTTAGTATTCTGTGAGATGTCTGATTCGTCCAGGTCTCTTAAGGTGGTATTTATAGAAGGTTGAGGAGTTAAGGTAGCCCTGATGCAAGCTATCAATAAATGTATTATAAATCCCATGTGAATGTGAATCATTCCATATCCATCTTCTAAATGAAATGGGAGGGAATGCACTCACCAAATCCACAGCTGCTTGCCATGTGCCTGAGGCCTTATTAATCTCCCCAGGCAGTGATATCCAGCCAGCATGGCAGCTGCAATCAGGACTCCTACTTGGTCAAGTCTGGAGTAATTCCATTCATTCTTTAGCCGTATCAGGCTTCTGCAGGTACAGATTGCTGAGTTATATGGAGATAACAGGCAATCCCAACACCACCCCGCATTGTTCAGGTCTGTAATGGCAGTGCCACCCCTATAATACCTGCAGTACCCTCCACAAGACCCACCCTGGGGCACAATATTGCTTCTGGTTTGGCTTGGATGAGGGATGTTTCCCTTTGGGCTTCAGCACAATGAGATCCCTTACTCTCCAGACTAGGGACACAGTGTGGGGTGACTCCAGTTGCCAGTGCATCAAGGCCAATTATGCACTAAGAGAATGGGGAGATAATCAGGACAGGATTTATGGAACTGGTGATTCCACCATGGGGCATAATGTGTCTAGGTTTATTCCCTGGCCTCTGTAAGCCCCAGTGTGATGGGGGACATAATGGTGCTGTGGGAATCTGGGCAGCAATGTCAGCTCACACCCAGTGTTAATACTTATCCCATCTCCTGATTAAATGGCTATAGGCTCCTTTGCAGAAGGGCTGATGGAATTGTCCCAGCATGTAACCATCATCGTGTCCCAAGGTTCTTTCTCTTAGGGATACAGATATGTCCTTAGTCACTGGATTCTGAATCTGAAGCTTGCTACTCAATTCCACATGCTTATCATAGATATCAAGAAGTGCCCTTGCTGTCTGCCCATCTTTTCTGACCCTGGGACACCACCCTTTATTAACCTTCCCCACAACTCCTTGAAGGTCAAGCCCCCTTGGCTGATACTCTGGGTTATCACAGTAAATGTGCCCTTTATCTTTGGCAGGTCACTGAAAAGGAGGGTTCCTAAAGCATTCACTCCTGACCCTGAGGGAGGTGGGTGCACTCACTCCAGGACTCAGGTGCACCACAGATAAGCAAAAAAGTCCTCACATTCAAAATTGTCCTGGGCCACATGCAGCCCACGAGCCACGGGTTGGACAAGCCTGCATCTAGAACGTATGCACCATAACCCCAGAAATTTTTCTGTTTTTACTTTAAGGATGCTTTCTAAATGCAAAAGCAGTCATATCCCTAGCAGACAACAAATGTCAGTTGAATGAATGATCACTGTAGAGCACCTCCCTATTCTAAAGCCCATACCTTTATTAATGTAGCCACAGGGCAAATGCTGTTTTGTGGCAGCTAAAGAACATAAGTTCACATGGACATCCATGCCGCCAGTGCTTTTCTCACCAGGGCTGCTTGTGTGTCCTCCCTCCTCCCACACCAACCCTCCTGCACACTTCAGCACAAAACCATATATTTCTCTTCAGGAACAATAACCCTAGCCTTATGGGTACAATTTTCCAACCACATATGAATCTAAATTAGACTCTGCTTTATAAATCTATGAGTTTGGATTGGAGCCAGCATTAGGATTACTACAACTCAGAGCAGGAAGAAGAGTAGGAGGGCAGAAGAGGAGTTCCAACAGAAAGTTAATCATGATGAGAAACTATGGGACCCCTCCTCTCTGCAAATGTCACAATCTGGTTCCTTTAAAAAGACTGGAGAAAAATCAAAAATACAATTGAGGAAAAAGCCCTGGGAGGAAGGCAAGACCTGGACAGGTCTGAAAATTTGTCTCTTGATACCACAAGGAGATTTGTATGCAGGGACCACCGTAGGTGACATCCAACTCCCTGTGATCACAGGTCTTGGTGGGACAAGTTTCTACTGAAGGGCCAAGGACAATGGAGCAGCAAAGATGACCCAGCCAAGCAGTGACCACATAAAGCCCATGGTGGCCGGAACAGAAACTGGGCACAGCCCCATCTACTCTCCTCCCCTGCAACAAATCAGCATAAGCAACACGTGGACTCTGGAAGGTTCTCATGTGTTCCATTTATTTTGTCTCTCAAATTTTAGGAATCTTCTCCTTTAATTAACTCATCAACCTCTCATGGCAAGAATTTGAGAAAGTAAATTTATACTCAGGTTCTAATTTTAATAGGGAAGGAAAAAGTTACAGCTCAGTGCACCATGAAGTTGAGGCAGAGATGGAGACACCTCAGCCCCACCTCTCTGGAACAGGAAAGATGATTGGGGAGGGAGCACAGGTCAGCGTGGGAAGAGGGTCATGGTGGACATGGGGGTGGGGTGGTCTCCCCACCTCCTCACATTATGCCTACAAGAACACAGACACATGCAGGTGCCTTTGCAGAAACAAAGTCAGGGTTCTTCAAGTCACAAAGGGAAGGGCAGGAACAAATCTTGCCTCTCAGTCCCACACAAGGCAGCTGTCTCACACTATAGAAAAAAATATTCATGAACAAATTCGTATCTGTCACAGTGAGGAGTCACACTTTAAACAGCCCATCGCATGCTCAATACATCCAATGCAAAGAAACCCCATAGCACAGCTGCGTCCACTGTTCCGCCCAACACCCAACACACATCAGGCCCTCCAGGCTCTCACCTTTACAAGCTGTGAGAGACATATCAGAGCCCTGGGCACTGTCACTGCCTGGGGTAGGACAAAAACAGAACCTGGTCAGATCCCACAGAACATGTGGCTAGAGGAGGAATTGTGGGGTGGGTGAGCTCCCCCACGGGCTCCCAAACACAATATCCCAAGGACCTCAGGCATCAGCCTCCTTCATACTTACTTGCAGCCTGAGAGTAGCTCCCTCCTTTTCTATCTGTGGGAAGAAAATGTCCTGTGAGATACCAGAAAGGAGCCAGGGCCTTAAGGTCCTAGAGGAACCTCCAAGTCTTGGACCTCAGAGAAGTTTCCAGAAATGTGTGACTGCAGACCCAGGGCGGGATCAGGAAACATGAAGAAAGCAGGTGTGGGTCCTGGACCAACCGCCCTCCTGAAGGTCCTCAGGGACCTTCCCCTGTGACTTGTGACTGCTGGGATCAGGTCCCATCACCGCCGTAATCAAGGTGATAAATCTGTCCTTCATTTTAACAGGTGCTTTACAAAAGAGTAAGTGCTGGCACACAGGGCCCAGGCTGGGTAGGCTCATAATTGTGGATGGTGCTTCCCAGTAACGAGGCAGGGCACACTTCTACCTGGGTCTTGGAACCCTCAGTGAGACAAGAAATCTCAGACCCACCCTTCATCCCTTCCCCACCTGAGCTCTTCCTCCTCCACATCACAGCAGCGACCACAGCTCCAGCGATCACAGCTCCAAAGAGAACCAGGCCAGCAATGATGCCCACGATGGGGATGGTGGGCTGGGAAGACGGCTCTGGGAAAAGAGGGGAAGGTGAGGGGCCCTGACCCTGCTAAAGGTCAGAGAGGCTCCTGCTTTCCCTAAAAGACATGACACCCCCGTCTCCCTCCTTACCCCATCTCAGGGTGAGGGGCTTGGGCAGACCCTCATGCTGCACATGGCAGGTGTATCTCTGCTCCTGTCCAGAAGGCACCACCACAGACGCCCACTTCTGGAAGGTCCCATCCCCTGCAGGCCTGGTCTCCACGAGCTCCGTGTCCTGGGTCTGGTCCTCCCCATCCCGCTGCCAGGTCAGTGTGATCTCCGCAGGGTAGAAGCTCAGGGCCCAGCACCTCAGGGTGGCCTCATGGTCAGAGACAGCGTGGTGAGTCATATGCGTCTTGGGGGCGTCTGTCAGGAAGAGTCAGAACATTCAGGCATTTTGCATCTGTCATGGGACACTCCTCCAGCACACATGTGGCTATCTTGAGAATGGACAGGACACCTGGGATGGGGAAGGGAGCACAGAACCCAGACACCAGCCTGGACACAGGCACCTGGGATAATCTCCTATTCCGTGGAAAATTCTAGTCCCTGAAGAGGGAACAGCGACTTCTGGTCCTGACCTGAGTGGAGGCTGAGGGACTCAGAAGTGCTGGACTCAGACCCCCACACACATTGAGTGTGAAGCAGAGAACAAGGCCTGAGAGGAAAAGTCACGGGCCCAAGGCTGCTGCCGGTGTGTGTCAAAGGGAACCACTCATCAGTATTCGAGGGATCGTCTTCCCGTCATTCCTTCAGAGATTTTATCCCTTAATTGTGTCAGAGAGCAGGGCGGAACCTCAGAGTCACTCTCTGGTACAGGATCTGGAAACCCAGGAGGATTCCTCTCCCTCAGGACCAGAGGGAGGGCGATATTCTAGTGTTGGTCCCAATTGTCTCCCCTCCTTGTGGGAGGCCAGCCCGGGAGATCTACAGGCGATCAGGGAGGCGCCCCGTGGCCCCTGGTACCCGTGCGCTGCAGCGTCTCCTTCCCGTTCTCCAGGTATCTGCGGAGCCACTCCACGCACCGGCCCTCCAGGTAGGCTCTCCACTGCTCCGCCTCATGGGCCGTCTCCCACTTGCGCTGGGTGATCTGAGCCGCCATGTCCGCCGCGGTCCAAGAGCGCAGGTCCTCGTTCAGGGCGATGTAATCCTTGCCGTCGTAAGCGTCCTGCTGGTACCCGCGGAGGAAGCGCCCGTCCGGCCCCACGTCGCAGCCATACATCCTCTGGATGGTGTGAGAACCTGGCCCGGACCCCGAGGTCAGCCCGGTCCCCCGAGCCCCGCCCCGCCCCGACCAACCCGGGGGGATTTTTGGCCTAAACTGAAAATGAAACCGGGTAAAGGCGCCTGGGCCTCTCCCGGGGCAAGGGTCTCGGGGTCCCGCGGCTTCGGGGCGGATCTCGGACCCGGAGACTGTGGGCGACCTGGCCCGTCCGTGGGGGATGAGGGGTCGTGACCTGCGCCCCGGGCCGGGGTCACTCACCGTCCTCGCTCTGGTTGTAGTAGCCGCGCAGGGTCCCCAGGTTCGCTCGGTCAGTCTGTGAGTGGGCCTTCACATTCCGTGTGTTCCGGTCCCAATACTCCGGCCCCTCCTGCTCTATCCACGGCGCCCGCGGCTCCATCCTCTGGCTCGCGGCGTCGCTGTCGAACCGCACGAACTGCGTGTCGTCCACGTAGCCCACGGCGATGAAGCGGGGCTCCCCGCGGCCGGGCCGGGACACGGAGGTGTAGAAATACCTCATGGAGTGGGAGCCTGGGGGCGAGGAGTGGCTGAGACCCGCCCGACCCTCCTCCAGGCGCGGCTTCCCGGGTCCTGCGCCCCCGCCGGGCGGGCCCCTTGCTTCTCCCCACAGAGGCCGTTTCCCTCCCGACCCCGCACTCACCCGCCCAGGTCTGGGTCAGGGCCAGGGCCCCCGAGAGTAGCAGGACGAGGGTTCGGGGCGCCATGACGGCCATCCTCGGCGTCTGGGGAGAATCTGAGTCCCGGTGGGTGCGTGCGGACTTTAGAACCGCGACCGCGACGACACTGATTGGCTTCTCTGGAAACCCGACACCCAATGGGAGTGAGAACTGGGTCCGCGTCGTGAGTATCCAGGAAGAAGGACCCTACATAGGTTGGGAGAGGGAGAAAAGAAACTGCGGAGTTGGGGAATCCCCAAGGCTGGGACTCCCCAATCCATATACCGCCTTCGGGGCCTGAGACCCTGAGAGCCACGCCTGGGGCCCTGGGACTTCGCCCTGACCCCTCTGCTCCTGTGCCAAGCGCTCTGTCTCAATGTCTCCCTGAGTCTTGGCCCAAGAGCTGTCTGAGAAACAAGGGAGAAACCCTCGGCATGGGCCCCGTCCCTCTCCTTTCACTTTTTATCCCGTAATCTCTGTCCCTGAACTGGACTCCCTGACTCCCACTCCTTACCTGTCCACCTGGACTCTTCTAGAAGAAAAATCATCCCATGGAGTTTGGTGCCAGAGAGTAAGCTTGCTCTGGGAATGGAGGTGTAGATTTTTGTTGTTGTTGTTTTTGTTTTTAATCGGGAAGAGTTGCGCCTGAGTGCATGAGACAGAATAGAGACCAGTTTGCTCTTTGTTTATTAACTACAGTGGGTAGCAGAATCTTGGTAACCCCTGAATGATCAGGAATCTAATAGGTAAAAAATGTGACTTTGGCCCCTTGATGTATAAATGTGTCCAAAAGCCTTACAACAGGACTCACAAAGCTACTAAGTTGCATTTTCCCAGACAATGTATCTGTGACTCCTGCTTGTAGTATTTTAAATTTACCATCATTCCATAGCTCTGAGTTTCTGTGTGAGTCCAGGACATCTCCTCAATACAGAGTAGCGACTGTGCTCCTATATGTTGCAACCAGAAGCCATTACAGGCTTTATTCACCTCAAAGTTGCAACTGTTCAATGCACTCACAATGCCCCTCACTAGTGCTCATGCACTGTCTGTTTTTAGGAAGTATCCACTTCTAAGTGTTGTGTATATTTTATAGGAACACTTAGTAATTTTTAAACCTGATTAACATAAAAAATTAGTTTTTAGGCAGACCCACATGAGGTATTAAAAGACAACTGCCAAGGACACCCTGCTAGGCTCTGTAGATGGATGTATTAAAATCCATAAAACAATGTATTTAAACCTAAGAATTCTGCTGCTTTCAAATTCTTTCCTCTGCTCCTTTTCCTCACCTCCTGCTTCTCCAGCCCTTCCCTCCGTCCTTCTCATCCTTCAGGCCCTCCTCTCCCCTTAGTCCCCACCACACTGTCACTCATGAATTGTGACACTAGCACTGTCCCATGACCTGCTACGTAACTGTTCTTTTCACAGTGGTCCTGCTCCTGTGAGTCGGAGTGTGTCATTTCTCCACTTAAAACACTCCAGTGGCTCCATCTCAGTCTTGTGAAGCTTCTGGAGTGTCAGGCACTTGAGCATATGAGGGGATACCTGGTTCATTGTAGGGACTAAGTTAATTTTTGTTGACTTAATGAATGAAATATGAGTGTATTAAATTGCATCACAGATAATTATAAACTGTAAAACACTGAAAAAGTTCAGAAACATTTTATTTTATGCAACTAGTGTGTATATCAATTCATCAGTTCATTTGCACACTACCACGCCTGGCAAAACAACACCCATTTATCTGCTTATAATTCCTTGGTCAGAAATCTGGGCAAGATGTGGATAGAATCTCTGTTCTGGGCTTCCAAAAGCTGTGTTTTCATTTTGAATCCTCCTTCAGGTTTATACAGAGGTGGCAGAATGCAGTTTCTTGCAGTTGTAAGACTGAGGTCCCTGTTCCTGGCTAGCTGTCAATGTAGAGAACTGGGAGGGGCTCAATTCCCGGTGCTCACCAGCGTTCTTTCCTACACAGCCCCTTAATTTTTTTTTTTTTTTTTTTTTTTTTTGAGACCGAGTCTGGCTCTGTAGCCCAGGCTGGGGTACAGTGGCCCAATGATCTCTGCTCACTACAAGCTCCGCCTCCTGGGTTCACACCATTCTCCTGTCTCAGTCCCAAGTAGCTGGGACTACAGGCGCCCACCACTACGCTCTGCCAATTTTTTTTTTTTTTCTTAGTAGACACAGGGTTTCACCTTGTTAGCCAGGATTGTCTCGACCTCCTGACCTCATGATCCGCTCGCCTCGGCCTCCCAAAGTGTCGGGATTACAGGCGTGAGCCACCGCGAACGGCCCATAGCCCCTTCCTTTTCAAAGCCCCTGGTGGAGGAAACCCCTCATGCTGAGTCCCTCTCACACTGTAAGTCTCTATGCTCATGAAGAACCCAGTTCTTTCAAGGGCTCACCTGATTAGGACAGTCCAAGCAGGATAAACCCAGCATAAAGTCAACTAATTGAGACCCTTAATTATATCTGCTAAATCCCTTCATAGCAGCACCTACATTAGAGTTGGTTGAATAACTGGAGGAAGGTGAATGACCAGGAGCTGCTTGTTGAGGCCATCATAGAATCAGCCTAGCAAGGGTTGGATCTTCCTTTTGTGTTTAATTGGGACACAGTTGGAAAGTGAAGTTCAAGTAAAGTGATCATTGTGAACGGTCATAAAATACATCCTCTTCAGCCATGGAAATTGTCCTTACCTTTTAAAACTAAGTTACATGTTTAATATCTTATAATTAATTTAGGCCAGGTGTGGTGGCTCACGGCTGTCATCCTAGCACTGTGGAAGGCAGAGGAAGGCAGATTTGTTGACTCCAGAAGTTCAAGATCAGCCTGGGCAAAACCTCCATCTCTACAAAAAATTAGAAAATTAGCCAGGCATGGTACTTCATGATGGTAGTCCCAGCTACTCAGGAGGCTGAGGTCAGAGAGTCCCTTGACCCCAGGAATTTGACACTGCAGTGCATGGTGATCATGCCACTGCATTCCAGCCTGGGTGACAGAGCAAGACCCTGTCTCAAAAATAATAATGATGATGATGACACATTTAGAGCAAATGCAATTTGATGTGTAATAATACATCCTCTCTTGTGAAAATGTATTATTTACTATTGCATAACAAATTATGTAAAACTTAGCTTGAAACAACAAATATTTCTCATCTCCCACAGTTTCCAATTGTCAGGAATCCAGGAGAGGTTTCCCTGAGTGCTTCCTGCTCAGGGCCGCTCACAAGGTTGCACTCCAGTTGTCAGCCAGGGGCCGCAGCATCTGAGGGCTTCTCTGGGGCTGGGAATTCACAAGAAACATGGATCAGTCACATGGCTGTTGGAAAAGGCCTGGTTCCTTGTTGTCTGTTCCCAGAAAGCCTCAGTTCTCAGTCATGTGGACCTTCCTGCAGGGCTGCTTATGGCACAGTGGCTGGCTTCCCCCAGAGCTCATGATCCCAGATTCAGAGAGAGAGAGAAGGTGGAAGCCGCAGTTAGTTTTATGTTCTACACCCAGAGTCACAAACTGTTATGTTGGCACTATTCTATAAGTTAGAAGTTGTATTAGTCCATTCTCACACTGCCATAAAGAAATACCTGAGACTGGGTAATTTATAAAGGAAAGAGGTTTAATTGACTCACAGTTCTGCATGACTGAGGAGGCTGCCCCAGGAAACTTACAGTCATGGCAGAAGTGGAAGCAAACCCGTCCTTCTTCACGTGGTGACAAGAGAGAGAAATGCACAATGAAGCAGGGAAAAGCCCCTTATAAAACCATCAGATCTCATGAGAATTCCCTCAGCATCAGGAGAATAGCATGGGGGCACCGTCCCCATGATCCAATCACCTCCCATGAGGTCCCTCCCCCAATAGGTAGGGATTACAATTTGCATAACAATTCAAGATGAGATTTGGGTGGGAACACAGAACCAGGCCATTTCAGAAGTGCCTCATTAAGTCCAAGCCACACTCAAGAGAGGGAATTAAGCTGCACCTCTAGAAAGGAACAGTATCAAAGGATTTGAATATATGTTAAAAGCAAAATTATAACTTGTTTCAGGTTTCTGAAAATCAAAGTCTTCTTGTATCTAATTAGTTTTCATTAACTCTTTAAGCTTGTCTTTTAATTTAATTTTTTTAAGTTCCAGGGTACATGTGTGTAGGATGTGCAGGTTTGTTACATAGGTAAATGTGTGCCATGTTGGTTTGCTGCACCTGTCAACTCATCACCTAGGTATTAACCCTGGCATGCATTAGCTATTTTTGCTAATGATCCTCCCATCACCACCCTCCCCCAACAGGCCCCAGTGTGTGTTTTTCCTCTCCCTGTGTCCATGTGTTCTCATTGCTCAGTTCCCAATTATATATGAGAACATGTGGTGTTTGGTTTTCTGTTCCTGTGTGAGTTTGCTGAGGATAATGGCTTCCAGCTTCATCCATATCCCTGCAAAGGACTTGATCTCATTCCTTTTTATGGCTGCATAATATTCCATGGTGTATATGTACCACATTTTCTTTATCCAGACCATCATTGATGGGCATTTGGGTTGATTCCATGTCTTTGCTATTGTGAATAGTGCTGCCATGAATGTAAACATGCATATATCTTTATAATAGAATGATTTATATTCCTTTGGGTATATACTCTGTAATGGGATTGCTGGGTCAAATGGTATTTCTGGTTCTAAATCTTTGAGGAATTGCCACACTGTCACTGTCTTCCACAATGGATTAACCATTTACTTTTCCACCAACAGTGTAAAAGCATTCCTATTTCTCTGCAACCTCGCCAGCATCTGTTGTTTCTTGACTATTTAATAATTGCCATTCTGACTGGCATAAGATGGTATCTCATTTGTCGTTTTGATTTGCATTTCTCTAATGATCAGTGAGGGTGAGCTTTTTTTTTTCATATTTTTTTGGCCACACGTATGTCTTCTTTAGAAGTGTCTGTTCATGTTCTTTGTCCACTTTTTTAATGAAGTTTTTTTTTCATGTAAATTTGCTTAAGTTCTTTGTGGATTCTGAATACTAGACTTTTGTCAGATGGGTAGATGGCAAAATTTTTCTCCCATTCTGTAGCATGTCTGTTCACTCTGATTGATGATAGTTTCTTTTGCTGTGCAGAAAAAAAAATTGCCTAATCTGATTGCTTTTCATTTACAAAAATGTGAATCTCATACTTCAGTCAACACATCTAGTTTAGCATGATGCCAATAATTTTGGCTTGATGCTGTAGCCCGAAATGGTTAGCTCAAATTGAGAGACAAGTTATTTTCAAAAACTAGCTATTCGATGGGCATTCTATAACAAACTTAACATCTTTTGTTGTGGTATTGAATGAGATGTGATAGAAGTGATTTGGACACCACTATGATTCTAAATAGCACTGCTATTACGTGCTTCTGAATTTTTTTTTCTTTTCAGCAGTCCTATTCTGTTTCCATTCATATTTACTATTCCATCACTGGGTATTCCTTCCTACTCTTTTCATGTTTCATTTATTTTGATCAATGATGTGCATTTCCAATTCTGTAAAAGTTTAATTCCGTTGTATGTGTGGTAAAATGTAACATCAAATCTTTGCAAGATGAAATTACCTTGCACAGCATATTGAACATTGTATTATTGAAAATCTAGAGAGATGCCAGTGAGCCAAGGATCGAATGACCTATATGTAGCCAAGGCCGTTTTCATGGCATCCTGGTCCTCTCTGTCACATAGCTCCTTACAATTCTCTGTGGTTTTCTTCCAATGTAAGTAGTTCTTGTTAAGAATCTTTGCAATGAACTTTGAAATTCTTTTCTTTTTCATTTCTATAAAGAACAGGTATATTTTAATTTGGAAAACTCTGTTTAAGGAATTATAATCAAGTAACTACCAGGGTGCCCAGCACTGGTGTAAAACACGAAACTGTAAAACTACCCTGGGCTGCTACCCAGTCATCCTCCAGAAGGAGACTGTTGGGAGCAAGTCCCCCAAAATCTGGTCATAAACTGGCCCCGAGACTGGCCATAAACAAAATCTCTGCAGCACCATAACATGTTCATAATGGCCTTAGCACCCAAGCTGGAAGGTTGTGGGTTTATGGGAATGAGGGCAAGGAACACCTGGCCCGCCCAGGGTGGAAAACCACTTAAAGGCATTCTTAAGCCACAAACAATAGCATGAGTGATCTGTGTCTTAAGGGCATGTTCCTGCTGCAGTTAACTAGCCCAACCTATTCCTTTAATTTGGCCCATCACTTCGTTTCCCATAAGGGATATTTTAACTAATTTAATATCTATAGAAACAATGCTAATGACTGTAATAAATATGTGGGTAAATCTCTGTTCGGGGCTCTCAGCTCTGAAGGCTGTGAGACCCCTGATTTCCCACTTCACACCTCTATATTTCTGTGTGTGTGTCTTTAATTCCTCTAGCACCACTGGGTTAGGATCTCCCTGACCGAGCTGGTCTCAGCAGAAGACTCCATGCTGAGTCTTGTGATACTTATTCCTTTGTATTTCTTCAAAGATTTGTGCAATAAGTATATATATATATATATATGTATATATATATATGTATATGTATGTGTATATATACACACACACATATATATATGTATGTATATATATATATATATCCCCAAAACAAATATCAGTTGGTTTTGCTGGTTTTTAAGCTTCCTGTATAGCAAGTTCCTACTGCATTTATTTTCCCATGATGCACATTATGTGTAGGAGTTATCTGTGGTGTGGGAGGCTGTCATTCTTTCATTTTTACTGCTGAAGGCTTACATATGGTTATACCACAATTTCACTAGTTTCCTATTGATGTATATGTGGCTGATTCCAGTTTTTGCCATAAATATTAGTGTGCATGTCTCCTGTGCACATAGGCAAGAAAGCCCCCCAGAGTGGATGATTAGGAATGGGTTGGTTGGATGATAGGTTGTATGGACTTTAACCATAGTAGATAATGATAATATGATTTGCAAAGTGATTGTGGCTAAACTTTTACAATAAATGTGTAATACTTGATGTTGATGATGTGTTCTGAAAACACTGTGTTGAAGGAATTGAGTTAAAAGCCACTGTCTTGGCTGTAGAATTACAGTGGGCATTTTTATTCAGACTCTGTTAATAACTTCCTGTTGTTTACTTGTTTCTCATATACATGACATTATATTTTTGACATATAGATTCAGAAAATGCTTACTTACAGCCCAATCACATAGTTATTGTATATATTAGGAAAATTTCATAATAAAAAGGAAAAAATGGAGGAAGAGAGAGAAAGAAGGAGGAATGGAGGAAAAAGCAAAAGAAGAAAAGAAGGAAGGGGAGGGGAAGGAAAGGGAGAAAGAAGGAGGGAAGGCGATAGGTTGAATGGAAATAGAGAAGAAAGAGATGGAGGGAGGGCTAGAAGGAAGGAGAAAGGGAAGGAAGAGGCCAGGCGCAGTGGCTCATGCCTGTAATCCCAGTCTTTGGGAGGCCGAGGCAGGCAGATCACGAGGTCAGGAGATAGAGACCATCCTGGCTAACATGGTGAAATCCTGTCTCTACTAAAAACACAAAAAATTAGCCGGGCATGGTGGCAGGTGCCTGTAGTCCCAGCTACTTGGAAAGCTGAGGCAGGAGAATGGCATGAACCTGGGAGGCGGAGCTTGCAGTGAGCCGAGATCGAGCCACTGCACTCCAGCCTGGGCGACAGAACGAGACTTTGTCTCAAAAAAAAAAAAAAAAAAAAAAAGAAAAGAAAAGAAAAGAAAAAAGAAAAAAAAAGGATGGAACAAAGGAGAAAAGAAACTAAAATAAAGAAAAGAATAGGTGTTGAGAAACTAGAAACCCTATGTGTGGCTAATATTATCAAAATAGGAGAAAATAAAACAGATGTAGTTAACCTGTAGAGAATAATGGAAATGTAAGAGGGCTTCATTAGTTATCCATTGCTGTGTAACAAACTACCCCCAAATTTAGTGACTTGGGATCACTAAATGAGGGATCGTCTTCCCGTCATTCCCTCAGAGATTTTATCCCTTAATTGCGTCTTCCCGTCATTGCCTCAGAGATTTTATCCCTTAATTGTGTCAGAGAGCGGGGTGGAACCTCAGAGTCACTCTCTGGTACAGGATCTGGAAACCCAGGAGGATTCTTCTCCCTCAGGACCAGAGGGAGGGTGATATTCTAGTGTTGGTCCCATCTGTCTCCTCTCCTTGTGGGAGGCCAGCCTGGGAGATCTACAGGCGATCAGGGAGGCGCCCCGTGGCCCCTGGTACCAGTGCGCTGCAGCGTCTCCTTCCCGTTCTCCAGGTATCTGCGGAGCCACTCCACGCACCTGCCCTCCAGGTAGGCTCTCTGCTGCTCCGCCTCATGGGCCGCCTCCCACTTGCGCTGGGTAATCTGAGCCGCCATGGCCGCCGCGGCCCAAGAGCTCAGGTCCTCGTTTAGGGCGATGTAATCTTTTTACAGAGAATCGTTTTTACAGAGAATGGGGAGATAACCAGGACAGGATTTATGGACCCAGTGATTCCACCGTGGGGCATAATTTGTCCAGGTTTATTCCCTGGCCTCTGTAAGCCCCACTGTGATAGGGACATAATGGTGCTGTGGGAATCTGGGCAGCAATGTTAGCTCACACCCAATGTTAACACTTATCCCATCTCCTGATTAAATGGCTATAGGCTCCTTTGCAGAAGGGCTGATGGAATTGTCCCAGCATGTAACAGTCATGGTGTCCCAAGGTTCTTTCTCTTAGGGATATGGATACTTCCTTAGCCACTGGATTCTGAATATGAAGCTTGCTCCTCAATTCTTACATGCTTATCATAGATATCAAGCAGTGCTCCTGCTGTCTGCCCATCTTTTCTGACCCTGGGACACCACCCTTTATTAAGCTTTCCCATAACTCCTTGAAGGTCAAGCCCCCTTGGCTGATACTCTGGGTTATCACAGTAAGTGTGCCCTCTATCTTTTTCAGGTCACTGAAAAGGAGGGTTCCTAAAGCATTCACTCCTGACCCTGAGGGAGGTGGGTGCACTCACTCCGGGACTCAGGTGCACCACAGATAAGCAAAAAAGTCCTCACATTCAAAATTGTCCTAGGCCACATGCAGCCCACGAGCCGCGGGTTGGACAAGCTTGCATCTAGAACATATGCACCACAAGGCCCGAAATTTTTCTGTTTTTACTTTAATAATGCTTTCTAAATGCAAAAACAGTTATATACCTAGCAGAAACAAATGTCAGTTGAAGGAATGATCATAGAGAACCACTCTATTCTAGAGGCAATATCTTTATTAATGTAGCCTCAGGACAAATGCTTTATTTTTGTGGCAGCTACAGAACAACATCATCTCACACTGACATCAGTGACACCGGAGCTTTTCTCACCAGGGCTGCTTGTGTGTTCTCCCTCCCTCCCTCCCTCCCCCCACACCAACTCTCCTGCACACTGAAGCACACAACCATATTTTTCTCTTCAGGAAAGATAACCTAGGCTTATGGGTCCAATTTTCCAACCACATATGAATCTAAACTAGACTCTGCTTTATAAATTGATGAGTTTCTATTGGAGCCAGCACTAGGATTACTACAACTCAGGGCAGGAAGAAGAGTAGGAGTGCAGAAGAGGAGTTCCAACAGAAAGTTACCTATGATGAGAAACTATGGGACCCTGCCTCTTGGCAAATTTCAGAATCTGGTTCCTTTAAAAAGATTGCAGAAAAGATGGAAAATACAATGAGGAAAGAGCCCTGGGAAGAGGGCAAGAGCTTGAAAGATCTGAAAATTTGTCTCTTGATACCACAAGGACCCTGGTATGCAGGGACTGCCATAGGTGACATCCAAGTCCCTGTGATCACAGGTCATGGTGGGACAAGGTTCTACTGAAGGGCCAAGTGTGGGCGGAGGATTACTCAGGTGCCGAGGCAAGAGACTGAAGGCACAAACTGTTTTAGTATAATAAAGAAAATAGTTAGAATAAGAATAGTCATAATACAAATTAGATATAGAGATGATCATGAAAAATTATCAATCATTATTATAAACATTATTAGTCATTAGCTTTTAATATTACTCTTTGTTGCATTACTAAGATAACCTAGGAATAACCGGCGGGCATAGGGTCAGGTGCTGAAGGGACATTGTGAGAAGTGACCTAGAAGGCAAGAGATGAGCCTTCTGTCACGCCCGCATAAGGGCTGCTTGAGGGATCCTTGGTCAAGTGGCAATGCCAATGTCTGGGAAGGCACCTGTTACTTAGCAGACCACGAAAGGGAGTCTCCCTTTCTTGGAGGAGTCAGGGAACACTCTGCTCCACCAGCTTCTTGTAGAAGGCTGGATATTATCCAGAGCTACCCGCAGTCATCCAGAGGCCTAAACCCCTCCCTGTGGTGCTGTGCTTCAGTGGTCATGCTCCTTGTCCACTTTCATGCTCCTCCTGTACTCCTGGTTCCTCTTTGAATTTCGTAGTAGATAATGGTAGAAGAAATAGTGAAAGTCTTAAAGTCTTTGATCTTAAGTGCAGAAAAGAAAATGGTGACATATGCTACCTAAAAGGAAAGGGCCCCCTATCCTGTAATCACGTGACTTGCTTCACCTTGTCAATCAGTTAGAAGATTCACCTTCCTTACCCTGCCCCTTGTCTTGTATGCAATAAATATCAGCGAGCCCAGCTGTTCGGGGCCACTACCGGTCTCCGCATCTTGATGGTAGTGGTCCCCCGGGCCCAGCTGTTTTCTCTTTATCTCTTTGTCTTGTGCTTTTATTTATTACAATCTCTTATCTCCGCACACGGGGAGAAAACCCTCTAAGTCCCGTAGGGCTGGATCATACAGCCAAGGACAACGGAGCAGCAAAGATGACCCAGCTGAGTAGTGACCACATAAAGCGCACGGTGGCCTGAGCACCCACTGGGCACAGCCCCATCTACTCTCCTCTCATGCAACAAATCAGCATAAGAAACATGTGGACTCTGGAAGGTTCTCATGTCTTCCATTTATTTTGTCTCTCAAATTTTAGGAATCTTCTCCTTTAATTAACCCATCAACCTCTCATGGCAAGAATTTGAAAAAGTAAATTTATACTCAGATTCTAATTTTAATAGGGAAGTAAGAAGTTACAGCTCAGTGCACATAAAGTTGAGACAGAGATGGAGACATCTCAGCCTCACGTCTATGGAGCAGGAATGATTAATTATTGGAGACGGAACACAGGTCAGCATGAGGGAAGAGGGTCATGGTGGACATGGGGGTGGGTTGGTCTCCCCACCTCCTCATATTATGCCTACAGGAACACAGGCACATTCAGGTGCCTTTGCAGAAAGAGAGTCAGGGTTTTTGAAGTCACAAAGGGAAGGCGTGAACAAATCTTGCCTCTCAGTCCCACACAAGGCAGCTGTCTCACACTATAAAATAAAATATTCATGAACAAATTCATATCCGTCACAGTGAGGGATGACACTTTAAACAGCCCATCACATGTTCAATACATCCAATTCAAAGAAACCCCATAGCACAGCTGCATCCACTATTGCCCCCAACACCCCCCACACATCAGGTCCCCCAGCTTCTCACCTTTACAAGCCGTGAGAGACACATCAGAACCCTGCGCATGGTCGCTGCCTGGGGTAGAACAAAAACAGGACTTGGTCAGAGCCCACAGGAGATGCGGCTAGAGGAGGAATCTGGGGTTGGGTGAGCTCCCCCATGGGCTCCCGACCACAATATCCCAAGGATCAGGGATCAGCCCACTTCATACTTACTTGCAGCTTCAGAGTAGCTCACTCTATCTGTGGGAAGAAAATGTCCTATGAGAGGCCAGAAAGGAGTCAGGGCCATACGGCCCTAAACAAACCCCCTAGCCTTTGATCCCAGAGAAGTTTCCTGAAAGTGTAACTGCTGATCTAGGACAGGATCAGGAAACATGAGGAAAGCAGGTGTGGGTCCTGGACCAACTGCCCTCCTGAGGTCTGTCCTCAGCAGGGACCTTCCCCTGTGACTTGTGACTGCTGGGATCAGGTCCCCATCATCATAATCATCAAGGTGATAAATCTGTCCTTCATTGTCACAGGTGCTTTACAAAAGAGTAAGTGCTGGCACACAGTGCCCAGGCTGGGTAAGCCCATGAGTGTGGATGGTGCTTCCCAGTAACCAGGCAGGACACACTTCTAACTGGGGCTTGAAACCCTCAGTGGGACAAGAAATCTCAGACCCCACTCCTCATCCATTCCTTACCTGAGTTCTTCTTCCTGCACATCACAGCAGAAACCACAGCTCCAGTGACTACAGCTCCAAGGAGAACCAGGCCAGCAATGATGCCCACGATGGGGATGGTGGGCTGAGAAGACTGCTCTGGGAAAAAAGGGGAAGGTGAGCGTCCCTGACCCTCAGCCCCCAGCACCGACCCTGCTGAAGTTCTCCAGAGAGGCTCCTGCTTTCCCTAAGAGACATGACCCCCCCTCCACTCATCTCCTGCCTTACCCCATCTCAGGGTGAGGGGCTTGGGCAACCCCTCATGCTGCACATGGCACGGGTATCTCTGTTCCTCTCCAGAAGGCACCACCACAGCTGCCCACTTCTGGAAGGTTCCATCCCCTGCAGGCCTGGTCTCTACAAGCTCCATGTCCCTAGTCTGGTCCTCTCCATCCTGCTGCCAGGTCAGTGTGATCTCCACAGGGTAGAAGCCCAGGGCCCAGCACCTCAGGGTGGCCTTATAGTCAGAGACGGAATGGTGGATCATATGTGTCTGGGGGCGGGGGTCTAACAGGAAGTGTCAGAAAATTCAGGCACTTTGCATCTCTCATGAGACACTCCAGCAGCACGCATGTGGCCATCCTGAGAATGGACAGGACACCTGGGGTGGGGAAGGGAGCACAGAACCCAGACACCAACCTGGACACAGGTATCTGGGATAATCTCCTATTCCGTGGAAAATTCTAGTCCCTGAGGAGGGAACAGTGACTTCTGGTCCTGACCTGAGTGGAGGCTGAGGGACTCAGAAGAGCTGGACTCAGACCCCCACACACATTGAGTGTAAAGCAGAGAACAAGGCCTGAGGGGAAAAGTAACGGGGCCCAAGGCTGCTGCTGGTGTCAAAGGGAACCCCTCATCAGTATTCCAGGGATTGTCTTCCCTTCATTTCCTCAGAGATTTCATCCCTTAATTGTATCAGAGAGCAGGGCAGACCCTCAGAGTCACTCTCTTGTACAGGATCTGGAAACCCAGGAGGATTCCTCTCCCTCAGGACCAGAGAGAGGACGACATTCTAGTGTTGGTCCCATTTTCCTTCTCTCTTTGTGGGAAGCCAGCCCAGGAGATCTACAGGCGATCAGGGAGACGTCTTGTGTTCCCTGGTACCAGTGAGCTGCAGCGTCTCCTTCCCGTTCTCCAGGTGTCTGCGAGCCTCTCCACGCACGTGCCCTCCAGGTAGGCCCTGATCTGCTCTGCAAATTCTTCTGCCTCCCACTTGCGCTTGATGATCTGAGCCGCCATGTCCGCCGCGGTCCAGGAGCGCAGGTCCTAGTTCCGGGCTATGTAATCCTTGCCATCGTTGGCGTGCTGTTCATACCCGCGGAGGAGGCGCCCTTCCAGCCCCAAGTCGCAGCCATACATTATCTGGAGGGTGTTAGACCCTGGCCCCGCCCCCGCGGTCAGCCCCGCCCACCGAGCCCCGCCCCCGCCCCGACCAACCCGCGGGGATTTTGGCCTAAACGGAAAATGAAACCTGGTAAAGACTCCTGGGCCTCTCCCGGGTCGAGGATCTGGCGGGTCCCGCAGCCTCGGGGTGGATCTCGGAGCCGGAGACTCGCGGGGGGGACCCGGGACGTCCGTGGGGGATGAGGAGGGGTCGTGACCTTCGCCCCAGGCCGGGGTCATTCACCGGCCTAGCTCTGGTGGTAGTAGCGGCGCGGCATGGGCAGGTTCACTCTTGTCAGTCTGTGCGCGGGCCTGATGTTCCGTGTGCTCCGGTCCCAATACTCCGGTCCCTCCTGCTCCAACCACGGCGACTGCGGCTACGTCCTCGGAGTCGCCGCGTCGCTGTCGAACCGCACGAACTGCGTGTCGTCCACGTAGCCCACTGCGATGTACCGGGGCTCCCCGCGACCCGGCCGGGACACGGCGGTGCTGAACTACCTTATGGAGTGGGAACCTGGGGGCGAGGAGGGGCTGAGACCCGTCCGACCCTCCTCCTTGAGCGGCTCCCCGGGTCCTGCGCCCCAGTGCGCGGGCCCCTAGCTCCTCCCCGCAGAGGCCATTTCCCTCCGGATCCCGCACTCACCCGCCCAGGTCTCGGTCAGGGCCAGGGCCCCCAAGAGCAGCAGGAGGAGGGTTCGGGACGCCATGACCCCATCCTCGGCGTCTGGGGAGAATCTGAGTCCCAATGGGTTCGCGGGGACTTCTGGAACAGGGACCCCAGCGACGCCGATTGGCTTCGCTAGAAACCCGACACCAAATGGGGGTGAGAACTGAGTCCACATCCTGAGTGTCCAGGAAGAAGGACCCTACATAAGTTGGGAGAGGGAGAAGAGAAACTGCGGAGATGGGGAATCCCCAACCCTGGGCCTCCCCAATCAATACATCGCCTTCGGGGCCTGAAACCCTGAGAGCCACGCCTGGGGCCATAGGACTTCGCCCTGACCCCGCTCCTCCTGTGCCAAGCGCTCTGTCTCAATGTCTCCCTGAGTCTTGGCCCAAGAGCTATCTGAGAAACCAGGGAGAAACCCTCGTCATGGGCCCCGTCCCTCTTCATTTTTCATCCCGGAATCCCCGTCCCAGAACTGGACTCCCTGCCTCCCACTCCTTACCTATTTCCCTGAACTCTTCTAGAAAAAAACTCACCCCAGGGAGCTTGGTGACAGAGAGGGAGCTCGCCGCCAGAGAGGGAGCTCGCCCTGGGAATGGAGGCGTAGAGACAGGTTTTTGTTTTTTTTTTCTTTAAATCCGGAAAAGTTGTGCCTGAGTACATGAGACAGCATAGAGACAAGTTTTCTCTTTGTTTATTAACTACAGTGGGTAGCAGAATCTTGGCAACCCCTAAATGATCAGGTATGTAATCGGTAAAAAATGTAACTTTGGCCCCTTGATATATAAATGTGTCTGAAAGCATTACAACAGGACTCACAAAGCTACTAAGTTTGACTTTCGCAGACAATGTATCTGTGACTCCCGCTTGTCTTTTACATTTACCTTCATTCCACAGCCCTGAGTTACTGGGTGAGTCCAAGACATCTCCTCAATATAAAGTAGCACACTGCGTTACTATATGTTGCAACCGGGAGCCAGTACAGACTTTATTCACCTCACAGTTGCAAGTGTTCAATGCAGTCACAATGCCCCTCAGCAGTGCTCATGTGCTGCCTGTTTTTAGGAAGTATTCACATCTAAGTGGTGTGTATATCTTATAGGAACACTTAGTATTTTTAAAACCTGATTAATTAAAAAAAATTAGTTTCTAGGCAGTCCCAAATATAGTATTAAAGGCCAACTGCAAAGAAGGAACACTAAGTATTTTTTAAACCTTATTAACATAAAAAACATTAGTTTTTAGGCAGTCCTACATTAGGTATTAAAGGCCAACTGCAAAGAACACTGAGCGAGGCTCTGTAGATGGATGTAATAAAAATCTATAAAACAATGTGTTTAAACCTAAGAATTCTACTGCTTTCCAATTCCTTCCCTCTGCTCCTTTTCCTCACCTCCTGCTTCTCCAGCCCTTCCCTCTGTCCCTTTCATCCCTCAGGCCCTCCTCTCCCCTTAGTCCCCACCACCCTGTCACTTCTAAATTGTGGCTCTAGCATTGTCCCATTACCTGCTACGTGACTGTTCTCTCCACAGTGGTCCTGCTCCTGTGAGTCAGAGTGTGTCATTTCCTCACCTAAAACACTCCAGTGGCTCCACCTCGGTCTTGTGAAGCTTCTAGAATGTCAGGCACGTGAGCATATGAGGGCATACCTGGTTCATCTTAGGCACTAAATTTTTGTTGACTGAATGAATGAAATATGAATGTATTAAATTGCATCACAGAAAGTTATAAAATGTAAAACACTGAAAAATTAAGAAATATTTTATTTTGTGTAACTAGTGTGCATATCAATTCATTCCGAGTCTGTTCAGCCTGTGTATGAATTTTATAAGATTGCATAACAAATTATCACAAACATTGACTTTAAACAACACCCAATTATTGTTGATTTATTTGTTTTTAGAGACAGAGTCTCCCTCTGTCATTCAGGGTGAAGTGCAGTCACATGATCATGGCTCACTGCAGCCTCAAACTCCTGGGCTTAAGGGATCTTCCTGCCTCAGTCTTCAGAATAGATAGGACTGCAGACAAGTGCCACCACGCCCAGCTAATTAAAAAGAAATTGTAGAGATGAGTGTCTCACTGTTTGATCTTGGCTGGTCTCAAATTCCTGGATGCAAGTGATCCTCCTGTGTCAGCTCCTCAGATGTTAGGATTGCAGGTGTGCATTACCACGCCTGGCCAAACAACACCCATTTATCTGTTTATAGTACCTTAGTCAGAAATCTGGGCATGATGTGGATGGAATCTCTGTTCCGGGCTTCCCAAAGCTGTGTTTTCATTTTGAATCCTCCTTCAGGCTTATACAGAGGTGGCAGAATGCAGTTTCTTGCAGTTCTAAGACTGAGGTCCGCGTTCCTTGCTGGCTGTCAATGTAGAGAACAGGGAGGGCTGTACTCAATTCCTGGTGCCCACCAGTGTTCTTCCCTGTACAGCCCCTTCATTTTCAAAGCCCACAGTGGAGGAAACCCCTCATGCTGAATCCCTCTCACACTGTGAATCTCTATGCTCAGGAAGAACCCAATCCTTTCAAGGACTCACCTGATTAGGACAGTCCAAGCAGCATAAACCCAGCCTAAAGTCAACTAATTGAGGCCCTTAATTATATCTGCTAAATCCCTTCACAGCAGCACCTATATTAGAGTTGGTTGAATAATGGGGGGAAGGTGAATGACCAGGAGCTTGTTGTTGAGGCCATCATAGAATCAGCCTAGCAAGGGCTGGATCTTCTTTTTGTGTTCACTTGGGACACAGTTGCAAATTGAAGTTCAAGTAAAGTAATCATTGTGAACGGTAATAAAATACATCCTTTTCAGCCATGGAAATTCTCCTTACCTTTTAAAACTAAGTTACATATTTATATCTTTTAATTAATTTAGGCCAGATTTGGTGGCTCGCACCTGCAATCCTAGCATTGTGGAAGGCAGAGGAAGGCAGATTTGTTGACTCCAGAAGTTCAAGATCAGCCTGGGCAACATGGGGAAACCCCCATCTCTACAAAAAATTAGAAAATTAGCCAGGCACAGTGGTTCATGATTGTACTCCCAGCTACTCAAGAGGCTGAGGTCAGAGGGTCCCTTGAGCCCAGGAGGTCTACACTGCAGTGCATGGTGATCATGCCACTGCACTCCAGCCTGGGTGACAGAGTGAGACCCTGTCTCAAAAATAATAATAATGATGATGATAAATTTAGAACAAATGCAAATTAACATGTAATAATACATCCTCTCTTGTGAAAATGTATTAGTTATTTACTATTGCATAACAAATTATGTAAAATGTACCATTTCAAAACAACAAATATTGATCATCTCCCACAGTTTCCAGTTGTCAGGAATCCAGGAGAAGTTTCCCTGAGTGCTTCTTGCTAAGGGCCTCTCACAAGGTTGCAGTCCAGTTGTCAGTCTAGGCCTGCATCATCTGAGGGCTTCACTGGGGCTGAGGATTCACATGAAACATGGATCAGTCACATGGCTGTTGGAAAAGGCCTAGTTCATTGTAATTGGGTCCCAGAAGGCCTCAGTTCTTAGCCAGATGGACCTTGCTGCAGGGCTGCTCATGGCACAGCAGCTGACTTTCCCCAGAGCTCATGATCCCAGAGACAGAGAGAGAGAAGGTGGAAGCTGCAGGGAGTTTTAGGTTCTACACCCAGAGTCACAAGCTGTTATGTCGGCATTGCTCTATCAGAAGTTGTATTAGTCTGTTCTCACACTGCTATAAAGAAATACCTGAGACTGGGTAATTTATAAAGGAAAGAGGTTTAACTGACTCCCAGTTCTGCATGGCTGAGGAGGCCACCCCAAGAAACTTACAATCATGGCAGAAGTGGAAGAAAACCCGTCCTTCTTCACATGGTGGCAGGAGAGAGAAATGCAGAGCGAAGCGGGGAAAAGCCCCTTATAAAACCATCAGATCTCATGAGAATTCACTCACTATCATTAGAACAGCATGATCCAATCACCTCCCATGAGGTTCCTCCTTCAATACTGGGGATTACAATTCGCATGACAATTGAAGATGAGATTTGGGTGGGAACACAGAACCAGGCCATATCAGAAGTGCATCATTAAGTCCAAGCCACACTCAAGAGAGGGAATTAAGCTGCACCTCTGGAAGGGAGCAGTATTAAAGGATTTGCATATATGTTAAAAGCAAAATTCAAACTATTATTTCAGGATTTTTAAGTTAAAGGCTTTTAATCTAATTATTTTTCCTTAACATTTTAATCTTGTCCTTTAATTTAATTTAGTTTAATGTTAAGTTCCAGGGTACATATGCAGGATGTGCAGGTTTGTTACACAGGTAAACGGGTTCCACGGCAGTTTGCTGCACCAATCAACCCATAACCTAGGTATTAACCCCTGCATGCATTAGCCATTTTTCCTAATGCTCCCTCCACCACTGCCCTCCCCAAACAGGCCCCAGTGTGTGTTGTTCCTCTCCCTGTGTCCATGTGTTCTCATTGTTCAGCTCACAATTATAAGTGAGAACATGCGGTGTTTGGTTTTCTGTTCCTGTGTTAGTTTGCTGAGGATAATGGCTTCCAGCTTCATCCATATCCCTGCAAAGGATTTGACCTCATTCCTTTTTATGGCTGCATAATATTCCATGGCATATATGTATCATATTTTCTTTATCTAGTCCCTCATTGGTGGGCATTTGGGTTGATTCCATGTCTTTGCTGTTGTGAATTGTGCTGCAATGAACAAACACATGCACATATCTTTATAATAGAATGATTTATATTCCTTTGGGTATATACCCTGCAATGGGATTGCTGGGTCAAATGGTATTTCTGGTTCTAAATCTTTGAGGAATCACCACACTGCCTTCCTCATTGGTTGAACCAATTTACATTTCCACCAACAGTGTAAAAGCATTCCTATTTCTTTACACCTCGCCAGAATCTGTTGTTTCTTAACTTTTTAATAATTGCCATTCTGACTGGCATGAGATGGTATCTTATTGTGGTTTTGATTTGCATTTCTCTAACGATCGGTGATATTGAGCTTTTTAAAATATGTTTTTTGGCCACCTGTATGTCTTCTTTTGAGAAGTGTCTGTTCATGTGCTTTGTCCACTTCTTAATGAAGTTGTTTTTTTCATGTAAATTTGCTTAAGTTCTTTTTAGATTATGAATATTAGACCTTTGTCAGATCGATAGATTGCATAAATTTTCTCCCATTCTGTAGGTTGTCTCCTTTTCGCTCTGATGATAGTTTCTTTTCCTGTGCAGAAGCTCTTTTGTTTAATTAGATCCCATTTGTCAATTTTTGCTTCTGTGGCAGTTGCTTTTGGCAATTTCATCATAAAATCTTTGCCCATGCCTATGTCCTGAATGGTATTGCCTAGATTTTCTTTCAGGGTTTTTCTAGTTTTGGGTTTTACATTTAAGTCTTTAATCCATCTTGAGTTAATTTTTGTGTAAGGTGTAAAGAAGGGGTCCAGTTTCAATTTTCTGCATATGGCTAGCCAGTTTTCCCAGCACCATTTATTAAATAGCGTTTCCTTTCCCCATTGCTTGTTTTTGTCAGGTTTGTTGAAGATCACATGGTTGTAGATGTGAGGTCTTATTTCTGAGTTTTCTATTCTGTTCTGTTGGTCTATATGCTTGTTTTTCTACCAGTACCATGCTGTTTTGGTTACTTTAGCCTTATAGTATAGTTTTAAGTAGGATAGCCTGATGCCTCCAGCTTTATTCTTTTTGCTTAGCATTCTCGTGGCTACACAACCTCTTTTTTGGATCCATATGAATTTTCAAATTTTTTTTTCTAATTCTGTGATAAGCTTCTCTTTTTAAATTAATGATTAAATGTTTGAGACATGACAGAGCCTTGGGTGCTGCAGGGAAAACAGTTTGAGACAGAGAAAGGAGAAACAACAGTATCTCTGCGTTTCTCTTGTAAATACCTTTAATAACAATGTTCTTCAATAAGTTAACACAGTTGAGAACATAGAGTAACTAGATCAAATAGTTCCAAGACTTCAGTGCCATAAGAATCATGCCTTGAAAATAAGTCTTTGTTTTGTCTAAGATGTCTCAAATTTAGTGGAAGTATGCCCCAAGTGCCAATTTTCTTATTGACTTATCATCTTCAGAAAACATTTGCCTACACTTAAAAAAAAAATACACACACACTGCTCTGTCTATGGAGTAGCCATTCTTTTGTTTCTTTACTTCTCTAATAAACTTGCTTTTACTTAGAAAAAATTGCATAATCAGATTGCTTCTCATTTACAAAAATGGGAATCTCATACTTCAGTCAACACATCTAGCTTAGCATAATGCCAGTAACTTTGGTTTGATGCAGTAGCCCAAAATGCTTAACTCGAATTGAGAATCAAATTTTTTCCAAAAACGGCTCAGGGGCATTCTATTGTAAACTTAACATTTTAGGGTGTGGTATTGCATGAAATGTGGTAGAAGTGATTTGGACACTACTACAGTTCTAAATAGCACTGCTATTATGTGCTTCTGAAGCTTTTTTTTTTTTTTTAGCTGTCTTATTTTGCTTTCCATTCATATTTGCTATTCCATCACTGGTTGTTCCTTTCTATTCTTTTCTTGTTTCATTTATTTTGATCAGTGATGTGTATTTCCAATTCTGTGAAAGTTTAATTCAGTTGTATGTGTGGTAAAATGTAACACCAAATCCTTTGCAAGAAGGAATTACCTTGCACATCAGATTGAACATTGTATACTTGAAAATCCAGAGAGATGCCAGTGAGCTAAGGATCAAATGACCTATTATTAACCAAGGCCATTTTCATCACATCCTGGTCCTCTCTGTCACATGGCTGCTTACATTTCTCTGTGGTTTTCTTTCAATGTAAGTAGTTCTTGTTAAGGATCCTTGCAATGAACTTTGGTATTCTTTTCTCTTTCATTTTTATAAATACCAGGTATATTTTAATTTGAAAACTCTGTTTAACAAATTACAATCATGTAATTAAAAAGATGCCCAGCACTGGTGTAAAACACAAACCTGTAAAGCTCCCCTGGGCTGCTGCCCAGTCACATCCCCCAGAGACAGACTCCATCCTGAGTCTTGTGATCCTTATTCCTTTGTATTTCTTTAAAGATTTGCACAATAAGTATATATATATATGTACATATATATATCCGAAAAAAAATTATTTACTTTTGCTGGTTTTTAAGCTTCCTGTACAGCAAATTCCTACTGCATTTATTTTCCCATGATGCACATTACGTACAGGAGTTATCTGTGGTGTGGGAGGCTGTCATTCATTCATTTTCACTGCTGAAGGTTTACATTTTATGCCACAATTTCCTATTGATGTATATTTCCTATTGATGTATATGTGGCTGATTCCAGTTTTTGCCATAAACATCAGTGTGCCTGTCTCCTGGGCACATAGGCAAGAAAGCCCGCTAGAGTGTATGGTTAGGAGTGGGAGGGTTGGACGATATGTTGTATGGACTTTAACCATACTAGATAATGATAATATGATTTCCAAGGTGATTGTGTCAACTTAAACTCATGTGTTCTGAAAACACCTAGTTGAAGGAATTGAGTTAAAAGCCACTGTCTTGGCTGCAGAATTATAGCAGGCATTTTTATTCAGACTCTGTTAATAACTTCCTGTTGTTTACTTGTTTCTCATATACCATGGTATTATACTTTTGACATATAGATTCAGAAAATGCTTACTGATAGCACAATCACGTAGGGGTTATTTAATATGTTAGGAAAATTTCATAATAAAAAGGAAAAAATGGAGGAAGGGAGAGAAAGAAGGAGGAATTGAGGAAGGAGTGAAAGAAGAAAAGAAGGAAGGGGGAGGGGAAGAAAAAGGACGGAAAGGAGGAAGGGAGAAGGAGGGAGGGCGAGAGATTGAATGGAAATAAAGAGGGAGGGAGGGACAGAAGGAAAGAGAAAAAGAAGGAACAAAGGAGAAAAGAAACTAAAATAAAGAAAAGAATAGGCGTTGGGAACTGGAAACCCTCTGTATGGCTAATATTATCAAAATAGGAGGAAATAAAATAGACGTAGTTAACCTCTATAGAATAACGGAAATGTAAGAAGGCTTCATTAGTTATCTGTTGCTGTGTAAAAAACTACCCCCAAATTTAGTGACTTACAGCAACAAACATTGGTGAACTCAAAAACATAATACAAATACCAGCAAAATGGAGCCAATGCAGGTGGAAGAAGTTGAATAAACAAAAAGATTTTACACGTTGGAATAAGTAAGAGGTCACTGGTGTGCAGACGAAAATGATTTTGTAGTCCAAATGCTCCAAAAAGCAAGTACCATCATGGGATTAAAGTTACAGCATTTTATTAGGGGACACACCTGTCAGACGATATGGCGAGGGAGGTAGGTTACCCTGGGAAAGGCAATAGAATAAGATGCAAGTGTGACCCCCAGTGATGGAAAGAAGGAAGGAAGGATTACTTAACATGTCCTAGACCACAGGCAATCTAAGGAGAGTTGAGCAAGGCCATGGAGGAGTCCTCCAGCCACAGCTGGCCATCAGAGGAGTCCCCTGTCTTCCAGGAATGTCCTGCCTTAGTGTCACTGGTGTGACCCATCACTGGTTGGGAATAGTCCATGGGAAGCAGGGCCTCAGCACCAATGCCACTGAGGATGTCAGAGCACAGGAGCACGGCCTTGGAGGATTACCCAGGAGTGTGACTCAAACCTTCTGCCCTGATGGGTCTGGAAATCAAATCCTCTCAGGCTGAATTGCTGGATAATTCTACTCACACTTGCAATGGGGTGAGGGAAAACAGAAGGCCCCCAGGTGGATCTCTGGTTTCCACACTTCTGCCTTTATTGTGTGAAAGTAGCCATGCCTCCTCCTGGGGATGAGGATCTATTACCTGGGCCTGGAGAAGAGGAGACTTCTCTTCTCACCAGGTGGTCTCTGGGCATATACTGTCCACACTTCTCTGGTGACAAACTTAATGTGTAGTTCAGTGGGCTGTCTTTTGTCTGCTTTTAAGGGTACCCTCCTTTGCAAACCAGGACCTCGTACCCTGCACAGCCCAGTGTTCTGAGATAAAACATGTCAAATACCCCATTACGTGAATCTAAAAGATTAGACATGGAGCCATACTTGCTTCCACCGTTTGATTTCTGGACCCACATGTTCTTCCTCTTGCGAACACAGAACTGTAGACACATCTCTGATTTAAACAACGCACCATGTCCTGAAAGATGGCATGCAACCCTCAGAGTGTTTCCTCCAGGCTGGCACTTAGTTGTGCCTGTGGAAGATCACGGGACTCCAAGCAACTATGTGGTTCCAAGTGCCTGTGTGACCCAGAAAGTCATAGATTGCACAGGCCAAACAGCATTCATCATGAGGTGAAAATGGTCCACCTGGGTTGAGCTTGAATCCCATGTTGACACCCACAGAAAACAGCCAAGTCTGAAGTGTCATTAAACAACGAAACAGACAAATGGAAGTTAGCCAGCCTTCACTATGGGTCAGCCCATGCATGATAGGATGGGCACATGAATGGAACAACCACAGTGGCAGGTGTGAGGCTACATATGGGGCATTCCTTGTGGCTGGCAGCCCCTGGGGAGAGTAGCTGGTGATAGGGTTAGTGGAAGGAACAGCCATGGAAACACTGAATCTTTCCCTTGCCAAGTGGGTCCTTCAGGCAGATAATGGGCTAGGAGCACAACCTAGCCTGCAGACCAGGAATGTCAACAGCACCCAGAGAGTGGTACTGGCTATGTCTGAGAGCAGGACAGAAAAACCCCCCTAGAATAGGTACCTAACCCTGTGAAGATGAACCTCTGGTCCTTCCAGGATGGAAGTAGGTAAATGTAGTCAACTTCTTAGTTAATGGCTAGTCACCTAAAGAAATAGTGCCCCACTAGGGCACATCATGGGCCTAAAATGCTGATGAGTTGGACATTCAGAGGTGGCAGCAGCTGGATCTGCCTTGGTAGGGGGAAGTCAGTGCTGCTGGCCCTCATGCGTGCCACTGTGGTTGCTCCATTCATGCACTCATCCTACCAGGCCTGGGCTGACCCATGGTGAAGGCTGGCTAACTTCCATTTGTCTGTTTGGTTGTTCAGTGCCACTTCAGACTTGGGTGTTTTCTGTGGGTGTAAACGTGGGATTCAAGCTCAACCCAGGTGGACCATTTTCACTTCATGATGAATGCTGTTGGGCCTGTGCAATTTATGATGTTGTGGGTCACAAAGGCACTTGGAACCACATAGTTGCCTGGTGTCCTGTGGTCAAGCTTTCTATCAAATCAGGACAAGGAACACTAAAAGTTGCTTCTAACAGGGGGCATATGTCTCTGCTGTGGATGATACGATCTTACTCCAGAATCCCAGGCCCTTCACTGTGACTCTTCCACTGGTGCTTGGTTCAGCTCCATCCTGCATCTTTCCCCACCACTGGCACCACCAGCCCCAGGGGGTCTGAGGGACGCTGGCTGCTCGCACCATGGCCTGGATCTGCTGCAGGGTCCTTTCCTGTGTAGGCCCTACTTGAAGCTGGCCTCCTCCTATGTCACCTAGAGTGTTTGCCAAAGCACGTACCTAGATGTGGAATGTGGTGTTGTCAGAACTCAAAGAGGCTCATCAGGCAGTGTGCTTCCTTCCTTCTGGTGAGGATGCAAGATGAAACAGTTTGTCTTTTACCTTGGAGGGAACACACCTGCATTCCCCTAAACACTTGGCACTTGTTAACCCATAAAACTTCACTTCAGTGGCCACTCTTGAAGCTCTGTAAGGTTTATCTTCACATACTGGAGTGCGTGTGTTTTGCCAATGACTCCAGTGCACTTTCTACCTGCTGCTCATTCACCGCAGTCAACATGAAGTTGTCAGTGAAATGAGCTGATTTAATATCCTATAGAATATCCAGTATGTCTAGTATTGTCTTTAGACCATACTATATAGGGCAGGGGAGTTACAATAGCCCTGAGAAAAAACTATAAATAAATGTGTTGTGGATCCCACATGGATGTGAATCGCTCCATATCCCCTTTCTAATTGGAGTGGAAAGAAATGCACTCACCAAATCCATAGCTGCACGCTGTGTGCCCAAGGCTTTATTATTCTGCTCTGCAGTGATATCCAGACAACATAAAAGCTGCAATTATAATTCCTGCTTGGCCAGGCCTGGAGTAATCTCATTCATTCTTTAGTCCTCATCAGGGTTCCTCAGGGACAGGTTGCTGGATTATGTAGAGACAATAGACAACCCCAACACCATCCCACATCCTTCAGCTCTCTAATGGTGGTGTGACCCCCACATTACTTTCAGTGTCTTCCTCAAGACACACCCTGGGACACACTATGATTTTTTTTTTTTTTTTTTTGCCAGGATGTGGGCAGCGTCAGAGGTTTCCCTTTGGCTTTCAGCACAATGAGAGTCCTGACTCCACAGACTAGGGACCCAGTGTGGGGGTGACTCCACTTAACAGTGCATCAGTGTTAATTATGCACTCAGGGAATTGGAAGATAACCAGGGCTGGGTCTATGGATCCAGTAGTTCCATTGTGGGCCGTAATGTGTCCAGGTTTACTCCCTGACCTCCGTAAGCCCCACTGTGATGGGAGACATGATAGTGCTGTGGGCATCTGGGCATCAATGTCAGCTCTCACTCAGTGTCAATAATCTGACCAGTTCTGCATCTTTCCTTTCGCCAGTGTACAATCTCCTGAGTAAATGGCTATAGGTTCCTTTGCTGAAGGACTGAGGGAATTGTGCCAGCATTTACTTCCACGGAGTTGCAGGGTATTCCTCCTAGGGATATGGACTCCTCCTCTGTCACTGGGATCTGAATCTGAACTTTGGCTGAGGTCTAGGCATTGAGGATGGGATCATGACTTTGTATTGGGTCAAACACCTTCACCCTTCTGCTTCTCAATTCTTGCTTTCTTATCATAGATATCAAGCAGCGCCCTTGTTGGCTTCCTGTCCTAATCCTGGGACACCACCCTCTACTATCCTTCCCCACATTCCCTGCAGCTTGAGTCCTATTGGCTACGCCTTTTAGTTTGCCATAGTAACTCTGCCCTCTGGCTTTTTCAGGTCACTGCCACCATTTGGTCTTTGTCTCTTCAGGGCCACACTCTCCCCAGGGATATTAATAAATGAAACTCTGGGTCATCTTTACTACCATCACATCCAGCCTGCAGAGGACAACACCCCGACATTTCTTAATGATGCAGGTCCCTCTCACCATCACGTTTCTGAGGCTCTGGTGGAAGGTGTTTCCTTTGGACCGTCTTGTGGAGCATGGTACTGGTGGGCCTTCACCATGCCCACTTCCCTCAGCCTTGTTATTCCATCCTGTGCAAGTTCCAGGGCAACTAAGTCACGTCTACCTTGTTGAGAGTTAGGCATCATTTTTTCTAGTCTATATGGATTCACCCCAGCGGTGGGTTTGGCCCCCCCCTTATCAAAGTCCTGGGGTGTTTGATAAACCCATGCCTTGAGAAAGTGCCTCCAAGCCAAAGGATTTTTATTCTTCCAGCTTGAAATTCTGGTTCCTTGATCAAACACCCTCAAATTCCAATCCCAGAAGTGCTCCTCGGCCTCCTATGGGGACGTGCCAGCTAGTTCCTGCAAAGCTCTTCAGTGGGATTCCTGCTGTATCATGGGGGTGAGACTTCTGTAGCATCTTCCAGCATAGGAAGTGGGAACCATTACTAGAGAAGGGTGAGCCTCCTATGCATGCCCAGAGGATCCTGGAGGGCACCCATCGGATAACCCTGTTCCTGTTTGCAGAATCTCAGGTTTCCCCACCAGGGTCCTGACTTTCCTGTAACAGGCCTGCCTTGGCTGAGTGGCAAACCTCTCTGGAGCACTGTGGCCCTCATAGTGATGTCTTCAGCTACCATTCCACGGTATCTGCCCTTTCGCTACAAGAGATAAAGACCTGTGCATGAGACACTGCAGAGGCTGTCACATGTAGCCAGTGACAGCTGTTAACAATCTGCAGATTCTCATGATACTTTCACAGGGCATCATTGCAGCTGAGCAGTAACCAGCCAACTCCACTGTCTTTGTAGGTTTCCCCCTAACCCCGTCATTATTGTGCAGGGCATTCTATCACCCCACCTGCCATAGCTTCCCCTAACCAGGGCATCCTCTCAGCTCAGCACTGGTGAGACCCATAGCAGCTCGGCTGCATCTTGTGCTATGGAATTTCTGTGTCTCCCACAACCCTGGTGGCATCCTCTTGGCCTGGCAGGCAGTGGGCAAGCTTTTTTCAAATTCTCATTTTTGCCTGTTTTCATGGATCACCCTTCATACTACTTGTGTTAGTTAGGGTCCCCTGAGGAGCGGACCCCAATACAGTATTCAATGTGCAAGGATTTATTAGAGGAAATAGTTATGAGAGAAATTCAGGACACAGACGGAAAATGCTGGGAATGTCATCAGACCACAAAGCAACTCTGAGCCCCAGTGAGGTAAACAGTGCAGGAAGGTCAGCTGGAAGCATCCTAGACCCTGTGCAGGCTAACAGAAGTTCAGTAAGCGTGGCAGGAAGCCCTAGAGCTTCAGTCAGCCTTCAGAGAAGAAATGTTCCTGCCTTAGTTTCTGCCCTGCTTTCCTCAGTCATTGGCAGGAAAAGACAGGGGGCAGGTGTGGTCTCAGAGCAAATGTGGCAATAGGTTTCAGGATTCAAAAGTTGAGGCCACTATCAATTCTGCTTACTCTAGCTGAGGGGCTGGGATGTGCATTCTCATGACTGCCACAATGATCCAGTGGGGAGAGAGGAAAAAGGTTGATGATAAAGAGAAAAAAAGGTATTAATTGATGAACTGACACCTTTAAGTAGATGATAAGGGATGACATTTTGGGCACCAGAAGAGGGACTGGCTCTGATGGGAGCAGAATGGTTTACCCACAACAGTCCCCAACATGGTAAAACACCTGACATGTGTTGCAGCTGCAAATGCATGAGCAGATGGTGATGGAATCTGTCTTCTAATGTGTTCAGTTTTCTCAGTGAGGTAGGAACCAAGGTTGTCAGCTGAGATAAGAATGGGGAAGGAGGGTTGGATGTGTGAGCACAGAGAGAAGGTGTGTAAGGGTCACCCAGGCCAGGAGGAGGCTGAGGGTGAGCCATGCAGGGAGAGGGTGATTGCTGGCCCTGGTGGGGGCTCCCCATGTGGTTTGGGTCATGAAGTTAGAGAAGACACCAACGATGAGGGACAGTGAGTAGATGGCGGAATCACTGGATTGGTATTCCCAGGGTGGGGGTCGAAGGATTGTTGGAATTGATGTGCTAAAGGGTGGACTTCAAGCCTGGAATGCAGGCACATATGCAATGAGTAGTCACTGATATTACCTCACAGCATATGATAAAATGATAGAGTCTGTGTCCTCAGAGCCTGTGGCCACCTTGCATGGGATGAGTGGAAAGATGGCCAGAGAGTGGGAAGTGTGAAATTGAGAGTATGGAAGGGCTGGGGTTCTTGGGCATGATGAGGCCTAGGGGATGACAGGGGCATGAGATTCAGGCAGAGAGAGGAGAAGGTCATGGAGGAGAGGAGTTCCAGGATCTGAGAGTCCAGGGAGCAAGGGCATCTTCTCTGCTGTATAGGTGTCTATTGCTGCCATAAGAATTACCACAAACCAAGTGGCTTTAAACAGCACCTAATTATCATGTTACAGTCCTGTAGGTTGCAAGTCCACACAGTCTTATGGGGCTAAGATCAAGGTATGGGCAGGTCTGTGTTCCCTCCTGGAGACTCTGGGGAAGAATCCATTTCCAAGCTCATTCAGGTTCTTGTCTGAATTCACTTCCTTGCACATAGAACAGAGGTTTCCACTTCCTTGTTAAGAGCCATGCTTAGCTCCTAGAATCTTCTTTCAGCTACTCACACATGGTGCCTAAGGCACATCCAATCCTCCTGCTTGGAACGTCTGACCTCCCCTCTTCTATGTCTCCTCTGCCTTCCTCCTCTGCAGAATCTGACTCCAGCCAGGGCAGGTTCTCTGCTTTTAGTGGCTCATTTGATTTGAATGGGGCCACACAGATTGTCCAGGAGAATCTCCCTATTTTAAGGTCCTTAATCGTCATTACATGAGTAAAGTCCCTTTTGCCATGTAATGCAACCTGTTCACAGGTTCCAAGGACTAAGACTGGACCTCTTTCGGGACCATTACTCAGCCCACCACATGTTGAAGTCACCAACAGTCAAGGAGACTGCTGGAGAGGGTGACAGTGAACCAAGAGCTACAAGAGTCAGGATTGAGAGGAAAGGCCAGGGGCCCACAGGGAATGGCTACAATGAGGGGAATGGGGGTCTAATCTGATGACAGCCTAGGGGTTTTAGGGAGGAGGGAGGCAGAAAGTTCTGAGAACCACAGTGAGGAGCAAGGTCCCCACCTCACCTCTGAACCCAGGGGTACAAGTCCATGGTGGAAACTCCCCTATGTGGGAGGACTTCAGAGGGGGTCATGTCCTCAGGGAGACCAGGTTGCTGCTGGAGCTGGGAGGTGCAGGAACATCCTGAGAGAGGGTGTGGAGGTTTTGTTGATCATTGACTGAGATTCCAGGGGGTGCACTGGGAAGATTTCTGTGGTTTGGGAGGTTGGGGAGACAGAATAGTGGTGTGCAGAGCCTTGTGGGGATGTGAGTGCAGAGTATGTGGGGGACCCAGTGTCACTGACACAAACAGGGAAAGGACATGATGAGCTGAGTCCTGGTGGACTCGGCGCAGACAATGGTGCTGAGGCTGTGGGAGATGAGGGAGGAGGAGCAGGGGTGGCTCTCACCTGGGCTCTGTCCATGGAGGTGAGGACAATGAGGTAGTTGGGTCTCAGTGCTGTGTGGAACTTTCTTTTGACCTCCTTATGAGTGGATGGTCTGTCTGAGATAGAACGGGTCTTAGAGGATTTACTCATTACCCTGAGAGAGGGGGCGTGTTCATTCCAGGTTTCAGGTCTGCCCTGACACCTTTCTTGGTGGCTTAGACCTCCCTACTGTAAATTATTGGGTGTTAGTCCATTTTGGAGTTCATAACTTAAAGCAGAAACTCAGATGGTTGAAATGTCATTTTCATGAAGGATTTTTATTAGAGTATCATTTAGATTGCCTTTGCAACCTCCCATGTGTTTTGTTTTTTTTCTAAAGGGCTGCTAATCTTGTTTTAAATTTGCAATGTAGTTAATTTATCTTCACTGTTAATTAGTTGTGGGTTGTTTAACCTTATACCGTATAGTTTTACATATCTATAACAACAGTAGTTTGGGCCTCTTGTATTCTAATAGTTAAGTCCTTAAGCTGTGTACACACTGCAATTCAAGTATGAGTCATGCATAACCGTAGCACTAAGAGACAAGAGGGAAATCCCTCTCTCCTAAAATTTTGCAAAAGTTCTGGGTTTTTTTTTCCACTGAGTGGGAACTAGTCAGCTAATCATGAACATGAGGTCTTTGGCCTCATTTAAAGGTGCTTCAGAAGCACTGAGCCATAGGAAAGCCTCTTTGTCTAGGTCCGGGACCCTACACCATGGCAGAAGCCATCTTCCCTCCCAGTGTGCAGTGATGTCCCAGATAGCGAATTGGTTAGCCACTTTTCAGTCTCGGGCAGTTTTGTTTTCCAAAACATGGGTTTTTATCTCAGGACCTTCTTGTCCCCAGATGATCAAAACCGGGGCCATCCACTCCCTTCTGAGCCACCTCTGCCTGGGGGGCCTGCGGCTGTGTCCTCCAGTCACAACAGAACACTCCTTCAGAACACTCGCAGGAAGACAACATCTTGTCATTGGCTCACACATGCACGGTGCGTGCACAGAGCTTTGGTTCTAGTTCAGGAGGTGTGTGGGGAGGAGGCTCACTAGTCCAACAGAGCTTGGTACCAGTGTCATATGCCAGGAGCCAAGGTTACAAGGATGCAAAGTTCCCAGACCTACCAGAGAAGGCAAACCCCTGCAGCATGCAGGGCTAGACAGGGGCAAGAAACAAGGTCATTCCGGGCCAGCAGGAAGAGGGAAAGGGAAACTACAGACGTACCTCAGAGACACTGCAGATTTGGTTTCAGACCATGGCAACAAACAAGTCACACAAATTTTTGTTTTTCCAGTGCATAGAAAAGTTATATTCACACTCTACTGTAGCCTATTAAGTGTATGATAGCATTATGTATAAAAGAACTATGTATATACCTTAATTTAAAATTACTCTATTGCTCAAAAATGCTAAGGATCATCTGAGGCTTCAGCTAATCTTAATCTTTTTGCTGGGGCAGGGTCTTGCCTCAATGTTGATGACTGCTGGCTGATCAGGAGGGTGGTTGCTAAAGGCTCTTATGGCAACTTCTTAAAATAAGACAATGAAGTTTGCGGCATGGATTATAAAGGGGGAATCAGTACTTAAGTAAGGTCAATATAAGTTTTCAAGTTAGGTGGACCTGAATATGAACCCTCCAGGCCTTTCCACCAGCTAGCTATAGAGCCTTGGACACATCTTGGCCATAGCTGGCCCCGACAGACACTTGCCCAGTGGGTGAGTGCTCAGTGAACCCCTCTGAGCCAGTTGCCTCACCCAACCAGTGATATAATTCCTTCCTTGCAGAAGAATAAGTGAAAAAAGGCACAGTGCCAAGAGAATCAGACACAAGACCTGCGGAAGGCTGTGCCAGTGCTCTAAAGCAAGTTCTGCCTAAAGCGGCAGAAACATTTTTCACATTAGGAACAGGAGTTGTTTGGGATCCTGTCTGGGGCCAGCTTGAGAGCAGAGCGGGAGTGGGGGCCTGGGTAGGGCCAGGCACTGGAGTGAAGACAGGCCTGGAGAGAGCCTCCTGAAGGCTGCTGAGCGGCTCAGACAGCTCCTTGCCTCACCTGCCACAGTCCTCCCACTCCCCTGGCTCTCTCGGTGCTGTTTTCTTCACCTCCTCCTGCCCTCCTGGTCCCTGGCACCCCAGGGCTCATAAACATGCTGCTCCCAAAACTCCAAGGCAAGTATGGAAGGGCAGAACAGCTTCTGGGACAGTGGGAAGATGAGGCCACCCGCTATGTGGCTCCAAGTGCTCGGGTGGAGGAGATGAAGGGATCAGTACAGTAGTCGGGGGAAATTCTCTCAATCCCACCCTGCATTACCCTCACCTCTGCAGCTTTTTGCCTATTTCCAACTCTCAGCTCCTTCCACCCCCACCCCAGCCCAGCCCTCAGGGCTCCCTCTCTCCAGCCCTCCCTCTGCCCAGAGCAGCACAGTCCAGAGTCCTTGAACAGGAATTCCCCCTCATCTAACAGTTAATCATTTATTAGTGGGGACAGACACCTGGTTGTCTCTTTCCGGTGACCCCATATCCTCATTCAAGGCATCCAGATATAGCCCCTGAGCCAGGGATCTGTATCTGCCCTCCAGAGGCCTATGCCCAAGACAGGTTGCTCCCTGGGATTCTCACTACAGGTGGACTTAAGCTAATGGGCTGGAAAAAGAGAAAACGAGGTCGAATTCCTCACTTACCATGAGATCTTGCAACACAGGTTCCAAGGGCCTCAACCCCTCTACCCTGGCTGATGCTCCCTCCTCCACTCCCTCTGACCAGGGCCCTGAGCCCCCCACACAGCTGAGCTGGCCCAAGCTGAGGACTTGCTTGCACAGCAGCTGGAGCTGGACCAGGCCCTCCTGGAAGGGAAGGAGTCGGTGGGGGCCCAGGCCCTGGTGCTCAAGATCCAAAAGCTAAAGAAACAGATGAGGAGGCACTGAGAGAGCCTGGGAGGAGAGAGCCTGGGAGGGGACACCCAAGCTTCCCAGCAGTGCCCACAGCACCCTCCATGCCTGGAACTAATGTGCACCACCCCCAGGAGCCCCAGGATCAGAAACACCCCAGCATCTCCCAGGCCAGAGAAAGCAGAAGAGACCCCACAAAGGGCTGGCAATTGGCAGGTAGTGGGGGAGCCAGGGCTCTGCAGTCTTAGTCCCATCCCTCTTTGACCTCACAGCAGGGCACCAAGGCCTTACAGGAATTTACCCTGGGCCATGCCCTAAAATAACCTCACCCCAAATAAAATAAAGGGAGAGAGCACCCACACATAATGCAGATGCACTTGTGTTTCATTTTTAGTTATGTTAAAAATTCTGACAATCAGGAATGGGGGTTCAGGAGTGGTGCTGAGGCAGAGGGCAGAAGCCAGGGGGTGGGGGAAGAGGATGTCAGGGGTGGGGTCAGTAGAGTCTCCTTCACCCCCAACCTGCAGTCTCCTCCTGAAGCGCGGTCACATGCCAGAATGGGCTAGTCCCCTACTGTGTCTGTTCAACTAAGGGGAAAATGTGGCATGGTGAGAATAAGGCATGAAAAGGAAAAAGTGAGGCAGGAGCACACGGCACACATGCAGATGCTGGTGTACTGTGTGGGTTCAGAGGACAGACTTGGGAGTGGGGGAAGAGATGTAATATGATGAAAGAAAACAGATACCCCACATAACGGTCAGAAAAACATCCCAACACGGCATCAAAGACCAGGGTGCATGAAGCAGCCAAGTGTCCATTATGCATCAGGTGCCCATGACAGGATTGAAGACAAACATATTAAGGAACTAGGAAGAACTAAAGGGCTTCATGACATCAGCACTCACTGTGGAGGAGATGTCTGTCTCATCAGGCAGCTCACTATCACTGACCTCAAAGCGATGCTGCCCATACTGAGGATCCTGGCATTATTGTCACCTGACACAAATGTGATGGTCAAGCCCTGTGCCACCTGGAAGGGGATAGAGGGTAGGATAGGACTAGAAGACCCAAAGAGGGAAGACTCTCAGAGGGAAGGATGAGGATGTAAAGTGTGAAAAGATACAGAAAGTAAGGAGGTGGGAGAGTGGGTGTCCCTCTGGGTGTGGGGCTTAACTGCTGCAGGTAGGTCTCAGAATCCTCATGCATGTCATAGGTAAAGGCAATGCTCATCTGCTCCATGTCCATGGCTCAGCCAAATAAGTTGGTAGTCAACAAATTGATCTTATCTTTTGGGGTCATTCTCCAGCAAGTGCAGAACAGTAAAAAAATTTAGTCACCTGAGGTGCATATCTTGGTTTCCTGGCCAGTTTTCCCAAGGCCTCCACTGCCACCCTGCACCCTGGGTGCCCTCCACACTCTCCAAGTGTCCAGATGTGTGTGAGGAGTTAAGGGCAGGAAGAACTATTGGATCGTGGATTTAGGTGCCTTTTTCCACCTCTGCAGGTGGCAAGGTGTGGATTCATAAGCTGGCATTGAAGCGAGTTCTGTCCTTTGTGAATAGTTGTTTGGTCACCCACAGTCATAGCTGAGCCCTGAGAATAAGAGAAACTTGTCTAGAAAAAGAAATTGTGTTGACTCTTAAATAGACATTTCTGGTCTGCGTTTTATTTCAAGTGTCTGGGAAGAGATAGAGTGTGAGGTTCAGGAGAGAAGGAGAGGTCTGTCTTGATGCTTTGACACAGCACCAAGAAATTTCCCCTCCTCCCCCACATCGCCCCGCCAGTTCTCAGTGAGGGACAGATTCACAGCAGTACTGAAAGGGCTGGGAAGAGATGGGGAGACATCTGGGGCCAATGTTCAGGGGTTGACCCTGTGGGAGGACACCTGCCTTCAGAGTTAGAGCCCACATGTGATGATGTAGAGCTGAAGGGTGATATCAGGGAGGTGATGGAGAGTGCTTTGGGGTTTCCTGATTATGAAGAGCAGAGGTCAGTCTGCTTCCTGGGTGAAGTGACTGCTGGGGAGATTGGATTGAATTAATGAAGAATAAATAAACGGGGAATGAGGATAAGCAAGCATCAGCATCTCCCACCATCAGTTCAGACTGAGGGGAGTTTGGATTGAATTAATGAAGAATAAATAAACAGGGAATGAGTATAAGCAAGCATCAGCATCTCCCGCCATCAGTTCAGACTGAGGGGAGTTTGGACTGAATTAACGAAGAATAAATAAACGGGGAATGAGGATAAGCAAGCATCAGCATCTCCCGCCATCAGTTCAGACTGACTGGGGAGGTGGGATAGTTATTGACTCTGTTGCGTGGTTCCTCCTAACTTCCTGGTCTTGGGGCACACAGATGGGTGGTGCTGTTCTTGGTCAAGGCAGCCTCAGCTCCACCCAGGTAAGGCAGTGGTGGCAGAGAGAGTTAGGGGAGCACCTGTGAAACCGACCAAGGCAGAGATGGGAGCCCTCTGTGCAGCAGGAGTGGATGCAGGACCTGCCTGGAAGCAAGAGGATGAGGGAACCTAGTTAGGTCCTGTTCCCTGCCTGCCTGTGTTCGCAGGGTAACCAGTAAGGGAGCTGGGGTAGGGAATTCTTTCATAGGTTATCTAGCCAGAGATATGTTTATAGACATGTTCTTTCATGTTTATATTCAGGTTTGTTGTCACATAGACATTTATCCATGCGTGTTTTATGTTTGTTACTTTAGAATGGCTCAGTCACAAAATCTTAATCTCTTCATTCCTGCTGCCTCTCTACACACACATACACACACATTCACACACATGCTATGCAAACATGTCTACCTGTATCTACAAAGAGAGATGTTATTTTATTTTTAAATTTTTAAATTCGTATATATTCATGGGGCACAGGTGCAGTTTTGCTACATTGCTATATTGAGTTGTGGTAAAGTCAGGGCCTTCAGTGCATCCACCACTGGAGACAGATACATTGACCCCAACAAGAAACTCCTCTACGATACACCCACTGCCAACCACTCTTACCCTTCTGGGTCTCTATTGTCTATCATTCCACACGCTGCTTTCATGCATATAAAGAGATATTAATCAGATATATCAGAGTGATAACTTGAATTTTACTGCACTATTCTTTCAGCTTCTTTGCACATTTGAAAATATATACAATTATAAGTTGGAAGAATGAGGGAAAAAAAAGAGCGAGAGAGAGTGCTGAATCTGAATAGGCTAGGGGTTGGGTCTCACTAGGAACTATAATTGATCTCTGCCATTTTGAAAGTGTGGCCCCCTGAGCTGCCTTCAGAGAGTCCTGGAGGGAAACCTGTTTTCACAGTAATACCAAGATGCCATTTGCCTGTTTCATTATGTTGACTTTTCCATTAATGCTGCAAATGCCAAGGTCGGTAGCACACCCAGCACCTTAGCAGAACCAAGGCAGTGGCTCCAAACTGCAGTCCCATTTAAGAATGCCTTTGATGGAGCAGTAAAATATTTATGTTCATTAAATTTTGATCCTTGAGTACATGTCTTTAATATTCTTTGTGAGAAAATGGGAGATATGCAAAGAGAAGCAGGATAGTAGTCTTGAGAAAGGGCACTTGTGTAGACTCAGTTATGAGTTCAACCAGCAGATCTCCTTCACCCACTGAAAGACAATTGCATTATTTCCAGTTTATGGAAGTAATTATGAATAATTACTTCCAGGAGTATTATGAATAAAGCTGCAAGAGTATTTGTATACAGGTTTTTCATGAACATAAAGTTTTCCCTTGTTTGAAATAAGTGCCTAGGAGGGCAATTTCTAGTCATATGGTAAATTGCATGTTCAGTTTGAAGAAAACTGCAATATCCATTTCCAGAGTGGCTGTACCATTTTAAAATCCATTCCTACCAGCAATATGAATGATCCAGTTTCTCTGTAACCTTGCCAGCATCTGTTGCTACCTTTATTTTGTATTTCAGCCATTCTCATCACTGCAGTTTTAATTTGTATTTTCCTACTGGATAGTGATGTTGAGTGTCTTTTCATCTGCTTGTTAGCCTGGTGTTTATCCTCTTCAGTGAAACGTCTGTTCATGTCTTGCTCATTGCCTATTGTTTATTTGGATTTCATTTTTACTGTTGAGTTTTTACATTTCTTCATATATTGTGAATGCAAGTCTTTATTGAATATGTGGTTTGCAAATATCTTCTCTCATTCTGTAGCTTGTCTTTTTATGTTCTTCATAGGTCTCTCACAGAGCAACAGTTTTAATTTTGATAAGATCCAGTTTAGTAACTTTTTCTTTTACAGATCATACTTTTGGTGTTATGTGTAAGAACTCTTTGTCTAGTCTTAGTTCTGATGGCTTTTTGTTAAAAGATTTGTAATTTTAATTTTTTAATGTATTTGTTATTTATTTAAAAAAAAATCTTGCCTAGGCTGGCCTTGAACTCCTGGGCTCAAGGGATCCTCCCACCTCAGTCTCCTGAGTAGGTGAGAGTACAGGCCTGTGACACCACACCTGGCTCAATGTTTGTAATTTTAACTGTGTGTTTTACATTAAAGCCTGTGATTCATTTTGAGTTTTTTTTTTTTTTGTATAAAGCGTGAGGTTTGGGCTCAGCCTATTTTTTTTCCACTGTGGTTGTCCAGTTGCTCCAGCACCATTTGTTGGGAAAGCTTTCCTTCCTTCATTGAATTGTGTTTGTGCTTTTGTAAATGTCAGTTGAGCATATTTGTGTGTTTTGCTCATTTTCAGTTGAGTTGCTCATCTTCTTACACATTGAGTTTAAGAACTTGCCACATTATTCTGGAAACATGTTCTTCAACACAAATGTAATTTGTGATAAATTGTGAAATATTTTCTCCCTGTCTATGGCTTGTCTTCTCATTCTCTCAATGTCTTTTGGAGCACTCAAGTTTTAAATTTTAACTAAGCCCAATTTCTCTCTCTCTTTTTTTTTTATTTGTAGATCATGCTTTTGGTATTTTATCTAAGAATCTTTTGCCTAACTACCCAAAGTAATAAAAATTTTCTCCTGTGTTTTCTTTTAGAAATTTTATAGTTTTAACTCATAAATTTTAGCTGTTTAGGTCTCTAATTTGTTTGAGCTGATATTTTATATGGTGTTAAATGTAACATTGTGTTACCTATGCAACTTCATTGAAAATCAATTGACAAAGAAAGTAAGAATATCTTTCTAGATTCTCACTTCTGTTCATTGATCTCTATGTCTCTCAGTTTCACACTGTCTGGATTATTGTAGTTTCATATGACATTCCATTTTTTTTTCAAATTTGTGTTGGCCCTTCTGCATCCTCTGCATTTTAATATACATTTTTAGGATTATTTTGTCAATTTTCTTTTCTTTTTTTTTTTTTTTTTTGAGACGGAGTCTCGCTCTGTCACCCAGGCTGGAGTGCAGTGGCATGATCTCCGCTCACTGCAACCTCCGCCTACCGGGTTCATGCCATTTTTCTGCCTCAGCCTCCCGAGGAGCCCGCCACCACGCCCGGCTAGTTTTTTGTATTTTTAGTAGAGATGGGGTTTCACCGTGTTAGCCAGGATGGTCTGGATCTCCTGACCTCATGATCCGCCTGCCTCAGCCTCCCAAAGTGCTGGGATTACCGGCATGAGCCACCGCGCCCGGCCTATTTTGTCAATTTTCTATAAAATCCCTGCTGGGATTTTGATAGGGATTGTGTTGAACCTATAGATCTACTGGGGGAGAATTGCCATCTTAACAGTATTATCAAGCTTTCCAACTCGCATCTCTCCATTTATTTAGACCTTTAATTTCTCTGAGGAATGTTTTTTTATTTTCAGTGAACAAACACTGCTGTCTTCCTAAATTTATTCCTATTTCGCTCTTCTGGTAACTACTGTGATAGGAAAGTTGAGATTTTCATTGCTTCTATAGAGAAATATGTTAATAATTAATTTTTATATTGATTTGATATCCTATGGGCCCTTCTGGATTCATTTATTAGTGCTAGCCAGTTTTTATCTGCTTGTGAATTCTACAGACAGGGTCATGTTATCTGTGAATAGAATTGTATGTTTTCCTTTTTATCTGGATGCCTTTAATTTTTAATTTTCTGCCTTATTGCACTGGCTACAATCTCCAGTATAATATTAAATAAAAGTGGTGGGATTGGACATCCTTGCATTGATCCCCATCTTAGGAGAAAAGCATTCAGTCTTCAGTCTTTCTTCATTAAGTTTGATTTTAGCTGTGGGTTTTTTATAGATGCGCTTTATCAGAGTGAAGAAGGTCTCCTCCATTCCTATTTTGTTGAAACTTATGAACATGAGTGATGTTAACATTTTTGTCAACTGTTTCTTCTGCATCTTTTGAGATAATTATGTCTTTTTTTCCATTAATACAGTGCATTCCATGAATTGATTTTCAAATGTTAATCCAACCATATGTTCCTGGGATGAATCCCATTGGTCATGGAGTGTAATCCTTTTTTATGTGGCTTTGTATTATCTGCCAATGTTTGTTAAGGATGTTTTCATTTATGTTTATTGGTGACACTGGTGTATGGCACTCTTTTCCTGTGAGTCTTGCTGTGACTTTGATATGAGGGTGATGCCAGTTCTGTAAATGGGCTGGAAAGTCTTCCCTCCTCTCTTCTTGTCTGAAAGAGCTTTCAAAATATTTGATAGAATTCACCAGTGAAGATATCTGGGCTTTGGCATTTCTTTTTGAGAAGGTTTTTCAATTTCTGACTTAGTTCACAGTTCTCTTCAGGTTTTCCAGTTAATTTGGGTCAGTTTTGGCAATTTCTATCTCTGCACGAATTGGTCCTTTTTATCTAAGTGGTCTAACTTATTGGCTTCAGGTTTTTCAGAGTATTCACTTATAATGTTTTTTAACTTCCTAAGGGTCATTAGTGATAATCTCTTTTGTTCACAATTTTGGTAATTTATCTTATTTCTCATAATCTCTTTTTTCACTGTTGGTCAAGAAAACAGACAGAGGCAGCAGATGGAGATGTGACAGATTCTCTAGTGGGAAGGCTTTGATCATAATACCTGGCAAGCCAGAATGATGCCAGCAACCCCAAAGGAGCTGCCAATGGATCTTGACAGGAAAATCACTGACTCTGGATTGGGCTATGCTCAACCAGGGGTAGATGTCAATGCTTCAAGGGCTATACAAGGACCAGAAAAGAAGAGGTTGCACCAATTTGGACTGCCGAGTCACACTTCTTTACACAAGAAAACACACTTTACAGCCTCAAACGGCCAACAATGCAGAGGGACATGTCCTCCTCAGGGGAAAATTTGATAGAAAATTGAAATGGTCAATTGAAACATTGTTTGTCTAAAAACTGCCAATCTAATTGTTGGGCAATATAAACATGAAGGACTGGCTTTTATATCTTCATGAATGTGCTCGCTGTCAACATGAGTGGGGCTGCAAGAATAACTCCACTAGGTAGCATCCTCTCTTTTACCTGATGGATCAGGACGATGCTGTTACGACGATACATACAATTCTTCTGAAGGGGAGAGGATGCTGGAATAAAGACTACACTTCACCTCAAATTTATTTTTTCATATGTTATGCCATAGTACCAGGAATAGGGATGTAAATAAAAGTGCCAGAAACAGGAATTATCCCTAAGCGAAAAACCATAACTATATTTTTACACCTTTATGTAAGAATTCTCAAGTATTCATTTCATCTGAAAAGTTAGGATTAACAGTAAGTAGAGTTATATAGCCTGGTGGTCTGATAGCCCCCACTAGTTCCTTACCTATATAACCTACCCTCTATGATCAAGACTAGACTGAGGGAAGACATGCTAGAATACTATTGCTGCCTGCAGTCTAGGCCAGCCCAGCAGACAAACCTAATGTCACTCCCAAACCTGGAAACAACTGATATAAAAGGACAGAGGGAGGAATAGTGGCTGAGGGTAAGTGAATAAATCAAAGGGTTATATAATGAGAAAAATTCAATATTAGCTTAACTCCTCAAAGGTGGTGTGAGCAAGAGAAGATATTGTCACTTAGGTCAATTATACGGGATGCCTAAAAGAGTGAAGCTGTATGTCCCTGAGACCATCCTTGTTTTTGGAACCTGGTAAGATTGAGTGTTGTCAGCAAAGCTGAGTGATTTCATTCTGGGAGACATATTCATACAAGAGGATGATAAACTGGCCTAATTTTGAATGAATGGATGAGACTCTGATAATATGCCAATACCTCTTTACTGTTACAATCCTTTTTCCTGTAAAAGATATGTGGTCAAAGAAAAGTGGGCAATCTGAGTTATCACAAAAACATTTAGTCTTTGTCCCTGGTTTCTCCTAAAAACCTTAGACTCTCTTGAGTGATAAGAGTGTCTTTAGAGTACTGATGAGAAGACTCTTGGCTGAGTGGATCCTGGATATCTTAAGAACGGTGGCTAGCTGCCAGAGACACATACCTGTGATGCGAGGGTTATCTTTTTCCATTTTGTGTTGCTATAAAGAAATGTCTGAGACTGACTAATTTATATAAACGAGGTTCATGTGGCTCAAGATTCTGATGTCTGGAAATGTTTGCGCATTTAGTGAGGGCCTCAGGCTGCTTCCACTCATGGCAGAAGACAAAGGGGAGCTGGTATATGCAGAGATCACATGGTAACAGAGGAACACAGAGAGTAGGAAGTTGCCAGGGTCTTTTTAACAACTAGCTCTCTTGGAAAATAATAGAGCAACAATTCATTCATTCCCGAGAGAGGGCAGTATCTCTCGATTCATAAAAGATTGGTCACCATGACCCAAATGGTGGCCATTAGGCCCCAAGTCCCACAGTGGGCGTTAGATTTTAACATGAGGTATCAGGGGATAAATGTTTATATCATTGCATCCCCTCCCTAGCCAGCCAAAGGTCATGTTCTTCTCACATTGCAAAATATAATAATCTACTCCCAATTGTCCCAAATGTGTTAGGTTGTTCCAGCATCAACTCAAAATTCTAGAGTCTCATCTGAGACGCAAGGTAAATTCTTATAGCTTTGAGCCTGTAAAATTTTTTTAAAAAATGTTATTTGCATCTAAAATATTAATAAAACAGTGGAAGAGACATTTCTTGTACATTTCCATTCCAAAAGGTATATAAATGGGCCAAAAGAAATGAATGCAGTTTCCTCATAAGATTGAAACTCATCATGGCAGACATTAAAACTTAAAGGTCTAAAAGAATCTCCTTTGACTCTATATTTTGAATCCAGAGCACAGTGGCTGGTGCAACTGCTGGGCTCCTAATGCCATTTGCAGCTCCACATTTATGGCTTTGCTGAACATAACCCATATAGCTGCTGTCATGGGAGAAAATTGAATGCCTATGGCTTTTCCAGGCTGAGGTTGCACATAGCCAGTGGCTCTACCATTTAGTAGTCCTGGCAGGGGTCCTGTTGCTGCAGCTCCGCTAAGAATTTTCCTGGGTATTAAATTTCCCCATTTAAATATCAGTCCCAGTTTCGGGTCATTTCTTTGCTCACACATATGCACATAGGCTATTACAGGCAGCCAGACCAAATCCTGAATTCTATGCTACTGAGAAATTTCTTCCATCAGATACCCTTAATCATCACTCTCAAGTTTAAAGTTCCACAGATCCCTAGGGAGGTGGCACAATGCCTCCAAGAACTATCACAAGAACAGCATGAAAGAGATGATTCTAAACCATTCATGAATCATCCATCCTCATGAGCCAATCACGTCCCACCAAGCACCACCTCCAACATTAGGGATTACAAGTGAGCATGAGATTTGGGTGGGGACACAGATCCAAACAATATCAGGGGTCATGGTGGACATGAGGGTGGGCTGGTCTCTCCACTTCTCACATGTTACCAGGGACATAGACACATTCAGATGCCTTGGCAGAAAGAGAAAACAGAGGCCCTTGAAGTCTCAAAGTGGAGCCATGAACAAATCTTGCATCTCAGTCCCTCACAAGGGAGTCTTGGAAAGAAAATAGTCGTGAACAAATTCAAGTCAGTCATGGTAAGTGGTGACACTGAACAGCCCACCACACATTGAAAAATTCCAAATCAAAGACTCTCTAGAGCCTAGTTGTGTCCCATCTGCCCCAACTCCTCCTTCACTTCAGGCCCTCTAAGGTGTCACTTTTACAAGACTTGAGAGACACATCAGAGCCCTGGGTACTGTTCCTGTTTGGGGTGGAACAAAAACAAAGTCTGGTCAGAGCCCACAGGTGATGTGACTAAAGGAGGAATTGTGGGGTGGTGACCTCCCCCATGGGCTCCTGTCTACACTATTCCAAGGATCTCAGGAATCACTCTCCCACCCCTACCACACTTACTTGAAGCCTGAGCATAGCTGACTCCTTTTCCATATGAGGAAAGAAAACAAACTGTGAGAGGCCAGGGAAGAGGCAGGGCCATGAGATCCTAGAGGAGTTTCCAGAACTGTGACTGCAGACCCAGGTCAGGATCAGAAAACCCGAGGGAAGAGGATGTGTTGAAGCTGAACCAAATGTCCTTTTGACATCTGTCCTCAGCAGGAACATTCTCCTGACTTGTGACTGCTGGGAGTCAGGTTCCCATGATCACAATCAAGGTGATAAATTTGTCCTTCAATTTCACAGGTGCTTTACAAAAGAGTGAGAGTTGACAGGGCATCTGAACAGGGTAAATGTGTGTGGAGATGGTGTCTCACAACTAGGCAGGAAATGAGCCAACTTCCATCTGGAGCTTGAAATCCACGAATGGAAGAAGAAATCTTGGAACTCACCCCTTTCCTACCTGGGGTCTTATTCTTCCACATCACAGCAGTGACCACAGCACCTAGAACAACCAGGACGGTAACGATGCCCATGATGAGGAATGTGGGCTGGGAAGATGGCCCTAAGAAAGGAGGGGAACGTGAGGGGTCCTGACCCCCAGGCCTCAGCCCTGACCCTGCTGAAGGCCTCCAGAAGGGCTCCTGCTTTCCCTGAGAAGAGACATGGCCCCTCATTCATCTCCTTAGCCCATCTCAGTGTGAGGAGCTCTGGCAGTGCCTCCTGCTGCACATGGCATGTGTATCTCTACTTGTCTCTAGAAGACAGCATCACAGCTGCCCACTTCTGGAAGGTTCTATACCCTGCAGGTCTGGTCCCCACAAGCTCTGCGTCCTAAATTTGGTCCTCCCCATCCCACAGTTGGGTCACTGTGATTTCCACATGGTAGAAGCCCGGGACCCAGCACCTCAGGGCGGCCTCATGGTCCGAGATGGGGTAGTGGATCACACATGTATTCTGGGATTCTGAAGGGAAGAGTAAGAAAATTGAGGCACTTTGCATTCCTCATGGGACACTCCAGCAGCACCCATGTGACCATCCTGAGAATGGATAGGACATCTGGGTGGGGAAGGGAGCACAGAACCCAGACACCTCCTGGCCACAGGCACCTGGGATAATCTCCTATTCCTTGGAAAGTTAGTGTCTGAGGCATTGAATAATTTAGAGTCTGCAGAGTGCCTGGGATTGCAGGCGCGCACCACCATGCCTGACTGGTTTTCGTATTTTTTTGGTGGAGACGGGGTTTCACTGTGTTGGCCAGGCTGGTCTCCAGCTCCTAACTGGGAGTGATCTGCCAGCCTTGGCCTCCTGAGGTGCCGGGATTGCAGACGGAGTCTCTCTCACTCAGTGCTCAATGTTGCCCAGGCTGGAGTGCAGTGGCGTGATCTCGGCTCGCTACAACCTCTGCCTCCCAGCTGCCTGCCTTGGCCTCCCAAAGTGCCAAGATCGCAGCCTCTGCCCGGCCGCCATCCGGTCTAGGAAGTGAGGAGCGTCTCTGCCCGGCCGCCCATCATCTGAGATGTGGGGAGCACCTCTGCCCCGCCGCCCTGTCTGGGATGTGAGGAGCCCCTCCGCCCAGCAGCCACCCCGTCTGGGAGGTAAGGAGCGTCTCTCCCCGGCCGCCCTGTCTGAGAGGTGAGGAGCCCCTCCGCCCAGCAGCCACCCCGTCTGGGAAGTGAGGAGCGTCTCTGCCCGGCAGCCGCCCCGTCCAGGAGGGAGGTGGGGGGCAGCCCCCGCCCGGCCAGCCACCTCGTCCAGGAGGTGGGGGGCGCCTCTGCCCGGCCACCCCGTCTGGGAAGTGAGGAGCCCCTCTGCCTGGCCGCCACCCCGTCTGGGAGGTGTACCCAACAGCTCATTGAGAAGGGGCCATGATGACGATGGCGGTTTTGTCGAATAGAAAGGGGGGAAATGTGGGGAAAAGACAGAGAAATCAGATTGTTGCTGTGTCTGTGTAGAAAGAAGCAGACATAGGAGACTCCATTTTGTTCTGTACTAAGAAAAATTCTTCTGCCTTGGGATGCTGTTAATCTATAACCTTACCCGCAACCCCCTGCTCTCTGAAACATGTGCTGTGTCCACTCAGGGTTAAATGGATTAAGGGCGGTGCAAGATGTGCTTTGTTAAACAGATGCTTGAAGGCAAAAAAAAAAAAAAAAAAAAAGAATGCCCAAAATGACAATTTTCTGACTCAAGCATCTACAAAAATATTTGCCTAATCAGGGTGCTTTGCAATTAGAAAAATGTGAGTCTCACATCTTTGTCTGTACAACTGGCTTAGCATCATGACAATGATTTGGTTTGATGTGGTAGGTGGAAATGGTTAAATTCAATCTAGGAACAAGATTTTTCAGTAACTGGCTATTCAGTGGGCATCCTGTGATCAGTTTAACATCTTTCACTGTGGTTTTTAATTAGATGTGGTAGAAGTGATTTGGACTCCAGTATGATTCTGAAAAACACTGTTATTTTGTGCTTCTAATGTTGCTTTAAAAGCAGCTCTTTCGTGTTTTCCATTCTTATTGCTATTTCATCACTAGTTATTCATTTATGTCTTTTCATTTAATTTATTTTGCTCAACAATGCTTTTTTTCTATTCTGTAAAAGTTTAATTCACTTGTATGTGTGGTAAAATGTGAGCAACATATCAAATTCTCAAATTCTTTGCAAGATACTATTGCCTTACCTATCAGATTGAACACTGTGTATCAGAAAATGTAGAGAGTTGCCAACTAGCCAAGGATCAAATGACCTATTTGTAGCCAAGGCTGTTTTTCATGGCATCCTGGTCCTCTCACATGGCTCCTTAAAATTGGCTGTGGCTTGTTTTTTGTGGTTGTTTGTTTGTTTGTTTTGAGATGGAGTATGGCTCTGTCACCCAGGCTGGAGTGCGATGGCAGGATCTCAGCTCACTGCAACTTCTGCCTTCCAGGTTCAAGCGATTCTCCTGCATCAGCCTTCTGAGTAGCTTGGATTACAGACACGCACCAACACGCCCAGCTAATTTTTGTATTTTTAGTAAAGACGAGGTTTCACCATGTTGGTCAGGCTGGTCTCGAACTCCTGATCTCGTGATCCACAGGCCTCGACTTCCCAAAGTGCTAGGATCACAGAAGTGAGCCACCGTGCCCGGCCAGCTGCGGCTTTGTTTTACTACGAGTAGTTATCGCAAAGGATGCTTGTGATGAACTTTGGCATTTTCTTTTCTCTTTCATTTCCAAATAATCAATCAGGAATGGCACACAAGGTGCATTTTGAAAAATACCACTTTAAAGATTTGTGGGCCAGGAGTGGTGGCTCATGCCTGTAATCTCAGCAATTTGGTAGGCTGAAGTGGGTGGATCACCTGAGGTCAGGAGTTCCAGACCAACCTGGTCAACATGGTGAAGCCCGTCTCTACTAAAAATACAAAAATTAGCTGGGAGTGGTGGCATTTGCCTGCAATCCCAGCTGCTCAGGAGGCTGAGGCAGGAGAATCCCTTGAACCTGGGAGGCGGAGGTTGCAGTGAACTGAGATCATGCCACTGTACTCCAGCCTGGGCAACAAGAGCGAGACTCAAAATATATAAATAAATAAATAAATAAATAAAGTTTTATGATCAAGTAACTAACTACCTGGATATCCCCTCCTGGCATAAGAAACAGAACCTATGAAGCCACCCTAGGCTGTTGTCCAATCCTATCCCCTAAAAGGAACCTATGTCTTGAGTCTTGTATTTGCTATTCCTTGGCATTGTCACTGAAGATTTTTGCAATAATACCCAAATCACAGTTTGACCTGTATTTTTTTAACTTCCCCATACAGAGAACTCACACCGCATGTATATTATGTGTTGGGGAGTTATCTCTGATGTGGGAGGGTGCTTATCCTTTTAATTTTTTTTTCTTTTTGAGATGGAGTTTCACTCTTGTTGCTCAGGCTGGAGTGTAGGGGCGGGATCTCAGCTCACTTGATCTCAGCTGCTTGGTTCAGCTCCATCTAGCATCTTTCCCCACGCTGTCACCCCCAGCACCAGGGGACTGAGAGTTGATGACCTGGTACACCACCGCCTGGATCTGCTGCAGTGTCCTTTCCTGTCTAGTCCGCACTCAAAGCTGACCTCTTCCTATATTATACCCAGACAGTGGGCCAAACAATATACTTAGATGTGGAATGTGGTGTTGCCAGGACCCAGAGAAGCTCACCAAATAGTGTGCTTCCTTCCTTCTGTTGAGGATGCAAGATGCAAGTTTGTCTTTTACTTTGGAGGGGACAGCCCTGCATGCCCCTAACCACTGGACCCATAACACTTCACTGCAGTGGCCACTCTTGAAGCTCTGTAAGGTTAATCTTCACCTTCTGTAGTGCACACGTTTTGCCAAAGAATTCAGCGTACTTTCCTCCTCTTACTCATCCATCCCAATCTATGTGATATTGCCAATGAAATGAAGAGATTTAGTATTCTGTGAGATGTCTGATTTGTCCAGATCTCTTAAGGTGATATTTATAGAAGGTTGAGGAGTTAAAGTAGCCCTGAGGCAAGCTATCAATAAATGTATTATAAATCCCATGTGAATGTGAATCATTCCATATCCATTTTCTAAATGGAATGGGAAAGAATGCACTCACCAAATGCATGGCTGTTTGCCATGTGCCTGAGGCCTTATTAATCTCCCCAAGCAGTGATATCCAGCCAGCATGGCAGCTGCAATCAGGACTCCTACTTGGTCAAGTCTGGAGTAATTCCATTCATTCTTTATCAGGCTTCTTCAGGGACAGACTGCTGAATTATATGGAGATAATAGGCAATCCCAACACCATCCCCCATCCTTCAGCTCTCTAATGGCAGTGCCACCCCTACAATACCTGCAGTACCCTCCTGAAGTCCCACCTGGGGCGCAATATTGCTTCTGGCTTGGCTGGGATGAGGGAAGTTTTAGATGATTCCCTTTGGGCTTCAGCACAATGATAGCCCTTACTCTCCAGACTAGGGATGTAGTGTGGGGGTGACTCCCTTTGCCAGTGCATCAAGGCCAATTATGCATGTGGAGAATGGGGAGATAACCAGGACTGGGTTTATGAACCCAGTGGTCCCACAGTGGGCCATAATGTGTCCAGGTTTATTTCCTGGCCTCCTTAAGCCCCACTGTAGATTCTGAATCTGAAGCTTGGCTGAAGTCTAGGAATTGAGACTGGGATCATGACTTTGTATTTGATCAAACACCCTCAGTCTCCTGCTCCTCAATTCTTGCATTCCCATCATAGATATGAAGCAGTGCCCTCGCTGGCTGCCCATCTGTTCTGACGCTGGGACACCACCTTTTACTAACCTTTCCCAAAACTCCATGAAGGTTGAGCCCCTTTGGCTGCTACTCTGGGTTCTCACAGTAACCGTGCCCTCTATCTTTTGCAGGTCACTGCAAAGGAGGGTTCCTAAAGCATTCACTCCTGATCCTGAGGGAGGTGGGTGCACTCACTCCAGGTCTCAGGTCCGCCACAGAAAAGCAAAAACTCCTCACATTCAAAACTGTCCTGGGCCACATTCAGCCTGCGAGCTACGGGTTAGACAAGCTAGCATCTAGAACATATGTACCACAACACCAGAAATTTTTCTGTTTTCACCTTAATGATGCTTTCTAAACGCAAAAGCAGTCATATCCCTAGCAGACAACAAATGTCAGTTGAATGAATGATCACTGTAGAGCACTTCTCTATTCTAAAGCCAATATCTTTGTTAAGGTAGCCTCAGGGCAAATGCTGTTTTGTGGCAGCTAAAGAACAACATCATCTCATGTGGACATCGATGCCGCCAGTGCTTTTCTCACCAGGACTGCTTGTGTGTCCTCCCTCCCTCCCTACCTCCTCCCACACCAACCCTCCTGCACACTGCAGCACACAACCATATTTTTCTCTTCAGGAAAGATAACCCTAGGCTTATGGGTACAATTTTCCAACCACGTATGAATCTAAATTAGACTCTGCTTTGTAAATCCATGAGTTTGGATTGGAGCCAGCACTAGGATTACTACAACTCAGGGCAGGAAGAAGAGTAGGAGAGCAGAAGAGGAGCTCCAACAGAAAGTTCACTATGATGAGAAACTATGGGACCCCTCCTCTCTGCAAATTTCAGAATCTGCTTCCTTTAAAAAGATTGGAGACAAGATGAAAACTACAATCCAGGAAAGAGCCCTGGGAGGAGGGCAAGAGCTGGACAGGTCTGAAAATTAGTCTCTTGATACCACAATGAGATTTGTATGCAGGGACCACCCTAGGTGACATCCAACTCCCTGTGATCACAGGTGGTGGTGGGACAAGGTTCTACTGAAGGGCCAAGGAGAATGAAGGAGCAAAGATGACCCAGCTGAGCAGTGACCACATAAAGTCCATACTGGCCTGAGCACCCACTAGGCACAGCCCCATCTATTCTCCTCCCCTGCAACAAATCAGCACAAGAAACACATGGACTCTGGAAGGTTCTCATGTGTTCCATTTATTTTGTCTCTCAAATTTTAGGAATCTTCTCCTTTAATTAAGTCATCAACCTCTCATGGCAAGAATTTGAAAAAGTAAATGTTTACTCAGATTCTAATTTTAAGAGGGAAGTAAGAAGTTACAGCTCAGTGCACATAAAGTTGAGAAAAAGATGGAGACATCTCAGCCCCGCCTCTCTGGAACAGGAAAGATGATTGGGGAGGGAACACAGATCAGCGTGGGGAAGAGGGTCATGGTGGACATGAGGGTGGGTTGGTCTCCCCTCCTCCACACATTATGCCTACAGGAACACAGACACATTCAGGTGCCTTTGCAGAAAGTCAGGGTTCTTCAAGTCACAAAGGGAAGGTGTGAACAAATCTTGCCTCTCAGTCCCACACAAGGCAGCTGTCTCACACTATAGAAAAAATATTCATGAACAAATTCATATCTGTCCCAGTAATGGATGACACTTTGGCAGCCCATCGCATGCTCAAAACATCAAATTCAAAGAACCCCATAGCACAGCTGTGTCCACTGTTCCCCCCCAACACCCCCCACACATCAGGCCCCCCAAGGTCTCACCTTTCACGCCGTGAGAGACACATCAGAGCCCTGGGCACTGTTGCCGCCTGGAGTAGAATAAAAACAGGACCTGGTCAGATCCCACAGTAGATGTGGCTAGAGGAAGAATTGTGGGGTGGGTGAGCTCCCCCATGGGCTCCCAAACACAATATCCAAAGGATTTCAGGGATCAGCCTCCTTCATACTTACTTGCAGCCTGAGAGTAGCTCCCTCCTTTTCTATCTGTGGGAAGAAAATGTCCTGTGAGATGCCAGAAAGAAGCCAGGGCCATAAGGTCCTAGAGGAACCTCCAAGTCTTGGACCCCAGAGAAGTTTCCAGAAATGTGCAACTGCAGACCCAGGGCGGGATCAGGAAACATGAGGAAAGCAGATGTGGGTCCTGGACCAACCGCCCTTCTGAGGTCTGTCCTCGGGGACCTTCCCCTGTGACTTGTGACTGCTGGGATCAGGTCCCATCACCACAGTCATCAAGGTGATAAATCTGTCCCTCATTGTAACAGGTGCTTTACAAAAGAGTAAGTGCTGGCACACAGGGCCCAGGCTGGGTAGGCCCATGAGTGTGGATGGTGCTTCCCAGTAACCAGGCAGGGCACTTCTACCTGGGGCTTGGAACTCTCAGTGAGACAAGAAATCTCAGACCACACTCCTCACCCCTTCCTTACCTGAGCTCTTCTTCCTCCACATTACAGCAGCGACCACAGCTCCAGTGACCACAGCTACAAGTAGAACCAGGCCAGCAACGATGCCCACGATGGGGATGGTGGGCTGGGAAGATGGCTCTGGGAAAAGAGGGGAAGGTGAGGGACCCTGACCCTGCTAAAGCTCTCCAGAGAGGCTCCGGCTTTCCCTAAGGGACATGACACCCCCATCTCCCTCCTTACCCCATCTCAGGGTGAGGGGCTCTGGCAGACCCTCATGCTGCACATGGCAGGTGTATCTCTGCTCCTCTCCAGAAGGCACCACCACAGCCGCCCACTTCTGGAAGGTTCCATCCCCTGCAGGCCTGGTCTCCACGAGCTCCGTGTGTGGGTCTGGTCCTCCCCATCCCGCTGCCAGGTCAGTGTGATCTCCGCAGGGTAGAAGCCCAGGGCCCAGCACCTCAGGGTGGCCTCATGGTCAGAGATGGGGTGGTGGGTCATATGTGTCTTGGGGGGGTCTGACAGGAAGAGTCAGAAAATTCAGGCATTTTGCATCTGTCATGGGACACTCCACCAGCACGCATGTGGCCATCTTGAGAATGGACAGGACGCCTGGGGTGGGGAAGGGAGCACAGAACCCAGACAACAGCCTGGACACAGGCACCTGGGATAATCTCCTATTCCGTGGAAAATTCTAGTCCCTGAGGAGGGAACAGCGACTTCTGGTCCTGACCTGAGTGGAGGCTGAGGGACTCAGAAGAGCTGGACTCAGACCCCCAGGCACATTGAGTGTGAAGCAGAGAACAAGGCCTGAGAGGAAAAGTCACGGGGCCCAAGGCTGCTGCCAGTGTCAAAGGGAACCACTCATCAGTATTCCAGGGATTGTCTTCCCTTCATTTCCTCAGAGATTTCATCCCTTAATTGTGTCAAAGAGCACGGCGGACCCTCAGAGTCACTCTCTGGAAACCCAGGAGGATTCTTCTCCCTCAGGACCAGAGGGAGGGCGATATTATAGTGTTGGTCCCATTTGTCTCCCTTTCTTGTGGGAGGCCAGCCCCGGAGATCTACAGGCGATCCGGGAGGCGCCCTGTGGCCCCTGGTACCCGCGCGCTGCAGCGTCTCCTTCCCGTTCTCCAGGTATCTGCGGAGCCACTCCACGAACTCGCCCTCCAGGTAGGCTCTCAGCTGCTCCGCCCGACGGGCCGCCTCCCACTTGCGCTTGGTGATCTGAGCTGCCATGTCCGCCGCGGTCCAGGAGCGCAGGTCCTCGTTCAGAGCGATGTAATCCTTGCCGTCGTAGGCGTGCTGTTCATACCCGCGGAGGAAGCGCCCGTCGGGCCCCACGTCGCAGCCATACATCACCTGCATGGTGTGAGAACCTGGCCCCGCCCCCGCGGTCAGCCCGGTCCCCCGAGCCCCGCCCTGCCCCGACCAACCCGCGGGGATTTTGGCCTAAACTGAAAATGAAACGGGTAAAGGCGCCTGGGCCTCTCCCAGGTCAAGGGTCTCGGGGTCCCGCGGTTTCGGGGAGGATCTCGGACCCAGAGACTCGAGGCGACCCGGCCCTCCGTGGGGGATGGGGAGGGGTCGTGACCTGCGTCCCGGGCCGGGGTCACTCACCGCCCTCGCTCTGGTTGTAGTAGAGGAGCGCGATCCGCAGGTTCTCTCGTTCAGTCTGTGCCTGGGCCTTGCAGATCTGTGTGTTCCGGTCCCAATACTCCGGCCCCTCCCGCTCCATCCACGGCGCCCGCGGCTCCATCCTCTGGCTCGCGGCGTCGCTGTCGAACCGCACGAACTGCGTATCGTCCACGTAGCCGACGGAGATGAAGCGGGGCTCCCCGCGGCCGGGCCGGGACATGGTGGTGTAGAAATACCTCATGGAGTGGGAGCCTGGGAGCGAGGAGGAGCTGAGACCCGCCCGACCCTCCTCCCTGCGCGGCTCCCTGGGTCCTGCGCCCCCGCCGGGCGGGCCCCTCGCTCCTCCCGACCATTTCCCTGCAGACCCTGCACTCACGCGCCCAGGTCTGGGTCAGGGCCAGGGCCCCTGAGAGCAGCAGGAGGAGGGTTCGGGGCGCCATGAGCACCATCCTCGGCGTCTGGGGAGAATCTGAGTCCCGGTGGGTGCGTGGGGACTTTAGAACCGGGACCGCGGCGGCACCGATTGGCTTCTCTAGAAACCCGACACCTAGTGGGAATGAGAACTGTGCCCGCTTCCTGAGTATCCAGGAAAAAGGACCCGTCGCAGGTTGTGAGAAGAAGAGAAACTGCGGAGGTGGCGAATCCCCAAGGCGGGGCCTCCCCAATCCATACACCGCCTTCGGGGCCTGAGACCCTGAGAGCCACGCCTGGGGCCCTGGGACTTCGCCCTGACCCCGCTCCTCCTGTGCCAAGCGCTCTGTCTCAGTGTTTCCCTGAGTCTTGGCCCAGGAGCTGTCTGAGAAACCAGGAAGAAACCCTCGGCATGGGCCCTGTCCCTCTCCCTTCACTTTTCATCCAGGAATCTCCGTCCCTGAACTGGACTCCCTGTCCACCTGGACTCTTCTAGAAGAAAAGTCACCCACGGAGTTTGGTGACAGAGAGTGAGCTTGCTCTGGGAATGGAGGTGTAGAAACTGTTTTTTGTTTTCCTTTTTTTTTTTTTTTTTTTACTGGGAAAAGTTGTGCCTGAGTGCATGAGACAGAATAGAGACCAGTTTATTTATTTATTTGTTTATTAAATACATTGGATAGCAGAACCTTGGTAACCCCTGAATGATCAGGAATCTAATCGGTAAAAAATGTGACTTTGGCCCCATGATGTATAAATGTGCCCAAAAGCGTTACAACAGGACTCACAAAGCTTCTAAGTTTCACTTTTGCAGTGTACCTGTGACTCCCGCTTGTCATATTTTAAATCTGCCATCATTCCATAGCTCTGAGTTTCTGTGTGAGTCCAGGATATCTCCTCAATACAAAGTAGCACACTGTGTACTTTGCAACCAGGTACGTTGCAACCAGGAGTCAGTACAGGCTTTATTCACCTCAAAGTTGCAACTGTTCAATGTAGTCGCAATGCCCCTCACTAGTGCTCATGCACTGCCTGTTTTTAGGAAGTATCCACTGCTAAGTGTTGTGTATATTTTATAGGAACACTTAGTAATTTTTAAACCTGATTAACATTAAAAAATTAGTTTTTAGGCAGACCCACATGAGGTATTAAAGGCCAACTGCCAAGGACACCCTGCTAGGCTCTGTAGATGGATGTATTAAAATCCATAAAACAATGTATTTAAACCTAAGAATTCTGCTGCTTTCGAATTCTTTCCTCTGCTCCTTTTCTTCACCTCCTGCTTCTCCAGCCCTTCTCTCCGTCCTTTTCATCCTTCAGGCCCTCCTGTCCCCTTAGTCCCCACCACACTGTCACTTGTGAGTTGTGACACTAGCACTGTCCCATGACCTGTTACGTGACTGTTCTTTTCACAGTGGTCCTGCTCCTGGGAGTCGGAGTGTGTCATCTCTCCACTTAAAACACTCCAGTGTCTCCACCTCGGTCTTGAGAAACTTCTGGAGTGTCAGGCACGTGAGCATATGAGGGGATATCTGGTTTATCGTAGGGACTAAATTAATTTTTGTCGACTGAATGAATGAAATATGAGTGTATTAAATTGCATTACAGATAATTATAAAGTGCAAAACACGGAAAAAGTTCAGAAAATTTTTATTTTATGTAACTAGTGTGCATATCAATTCATCAATTCATTCGTGCACTACCATGCCTGGCGAAACAACACCCATTTATCTGCTTATAGTTCCTTGATCAGAAATCTGGGCAAAATTGTGGATGGAATCTCTCTTCTGGGCTTCCAAAAGCTGTGTTTTCATTTTGAATCCTCCTTCAGGCTTATACAGAGGTGGCAGAATGCAGTTTCTGGCAGTTGTAAGACTGAGGTCCCTGTTCCTTGCTGGCTGTCAATGTAGAGAACAGGGAGGGCTGTGCTCGATTCCTGGTCCTCACCAGCATTCTTTCCTACACAGCCCCTTCATTTTTTATTTTATTTATTTATTTTTTGGAGATGGAGTCTTGCTCTGTAGCCCAGGCTTGGGTGCAGTGGCCGGATCTCGGCTCACTGCCAGCTATGGCTCCCAGGTTCACGCCATTCTCCTGTCTCAGCCTCCCAAGCAGCTGGGACTACAGGCACCCACCACTACGCTTGGCTAATTTTTTTTTTTTTTTTTTTGTATTCTTAGTAGAGACAGGGTTTCACCATGTTAGCCAGGATGGTCTCGATCTCCTGACCTCATGATCCGCCCGCCTCAGCCTCCCAAAGTGCTGGGATTACAGGCGTGAGGCACCGCACCCGGCCCACAGCCCTTTCATTTTCAAAGCCCATGCTGGAGGAAACCCCTCATGCTGAGTCCCTCTCACACTGTGAGTCTCTATGCTCAGGAAGAACCCAGTCCTTTCAAGGTCTCACCTGATTAGGACAGTCCAAGCAGGATAAACCCAGCCTAAAGTCAACTAATTGAGACCCTTAATTATATCCACTAACTCCCTTCACAGCAGCACCTACATTAGAGTTGATTGAATAACTGGAGGATGGTGAATGACCAGGAGCTGGTTGTTGAGGGCATAATAGAATCAGCCTAGCAAGGGTTGGATCTTCCTTTTGTGTTTACTTCGGACACAGTTGGAAATTGAAGTTCAAGTAAAGTGATCATTGTGAATGGTCATAAAATACATCCTCTTCAGCCATGGAAATTCTCCTTACCTTTTAAAACTAAGTTACATGTTTAATATCTTATAATTAATTTACGCCAGGTATGGTGGCTCACGCCTGCCATCCTAGCACTGTGGAAGGCAGAGGAAGGCAGATTTGTTGACTCCAGAAGTTCAAGATCAGCCTGGGCAAAACCCCCATCTATACAAAAAATTAGAAAATTAGCCAGGCATAGTAGTTCATGATGGTAGTCCCAGCTACTCAGGAGGCTGAGATCAGTGGGTCCCTTGAACCCAGGAGGTCGACACTGCAGTGCATGGTGATCATGCCACTGCACTCCAGCCTGGGTGACAGAGCGAGACCATGTCTCAAAAATAATAATGATGACGATGATACATTTAAAGCAAATGCAATTTAATGTGTAATAATACATCCTCTCTTGTGAAAATGTGTTATTTATTTACTATTGCATAACAAATTATGTAAAACTTAGCTTAAAACAACAAATATTCCTCATCTGCCACAGTTTCCAATGGTCAGGAGTCCAGGAGAGGTTTCCCTGAGTGCTTCTTGCTCGGGGCCTCTCACAAGGTTGCAGTCCAATTGTCAGCCAAGGGCTGCATCATCTGAGGGCTTCACTGGGGCTGAGGATTCACATGAAACATGGATCAGTCACATGGCTGTTGGAAAAGGCCTAGTTCTTTGTTGTCTGGTCCCGGAAGGCCTCAGTTCTCAGCCACATGGACCTTCCTGCAGGGCTGCTTGTGGCACAGCAGCTGGCTTCCCCCAGAGCTCATGATCCCAGAGACAGAGAGAAGGTGGAAGCCGCAGTGAGTTTTAGGTTCTACACCCAGAGTTACAAACCATTATGTCAGCATTATTCTATAAGTTAGAAGTTATATTAGTCCATTCTCACACTGCTATGAAGAAATACCTGAGACTGGGTAATTTATAAAGGAAAGAGGTTTAATTGACTCACAGTTCTGCATGGCTGAGGAGCCTGCCCCAGGAAACTTACAGTCATGGCAGAAGTGGAAGCAAACACATCCTTCTTCACATGATGACAGGAGAGAGAAGTGCAGAATGAAGCAGGGAAAAGCCCCTTATAAAACCATCAGATCTCATGAGAATTCCCTCAGTATCACGAGAACAGCATGGGGGCACCGCCCCCATTATCCAATCACCTCCCATGTGGTCCCTCCCCCAATAGGTAGCGATTACAATTCGCATAACAATTCAAGATGAGATTTGGGTGGGAACACAGAACCAGGCCATATCAGAAGTGCCTCATTAAGTCCAAGCCACACTCAGGAGAGGGAATTAAGATGCACCTCTGGAAGGGAACAGTATCAAATGTTTTGAATATATGTTAAAAGCAAAATTATAACTATTGTTTCAGGTTTTTGAAAATCAAAGACTTCTTTTATCTAATTATTTTTCATTAACTCTTTCAGCTTGTCTTTTTCTTTAAGCTTGTCTTTTAATTTAATTTTTTTTAAGTTCCAGGGTACACGTGCAGGATGTGCAGGTTTGTTACATAGGTAAACATGTGCCATGTTGGTTTGCTGCACCTGTCAACTCATCACCTAGGTATTAACCCTGGCATGCATTAGCTATTTTTGCTAATGATCCTCCCACCACCACCCTGCCCCAATAGGCCCCAGTGTGTGTTGTTCCTCTCCCTGTGTCCATGTGTTCTCATTACTCAGTTCCCAATTATAAATGAGAACATGTGGTGTTTGGTTTTCCGTTCCTGTGTGAGTTTGCTGAGGATAATGGCTTCCAGCTTCATCCATATCCCTGCAAAGGACTTGATCTCATTCCTTTTTATGGCTGCATAATATTCCATGGTGTATATGTACCACATTTTCTTTATCCAGTTCATCATTGATGGGCATTTGGGTTGATTCCATGTGTTTGCTATTGTGAATAGTGCTGCCATGAATGTAAACATGCATGTATCTTTATAATAGAATGATTTGTATTCCTTTGGGTATATACCCTGTAATGCGATTGCTGGATCAAATGGTATTTCTGATTCTAAATCTCTGAGGAATCACCACACTGTCACTGTCTTCCACAATGGATTAACCGATTGACTTTTCCACCAACAGTGTAAAAGCATTCCTATTTCTCTGCAACCTCGCCAGCATCTGTTGTTTCTTGACTTTTTAATAATTGCCATTCTGACTGACATGAGATGGTATCTCATTTGTGGTTTTGATTTGCATTTCTCCAATGATCAGCGATGTTGAGCTTTTTTTCATATTTTTGTTGGCCACATGTATGTCTTCTTTAGAAGTGTCTGTTCAAGTTCTTTGTCTACTTTTTAATGAAGTTTTTTTTTCATGTAAATTTGCTTAAGTTCTTTGTGGATTCTGAATACTAGACTTTTGTCAGATGGATAGACTGCAAAATTTTTCTCCCATTCTGTAGGATGTCTGTTCACTGTGATTGATGATAGTTTCTTTTGCTGTGCAGAAAAAAATGCCTAATCAAATTGCTTTTCATTTACAAAAATGTGAATCTCATACTTCAGTAAACTTTATTTTACTTTAGTAAAAATTATTAGCATGATGCCAATAATTTTGGCTTGATGCTGTAGCCCGAAATGGTTAGTTCTAATTGAGAAACAAGTTTTTTTCAAAAACTGGCTATTTGACGGGCATTCTATAATAAACTTAACATCTTTTGTTGTGGTATTGAATGAGATGTGATAGAAGTGATTTGGACACCACTATGATTCTAAATAGTGCTGCTATTACATGCTTCTGAATTTTTTTTTCTTTTTAGCAGTCCTATTCTGTTTTCCATTCATATTTGCTATTCCATCACTGGGTATTCCTCCCTACTCTTTTCATGTTTCATTTATTTTGATCAATGATGTGCATTTCCAATCTGTAAAAGTTTATTTCAGTTTAATGTGTGGTAAAATGTAACATCAAATCTTTGGAAGATGAAATTATCTTGCACAGCAGATTGAACATTGTATCATTGAAAATCTAGAGAGATGCCAGGGAGCCAAGGATCAAATGACCTATTTGTAGCCAATGCCATTTTCATGGCATCCTGGTCCTCTCTGTCACATGGCTCCTTACAATTCTCTGTGGTTTTCTTCCAATGTAAGTAGTTCTTGTTAAGAATCTTTGCAATGAACTTTGAAATTCTTTTCTTTTTCATTTCTATAAAAAACAGGTATATTTTAATTTGGAAAACTCTGTTTAAGGAATTATAATCAAGTATCTACCAGGGTGCCCAGCACTGGTGTAAAACACAAACCTGTAAAGCTACCCTGGGCTGCTACCCAGTCACCCCATAGAAGGAGACCGTTGGGAGCAAGTCCCCCAAAATCTGGCCATAAACTGGCCCCAAGACTGGCCATAAACAAAATCTCTGCAGCACCGTAACATGTTCATAATGGCCCTAATGTCCAAGCTGGAAGGTTGCGGGTTTACAAGAATGAGGGAAAGGAACACCTGGCCTGCCCAGGGCGGAAAACCGCTTAAAGGCATTCTTAAGCCACAAACAATAGCATGAGCGATCTGTGTCTTAAGGGTGTGTTCCTGCTGCAGTTAACTAGCCCAACCTATTCCTTTAATTCGGCCCATCCCTTTGCTTCCTATAAGGGATACTTTTAGTTAATTTAATACCTATAGAAACAACACTAATGACCGGTTTGCTGTTAATAAATATGTGGGTAAATATCTGTTTGGGGCTCTCAGCTCTGAAGACTGTGAGACCCCCGATTTCCCACTTCACACCTCTATATTTCTGTGTGTGTGTCTTTAAGTCCTCTAGCACCACTGGGTTAGGGTCTTCCTGACCGAGCTGGTCTCGGCAGGAGACTCCATCCTGAGTCTTCTGATACGTATTCCTTTGTATTCCTTCAAAGATTTGTGCAATAAGTATATCTATATCTCCCCAAAACAAACCTCAGTTAGTTTTGCTGGTTTTTAAGCTTCCTGTACAGCAAATTCCTACTGCATGTATTTTCCCATGATACACATTATGTGTAGGAGTTATCTGTGGTGTGGGAGGCTGTCATTCATTCATTTTTACGGCTGAAGGCTTACATATCGTTTTACCACAATTTCACCAGTTTCCTATTGATGTACATGTGGCCGATTCCAGTTTTTGCCATAAATATTAGTGTGCATGTCTCCTGTGCACATAGGCAAGAAAGCCCCAAAGCCCCCAGAGTGGATGATTAGGAATGGGTTGGTTGCATGATACATTGTATGGACTTTAACCATACTAGATAATGATAATATGATTTCCAAAGTAATTGTGGCTACTTAAACTTTTACAATAAATGTGTAATACTTATGTTGATGATGTGTTCTGAAAACACTGAGTTGAAGGAATTGTGTTAAAAGTCACCGTCTTGGTGGTAGAATTATAGCAAGCATTTTTATTCTGTTAATAACTTCCTGTTGTTTACTTGTTTCTCATATAAAAGACATTATGCTTTTGACATATAGATTCAGAAAATGCTTACTTACAGCCCAATCACATAGGGTTATTTTATATTTTAGGAAAATTTTATAATAAAAAGGAAAAAATGGAGGAAGGGAGGGAAAGAAGGAGGAATGGAGGAAAAAGTGAAAGAAGAAAAGAAGGAAGGGGAAGGGGAAGGAAAGGGAGCAAGAAGGAGGGAAGGTGATAGGTTGAATGGAAATAGAGAAGAAAGAGAGGGAGGGAGGGTTAGAAGGAAGGAGAAAGGGAAGGAAGAGGCCAGGTGTGGTGGCTCATGCCTGCAATCCCAGCACTTTGGGAGGCTGAGGCAGGCAGATCATGAGGTCAGGAGATAGAGACCTTCCTGGCTAACATGGTGAAACCCCGTCTCTACTAAAAATACAAAAAAATTAGCTGGGCGTGGTGGCAGGTGCCTGTAGTCCCAGCTACTTGGGAAGCTGAATCAGGAGAATGGCATGAACCCAGGAGGCAGAGCTTGCAGTGAGCTGAGATTGAGCCACTGCACTTTAGCCTGGGCAAGAGAGTGAGACTCCATCTCAAAAAAAAAAAAAAAAAAAAGGGAAGGAATAAAGGAGAAAAGAAACTAAAATAAAGAAAAGAATAGGTGTTGAGAAACTAGAAACCCTATGTGTGGCTAATATTATCAAAATAGGAGAAAATAAAAGAGATGTAGTTAACTTCTATAGAATAATGGAAATGTAAGAGGGCTTCATTAGTTATCCATTGCTGTGTAACAAACTACCCCCAAATTTAGTGATTAAACAATAAACATTGAGGAACTCAAAAGCATAATACAAATACCAGCAAAATGGAGCCAATGCAGGTAGAAGTTGAATAAACAAAAAGATTTTACACCTTGGAATAAGTAAGAGATCACTAGTGGGCAGATGAAAATGATTTTATAGTCCAAATGCTCCAAAAAGCAAGTTCCATCATGGGATTAAAGTTATAGCATTTTATTAGGGGACACACCTGTCAGGTGATATGGCAAGGGAGGTAGGTTACCCTGGGAAAGGCAACAAGATGCAAAGGTGATCCCCAGTGATGGACAGAAGGAGACAAGGTTTACTGGATGTGCCATAGACCACAGGCAATCTAAGGAGAGTTAAGCAAGGCCATGGAGGAGTCCTTGAGCTACAGTTGGCCATCAGAGGAGTCCCTGGTCTCCCAGGAATGTCCTGCTTTCGTGTCACTGGTGTGATCTGTCACTGGTTGGGAACAGCCCATTGGAAGCAGGACCTCAGCACCAATGCTACTGAGGATGTCAGAGCACAGGTGCAGGGCCTTGGGAGATTACCGAGCATTACTCAAACCTTCTGCCCTGACGGGTCTGGGTCCTTGGAAATCAAGCTGTCTCAGGCTGAATTGCTGGATGATTCTGCTCACACTTACAATGAGGTAAGGGAAACCAGAAGGCCCCCAGGTGGATCTCTGGTTTCCACACACACTTCCGCCCTCATTGTGTGAAAGTAGCCATGCCTTCTCCTGAAGATGAGGATCTATTACCTGGGCCTGGAGAGGAGGAGAATCCTCTTTTCACCAGGTGGTCTCTGGGCACAAACTATCAAAACTTCTCTCGTGACAGCCATAATGTGTAGTTCAGTGGGCTGTCTTTTGTCTCCTTTTAAGGGTACCCTCCTTGGAAACCAGGACCTCGTACCCTGCACAGCCCAGTGTTGGAAGATAAAACGTGCAAAATACCCCATTGAGTGAATCTAAGGGATTGGACGTGGAGCCAAACCTGCTTCCATCTTTTGATCCCTGGACACACATGTTCTTCCTATTGAGAACACAGCACTCTAGAGACATCTCTGATTCAAACAATGCACCGTGTCCTAAAAGATGGCACCCACCTCTCAGAGTGCTTCCTCCAGGCTGGCACTGAGTTTTGCCTGTAGAAGACCTGTCCAGCATTCCTTGTGGCTGGCAGCCTCTGGATGGTGCAGATGGTGATAGGATTAGTGGAACCCACAGCCATGGAAACACTGAAACTTTCCCAGCCAAGTGGGTCCTTCAGGCAGATAATGGGCTAGGAGCACCGCCTAGCCTGCAGATCAGGAATGTCAACAGCACCCGGAGAGGTGCTGGCTGAGTTTCTGAGAGCAGGACATGAAAACACCCATGGAATAGGAGCCTATCCCTGTGAAGATGAACCTCTGGCCCTTCCAGGATGGAAGTAGCTAAATGTAGTCAACTTGTTACTTAGTGGCTAGTTAGTCACCTAAAGAAATAGTGCCCCACTGGGGCACATCATGGGCCTCAATTGCTAATGAGTTGGACATTCAGAGGTGTCGGCAGCTGGATCTGCCTTGGTAGGGGGGAGTCAGTGCTGTTGGCCCCATACGTAGCCTCATGCCTGCCACTGTGGTTGCTCCATTCATGAACTCATCCTACCAAACCAGGGCTGACCCATGGTGAAGGCTGGCTAACTTCCATTTGTCTGTTTGGTTGTTCAGTGCCACTTCAGACTTGGGTATTTTCTCTGGGTGTAAACATGGGATTCAAGCTCAACCCAGGTGGACCATTTTCACCTCACGATGGATGCTGTTGGGCCTGTCTAATCTATGACTCTGTGGGTCACACAGGCACTCGGAACCACATAGTTGCTTGGTGTCCCGTGGTCAAGCATTCTGTCTAATCAGGACAAGGGACACTAAAAGTTGCTTCTAATAGGTGGCATATGTCTCTGCTGTGAATGACATGACCTTACTCCAGAATCCCAGGCCTTTCACTGTGACTTTCCCACTGGTGCTTGGTTCAGCTCCATCCTGCATCTTTCCCTACCAATGGCATCACCAGCACCAGGGGGTCTGAGAGATGGTGGCTGCTCGCACCATGGCCTGGATCTGCTGCAGGGTCCTTTTCTGTGTGGGCCCTACTTGAAGCTGGCCTCCTCCTATGTCACCTAGAGTGTGGGCCAAAGCAACATACCTAGATGTGGAAAGTGGTGTTGTCAGAACTGGAAGAGGCTCATCAGGCAGTGTGCTTCCTTCTTTCTGGTGAGGATGCAAGATGAAACAGTTTGTCTGTTACCTTGGAGGGGACACACCTGCATTCCCCTAAACACTTGGCCATTGTTCACCCATAAAACTTTACTTCAATGCCCACTATCTTTTTCTTTTTGAGATGGAATTTTGCTCTTGTTGCCCACTCTGGAGTGCAATGGCACGATCTTGGCTCACTGCAATCTCTGCCTCCTGGGTTCAAGTGATTCTCCTGCCTCAGCCTCCCAAGTAGCTGGGATTACCAGCATGGGCCACCATGCCTGGATAATTTTGTATTTTTAGTAGAGACGGGGTTTCTCTGTGTTGGTCAGGCTAGTCTCCAACTCCCAACCTCAGGTGATCCACCCACCTCAGCCTTCCAAAGTGCTGGGATTACAGGCGTGAGCCACTGCACCTGGCCGAGTGGCCACTCTGGAAGCTTTGTAAGGTTTATCTTCACCTTCTGGAGTGCCCGTGTTTTGCCAAGCACTACAGTGCACTTTCTACCTGCTGCTCATCCAGCCAGATCAACAGGAAGTTGTCAATGATATGAGCTGATTTAATATCCTATTGGATATCCAGTATGTTTAGTATAGTCTTAAGACTATACTATAGAGGTCAGGGGAGTTACAATAGCCCTGAGACAAATGATAAATCAATGTTTTGAGGATCCCACATGAATGTGAATCACTCCATATCCACTTTCTAATTGGAGTGGAAAGAAATGCAGTCACCAAATCCACAGCTGCATGCTCTGTGTCCAAGGGTTTATTAATCTGCTCTACCAGTGATATCCAGACAGCACAAAAGCTGCAATTATAACTCCTACTTGGCCAGACCTGGAGTAATCTAGTTCATTCTTTAGGCTTCATCAGGCTTCTTCAGGGACAGGTTGCTGGATTACGTAGAGACAATAGACAGCCCCAACACCATCCCACATCCTTCAGCTCTGTAATGGTGATGTGATCCCCACAATACTTGAAGTATCTTACACAAGACCCACCCTGGGACACACTATGATTTTTGATTTGGCCAGGATGGGGGCAGTGTCAGAGGTTTCCCTTTGGCTTTCAGCACAATGAAAGTCCTTACTCCACAGACTAGGGACCCAGGGTGGGGGTAACTCCACTTAGCAGTGCATCAGTGTCAATTATGCACTCAGGGTATAGGAAGATAACCAGGGCTGGGTCTATGGATCCAGTAGTTCCATTGTGGGCCATAATGTGTCCAGGTTTACTCCCTGAGCTCCATAAGCCCCACTGTGATGAGAGACATGATAGTGCTGTGGGCATCTGAGCATCAATGTCAGTTCACACCCAGTGTCAATAATCCCCCCAGTTCTGCCTGTTTCCTTTCCCCAGTGTACAATCTCCTGAGTAAATGGCTATATGGTCCTTTGCCGAAGGACTGAGGGAATTGTCCCAGCATATACTTCCACGGGGTTGCAGAGTATTCCGCCTAGAGATATGGACTCTTCCTCTGTCACTGAGATCTGAATCTGCATCTTGGCTGAGGTCTAGGCATTGAGGATGGGATCATGATTTTGTATTGAGTCAAACACCTTCACCCTCCTGCTTCTCAATTCTTGCTTTCTTATCATAGATATCAACCAGCTGCCTGTCCTAACCCTGGGACACCACCCTCTATTATACTTCCCCACATTCCCTGCAGCTTGAGTCCTCTTGGCTTCTCCTCCGAGGTTGCCATAGTAACCGTGCCCTCTGGCTTTTGCAAGTCACTGCCACCACTTGGTCTTTGTCTCTTCAGGGCCACACTCTCCCCAGTGATATTAGAAATGAAACTCTGGGACTATCTTTACTACCATCACCCCCAGCCTACAAAGGACAATACCCTGACACTTCTTAGTGATGCAGGTCCCTCTCACCATCAAGTTCCTGAGGCTCTGGTGGAAGGTGTGTCCTCTGGGCCCTCTTGTAGAGCATGGTTTTGGTAGGCCTTCACCAAGCCCACTCCCCTCAGCTTGTTATTCCATCCTCTACATGTTCCAGGGCAACTAAGACATGTCTACCTTGTTGAGAGTTGGGCATGTTTTTTTCTAGACTATGTGGATACACCCCAGCAGTGGGTTTACTCCACTTATCAAAGTCCTGGAGTGTTTGATAAATCCATGCCCTGAGAAAGTGTCTTCAAGCCAAAGGATTATATTCATCCAGCCTGAAATTCTGGTTCCTTGATCAAACACCCTCAAATTCCAATCCCAGAAGTAGTCCCTGGGCTCCTATGGGGACGTGCTGGCTAGTTCCTGCAAACCTCCTGAGTGGGATTCCCGCGGCATCATAGGGGTGAGGATTCTGTAGCATCTTCCAGCAGTGAAAGTGGGAACCATTACTAGAGAAGGGTGAGCCTCCTCTGCATGCCCAGAAGATCCTGGAGGGCACGCATCGCATAATCCTGTTCCAGTTTGCAGAATCTCAGGTTTCCCCACCAAAGCCCTGACTTTCCTGTAACAGGCCTGCCTTGGCTGAGTGTCAAACATCTCTGGAGCACTGTGGCCCTCATAGTGATGTAGAGCTAACATTCCTTGCTATCTGCCCTTTTGCTACAGGAGATAAAGACCTGTCCATGAGACACTGCCGAGGGTGTCAAATGTAGCCAGTCATAGCTGTCAACAATCCGCAGATTCTCATTATCTTTTGACACAGCATCGATGCAGCTGAGAAGTAACTAGCCAAAGCCACTGTCTTTGTAGGTTTCTTCCAACTCTGTCCTTATTATGCAGGGCATTCTATCACTGCATGTGCCATAGCACTCCCTAACCAAGGCAACTTCTCAGCTCAGCACTGGTGAGACCCCCAGCTGCTCAGCCGCACCTTGTGCCATGGACTTTCTGTGTCTGCCACCAACCCGGGTGGCATCCTCTTGGCCTGCCAGGCAGTGGGAAGCTTATTTCAAATTCCCATTTTTGCCTGTTTTCATGGATCACCCTTCATGCCACTTGTGTTAGTTAGGGTCCCCTGAGAAGCGGACCCCAATACAGTAGTAAACATGTAAGGATTTATTAGGGGAAATACTTGTGAGAGAAATTCATGAGACAGAAAATGTTGGGAAAGCCACTGGACCACAAAGCAACTCTGAGCCTCAGTGATGTAGAGAGTGCAGGAAGGTCAGCTGGAAGCATCCTAGACCCTGTGCAGGCTAAGGGAAGTTCAGTAAGGGTGGCAGGGAGCCCTGGAGCTTCAGTCAGCCTTCAGAAGAGGAATGTCCTGCCTTAGTTTCTGCCCTACTTTCCTCAATCATTGGCTGGAAAAATCCAGGGGTGGGCATAGTCTCAGAGCAAATGTGGCAATAGATTTCAGACTTCAAGAGCTGGGGCCATCATCAATTCTGCTTCTTCTAGATGAGGGGCTGGGATGTGCATTCTCATGACTGCCACAATGATCCAGTGGGGAGAGAGGAAAAAGGTTGACGATAAAGATAAAAATGGTATTAATTGATGAACTGACACCTTTAAGTAGATGATAAGGGATGGCAATTGGGGCACCAGAAGAGGGTCTGGCTCTGGCTGGGAGCAGAAGGGTTAACCCACAACAGTCCCTCACATGGTAAAACGCCTGACATGTGGTGCAGCTGCAAATGCATGAGCAGACAGTGGTGGAATCTGTGAAGTTGTCTTCTAATGTGTTCAGTTTTCTCAGTGAAGTGGGAAGCAAGGTCATCAGCTGAAGTAAGAATGGGGAAGGCAGGTTGGATGTGTGAGCACAAAGAAAAGGTGTGTAAGAGTCACCCAGGCCAGGAGGAGGCTGAGGGTGAGCCATGCAGGGAGAGGGTGATTGCTGGCCATGGTAGGGACTTCCTATGTGGTTTGGAATCCTAAATTTTAAGAGACCAGTCAGCGTACCTTGTGCTGCTCTCCAGCCTCCTGCAGCTCATGGGGGCAGGCTCAGCATAGGCAGAGGTGGAACCCACCAGCTGTGTAGTTTTGCCAGGTGAGTGTGACAATTCAAGGGAGAGGGAAGGGAGGGATGGAAATTATTTACCATAGAATTCAAAATGGGTGAGGAGGGAGGACAGGACACCCAGGGTGAGGGACAGTGAGTAGATGGCAGGATCACTGGATTGGGAATCCCAGGAGGGTGGAACGATTGTTGGAATTGATGTACTACAGGGTAGACTCCAAGCGTGGAAAGCAAGCACATATGCAATGAGTGGTCCACTGATATTACATCACAGCATATGATAAAATGATAGTATCTGTGTCCTCAGAGCCTGTGGCCACCTTGCAAGGGGATGAGTGGAAAGATGGTCAGAGAGTGGGAAGTGTGAGATAGAGAGTATGGAAGGGCTGGGGTTCTTAGCCATGATGAGGCCTAGGGGATAACAAGGGCATGAGATTCAGGCAGACAGGAGAAGATCATGGAGGAGAGGAGTTCCAGGATCTGAGAGGCCAGGAAGCGAGGGCATCTTCTCTGCTGTGTGGGTGTCTATTGCTGCCATAAAAATTACCACAAACCAAATGGCTTTAAACAGCACCTATGTATCATGGCACAGTCGTGTGGATTGCAAGTCCACCCAGTCTCATGGGGCTAAGATCAACATACGGGAAGGTCTGCATTCCTTTCCATAGACTCTGGGGAAGAATCCACTTCCAAGCTCATTCAGGTTCTTGCCTGAATTCACTTCCTTGCAGATAGAAAAGAGGTTTCCACTTCCTTGTTAAGAGCCACCCTTAGCTCCTAGAGCCTTCTCTCAGATACTCACACACGGTGCCTAAGGCACATTCAATCCTCCTGCTTGGAACTTCTGACCTCCCCTCTCCAGCTTCTCCTCTGCCTTCCTCCTCTGCAGAATCTGACTCCAACCAGGGCAGGCTCTCTGCTTTTAATGGCTCTTGTGATTTGATTGGGCCCACACAGAGAGTCCAGCAGAATCTCCCTATTTTAAGGTCCTTAATCTTCATTACATGAGTAATATCCCTTTTGCCACGCAATGCAACCTGTTCACAGGTTCCAACGATTAAGACTGGACATCTTTGGGGACCATTACTCAGCCCACCACATCTGCGTATGTTGAAGTCACCAAGAGTCAAGGAGACAGCAATGCTGGAGAGGGTGACAGTGAACCAGGAGCTACAAGACTCAGGATTGAGAAGAACAGCCTGGGGCCCACAGGGAATGGTTACAGTGAGGCAAATGGGGCTCTAATCTGATGACAGCCTAGGGGTTTTAGGGAGGAGGGAGGCAGAAAGTTCTGAGAACCACAATGAGGAGCAAGGACCCCACCTCACCTCTGAACCCAGGGGTACAAGTCCCTGGGGAAACTCCCCCATGTGGGAGGACTTCGGAGGGGGTCATGTCCTCAGGGAGACCCAGGTTGCTGCTGGAGCTGCGAGATGCAGGAACATCCTGAGAGAGGCTGAGGAGGTTTTGCTGATGTGGACTGAGAAATCCAGGGGGTGCACTGGGAAGATTTCTGTGGCTGGGGAGGTCGGGGAGACAGAATAGAGGTGTGCAGAGCCTTGTGGGGATGCAAGTGCAGAGTATGTGGGGGACCCAGTGTGACTGACACAAACAGGGACAGAGCATGATGAGCTCAGTCCAGGTGCACTCCAGGCCGACGATGGTGCTGAGCCTGTGGGAGATGCGGGAGGAGGAGCAGGGGTGGCTTTCACCTGGGCTCTGTCCATGGAGGTGAGGACAGTGAGGTGGTTGGGTCTTAGTGCTGTGGGGAACTTTTCTTGACCTCCTGATGACTGGATGGAGTGTCTGAGGGAGGAAGGGTCTTACAGGATTGACTCATGACCCTGAGGGATGTGCTCACTCCAGGTCTCAGGTCTGTCCTGACACCTTTATTTGTGGCTTAGAGCTCCCTACTGTAAATTATTAGGAGTTAGTTCATTTTGGAGTTTATAACTTAAAGCAGAAATTCAGATGGTTGAAATGTCATTTTCATGAAGGTTTGTTATTAGTGTATCATTTAGATTGTTTTGCAAAAGTCTCATTTTTTTTCTAAAGGGTTGCCAATCTTGTTTTAAATTTTACAAAGGTTGTTAATTTATCTTCACTGTTAATTGGTTGTGGGTTGTTTAAACTTATACTGTGTAGTTTTACATATCTGTAACAGCAGTAGTTTGGGCCTCTTATATTCTAATAATTAAGACTTTCAGCTGTGTACACACTGTAATTCAAGCACGAGTCATGCATAACCCTAGCACTAAGAGACAAGAGGGGAATCCCTCTCTCTGAAAATTTTGCAAAATTCTGGGTTCTTTTTCCACTGAGTGGGCACAAGTCGGCTAATCATGAACATGAGGTATTTGTCCTCATTTAAAGGTGCTTCAGAAGCACTGACCCCTAGGAAGGCCTCCTTGTCTGGGTCAGGCACCCTACACCATGGCAGAGGCCATCTTCCCTCCCAGTGTACAGTGATATCCCAGATAGCTTACTGGTTAGCTGCTGTCCACTCTTGGGCAGTTTTGTCTTCTAAAACATGGGTTTTTATCTGAGAATCTTCCTGTTCCCAGATGATCAAAACTGGGGCCATCCATTCCATTCTGAGCCACTTCTGCCCAGGGGCCCATTGCTATTTCCTCCAGTCACAACAGAACACCCCTTCAGAACAGCCTGCAGGAAGGCCCCGTCTCCTCACAGGCTCACACATGCACGGTGTGTGCACAGAGCTTTTGCTCTAGTTCAGGAGGTGTGTGGGGAGCCTCACTAGTCCAACAGAGCTTGGTACCAGTGTCATATGCCAGGAACCAAGGTTATAAGGGATACAATGTCCCCAGACCTACCAGAGAAAGCAAACTCATACAGCTTGCAGGACCAGACAAGGACAAGAACAAGTTCAAAAGAGGGAAAGGGAAATTATAGACATACCTCAGAGATACTGCAGATTTGGTTTCAGACCATGGTAACAAACAAGCCACACAAATTTTTGTTTTTCCAGTACATATAAAAGTTATATTCACACTCTACTGTAGCCTAGTAAGTGTACAATAGCATTATGTATGAAAGAACTATGTACATACCTTAATTTAAAATTACTCTATTGCTAAAAAATGCTAACGGTCGTCTGAGGCTTCAGCTAATTTTAATCTTTTTGCTGGGGGAGGGTCTTGCCTCAATGTTGATGACTACCGGCTGTTCAAGAGGGTGGTTGCTAAAGGCTGCTGTGGCAATTTCTTAAAATAAGACAATGAAGTTTATGGCATGGATTATAAAGGGGGAATCAGTACTTAAGTAAGGTCAATATGAGTTTTCAAGTCAGGTGGACTTGAATATGAACCCTCCAGGCCTTTCCACCAACTAGCTATAGAGCCTTGGGCACATCTGGCCCAGAGCTGGCCCCGACAGACACTTGCCCAGTGGGTGAGTGCTCAATGAACCCATCTGAGCCAATTGTCTCATCCAACCAGTGATATAATTCCTTCCTTGCAGAAGAATAAGTGAGAAAAGACACAGTGCCAAGAAATTCAGACACAAGACCTGCGGAAGTCTGCGCCAGTGCTCTAAAGCAAGTTCTGCCTAAAGCGGCAGAAACATTTTTCACATTAGGAACAGGAGTTGTTTGGGATCCTGTCTGGGGCCAGGTTGAGAGCAGAGTGGGAGTGGGGGCCTGGGCAGGACCAGGCACTGGAGTGAAGACAGGCCTGGAGAGAGCTGACTCCTGGAGGCTGCTGAGCGGCTCAGACAGCTCCTTGCCTCACCTGCCACAGTCCTCCCTCTCCCCTGGCCTCCAAGTACCCGGGAGTGCGAGCCTGGGCCCCGGGAACCGGCACCTTGAGGGCTGGAGAGGGACCCCGCCCGCTCCCTGTCTCCCTGACGCGCTCTCTCCGCCTCCCCGCGGGTACCCAGCCTCCCGGGCTCCCTCCTGCCTACCGCCCGGCCCTGGAGCCGCTTACCTGGGAGCTTCTTACGGTGTAGGGGGAGCTGGGGAGGGGACAGAGGGACAGGGACCACGGGAGGGTGGCGTGGGGCGGCGTACTTGGAGATATGACCTGAGGAGTCTGCAGACCCCAGACCGGGGCAGAAGAGCCGTGGGAGGAGCTGCTGAGCTCTCCAGGCCGCCCTTTACCTCCTGCCTCCCCAGCCCAGTTCATCTTGATCCTCTCCTCACTAGCCCAGGTCTCCCCAAGGTCAGGGCTCATAGAGCAGCAGGAGTTGGGTTCCGGGACGCGGGATCCGGCTTCTCTGGGAATCTTGGATTCCAGGAAGGATCCTGGAGATCTCCCACTTTATGAAGCCCAATCTCCACTCACTGTGATGGCGTCTTTAGACCCCACTGGAAACCAGATACGACGCCCTCATCGGCCCTGGGGAAAAAACAAGAGCAAAGTATGAGAGGTGGCCATGAGGTCAGGGAAACTCCTGCAGAATTCTCAGGAAAGGAAACTCTTCCGAGCTGGGCCCTTGGCTTAGTTTGTCTTCCCTGCCCAGCCACCTGTCCCAGAGCTGGAGACGCCCAGGTTTAAGCCAGAGATTTTGGATACTTTCCTTGATGGTGACATAATTTTTGTCTTCTCTCCTGGAAGAGAAGCCCCAGAACCATCAGAGTGATCCAGTCTGCCCACTCTTCTTATTATTCTGTCTCTCCAATCACTCTCCCTGAGCTGGACTCTCCACCCACCCTCACATTCTGGATAGTGCAGAGATGTGAGCATGGCCCTGGGGCAGGATTGTCTGCGTGCAAGCCCAGCTCCACCACGACTTGTAGGCGACCTTCTTTCCTATTGTATCACCTGAAAACGGAAAATTAGCAGGCACACCCCATAGATGTATCGTGACAATTAAATGAATTCATATTTTGAAAGTGCTAAGGACACGGATTAACACATAGCACCATGACAGTGTATGATATTATCGCTGTTGGTTTTTTTTTTTTTTTTTTTTTTTTTTTAGATGGAGTTTTGCTCTCGTTGCCCATGCTGGAGTGCAGTGGCACCATCTCGGCTCACTGCAACCTCCACCTCCTGAGTTCAAGCGATTCTCCTGCCTCAGCCTCCAGAGTAGCTGGGATTACAGGCGCCCGCTACTACACCCAGCTAATTTTTTGTATTTTTAGTAGAAACGGAGTTTCCCCATGTTGGGCAGTCTGGTCTTGAACTCCTGACCTCAGGTGATCCACCCTCTCCGGCCTCCCAAAGTGCTGGGATTACAGGTGTGAGCCACCATGCCCCGCCGTTGTTGCTATTTCTTTCATCCTTTTTGCTTGAGCCTCTTCTCTTCTTTCTAGGTTCCCAGGGAAATTCTCTGTTGGAAGATTATGCCTGCAAGAGGCCTCCACCTGGGAAATGCTGGCCCATGGGGCGATCTCCCTTTTATTAAATGGAATGATTGTTGGTGAAGTGACAGCTAGTGAGCCAGTGACAGTACGGTTCATGTAAAAAAGACCACATACCTAGGATTACCTCCATTTTAATAAAGACACATCCCACACATTATAAGTCCAATGTGATTTGTGAGGAGATTGCTTTGATTTGCTCACGAAAAATATTACTCTACTTTCTTTGAGAGAGTTTTGCAACACATTTCAAATCTCTGCTTCTCATTTCACACTATCTGGCTCATGAGTGAAGGTGATAAGTGTCGTACTATGCTCTCAGGTTTGTCTGTCAGAGTCATAGTCATGTATTACACATAAAGATTATTTTCTTGTTATCATTTATTTATATATATTATACTCATGGGATATAGATAGATATTATTACAGTGCTTAAATGGCTACTACTGATATCTATACATTTTCTCTCTTGGTATATGATATTAACACATAGAATTGTATACTGTTACTTTGGTTTCCAGCAATTGCTGATTAGGTCATTTGGACCACTTCTCCCATTGAGTACAACTAGAAAAATGGGAGGAAAATACATATTTGAAAAGTCTGGTTGAATTTATAGATGGGCTAGCAAAGCAGTGAAGATTTGCTTGGCCAGGAACCAGGAAGAGGCAGAAATCCAGAAGAGCATCTTGAGCTATGGGGCTGCTTTTTTGGATCAGATGCAGTGACACCTGCCTCCCAGGCAAGAAGCCAACTTCTGGGATTCAGAACTAAAGTGTCCCAATATTTAGAAGGTCTCTTGGTCTCTCTAGAGTTCAGTGCTCATTGGCCAGGGCTATGATACTCACACTCATTCCTTGGAGGAGCCAAGCTTCGGGTTTGGCTGCCTCTGGGACATTTCATGCTAGAAAAACCCCAACATGTGTAGATAAATGGTATAGAGGACACCAGCCACCCTTTGATGGAGCTCTGCCCAGTAGTGTCCCCTCACTTCCACTCAGAGACAACATGCCCATTTCACTAAATTCATGAGGACATGGCCAACATAAGTAAGAGAACACCGGGAGGTACCTTGGACAGAGTTCCATGCAATCACAGCTTTTGCGTCTCTGTGTCTTTTCCCTTCATCTCAACCAGAGAGCATTTGCCGAGGCCGAAGAACAAAAAACTTCAAATATTGGAGCGGAATCTAAGACCACTGATCCATTGTGATCAGGAGGCTGGAGCCATGTGGTCCAGGAATAATGAAGTCTGTGAGGCCTTGGTCACCCCAAGGCTCTCTCCCATTAGGAGCTGCCTCTCACTGCTATCAGGGAGGACCCAGGAGCTGGACATGGCTTTTTTTTTTTTTTTTTTTTTCATTTCTGATGAGAACCTGGAGAGGTCCCAGAGCATATAGACCTTGATTGAAATGGGGCCAGAGTGGAGTCAGGCAAAAAACTCTAATGACTCAGAGGCACCTAAGTATAAAATAAAATCTCAACTCAGAGCTTCCATCAGAGCATCAGGCTCAGTATCTCCTGTGTTTGCACTGTGAGTACTGGAGCTTGATGAGAAGAAAAATAGCTACATGTGCAGAAAAACATATGTAGTTAGAAAGCTGGGTCATGGTTCAAGGTAAGAGGGACCCTTGTCTTTTCCGTGGTAGATAGTGGGGCTTTCTGCCATCTTAGTTCTGATGGACCAAGTGCAGAAGATAAACTTTCCTGCTTTCAGCTTAGTGACTGGTAATAGAAGCTGGAGTTAAGAGAATCAGTGGCAGCCTCTGTCTCCATGCCCCAGCCCAGTAAATCTAAGCCAGGACTTGGGGCTCTGGCACTTTCTTCTCACTGTGCGTCCTCCTTCTCTGGCTCAAAAGAGAACCACATGTAACAGAAACCAAGGGCTACAATTCTCATAGAACCCAGAAAACTGGACTAGGGGCCTAGAGAGTCATGTGCCTGCCATTGTTCCACCGCTTACGTGCTGTGTGACCTCAGGAGAAGCTCTCTGCTCTTTGAATCATCTGTGAATCATGGACAAACACCTCCATGCTAGCAACATTACTGAAATGCAGGGAGGAACAAGTGATTCAATTGGGAGGAAAAAAAGCAAAGTGATGACATTTACTCCTAGACAAAACTTTTTAGGAAAATGTATCTTAAAAGTAGGAGAAAAACATATAATACCTGCAATCCCCTGCAAAAGAAGCCTCTTTAGCTTACTACTTGTTCATCGTCTTTCTGTGAAATTTGGGCAAAACTAGCTGCCTCATTATCTCAAATAAATTAATGCAGTTGGCAATTCTGTGTCAGTTTAGGTCTACAACTTTTGCTTTGTGTGAAACTGAAAGGGAATGGGAACATCTTCATTTTTCTGTGGTGGCCAGGGGACACTCAGAGGCTTGGAAATGACCCTATATCATCTATTTTCAATTGCCTCACTCTATCTTTTGAAATCTCAGGTAATTCATACTCCTAAAAAAATCTCATGTTCATACATAGGACAAGGTAGAAAAGGTAATATTTCTGTTTTAATTTGCTAGGGCTGCCATAACAAAGTACCAAAGGCTGGGTGACTTAAATAATAAATATGTGTTGTCTCACAGTTCCAGAGGCCACAGGTGCAAGGTCAAGGTGCTGCAGGGTTGATCTCTTCTGAGGCCTCTTTCCTTTGCTTGTAGATGGCCACTTCTTCTGCCTTCTCAACATAGGGCTTCAACATGTGGATTTTGGTGGCGTAGGAACACAATTCCTCTTGTAACAGTCTGGATCGTCTTTGACAATGGATGTTCTAAAAAATAAAAGAGAGTAATAGACAGTACAACCCTTTGGCTGAAATCTTTCTCTTGGTTTTCTAAAATTTTGGTCTTGCAATAGAAAAAACAAGAAAGAGAACCAAAGTTTAGTTCTTCCCGGAAGGTGAGGCCTCCTCCCTAAGTCTGTGTAATCCCAGACACTAAGACATGGTGCTGTGCAGTTCTCCAAAGTCCTACTCACTCCAGTGATTCTGTTTCTGTCTTTTTAACTGAGCAGAAGAGTCTCTTTCAGGAGAGCAACTTCTTCTGATGCTTTATGGGCTTTATTCTCCTTAAACTTATGGAATGAAAAAGATCTTAATAAAAAGGAAAATATTTGCCAAATTTTTATCATGCTCATAATTTTTGTACCTTTTTAAATGCCCCATATTGTGTTGTTTATTTTTTAAATTTTTTAAAATTGGTACATAATATTTGTACATATTTATGGGATACATGTGACATTTTGATACATGCATAGAATGTGTGTATCAGTCAAGATATTTAGGGTATCCATGACCTCAAGCATTTATCATTTCTTTCTGTTGAGAACATTTTAAATTCACTCTTTTTTGTTTTGTTTTGTTTTTTGAGATGGAGTCTCACACCATCACCCAGACTGGAGTGCAGTGGCACGATCTCGGCTCACTGCAAGCTTCGCCTCCCGGGTTCACACCATTCTCCTGCCTCAGCCTCCCGAGTAGCTGGGACTACAGGCACCCACCACCACGCCCGGCTAATTTTTTTTTTTTTTTTGTATTTTTAGTAGAGACGGGGTCTCACCATGTTAGCCAGGATGGTCTCGATCTCCTGACCTCATGATCCACCCTCCTCGGCCTCCCAAAGTGCTGGGATCACAGGCATGAGCCACCACGCCCAGCCAAATCCACTCTTATAGCTATTTTGAAATATACATTTTTGTTAACTTTAGTCAGTCTGCTGTGCTATCAAACATTAGAACTTATTTTCTCTATATAATTGGACATTTGCATCCATTAACCTGCATCTCTATATTTTCCCACCCCTACATTCTTCCCAGTTTCTGGGAACTGTCATTCTACTCTCTCTACCTCCCTAAGATTAACCTTTTTGGCTCGCACATATTAGTGACAACATGTGGTATTTGTCTTTCCTTGCTTGGCTTATTTCACCTAACGTAATGACCTTTGGTTACATCCATGTTTCTGCAACTGACAGGATTTCATTCTTTTTTATGGCTGAATTGCATTCCATTGTGTATATATATACCACCATTTATTCATTCACCCATTGATGAATTCACCCATTGATTTCATAACTTCGCTACTGTGAATAGTGCTTCAATAAACCTGGGGGTGCAGGTAGTCTTTTGATATATTGATTTCTTTTCCTTTATATAAATACCCATGAGTGGAGTTGTTGGATCCAATAGTAGTTCTATTTTTTGTTTTTTGAGAAATCATTATACTGATTTCCATAATTGCTGTACTTACTTTCCCAAGAGTGTACAACAGTTCCCATTTCTCCACATGCTCACCACTATCCATTATTTTTTATTTCCTATTAGTAGCCATTCTAAATAGGATAAGATGATATTTCATTATAGTTTTGATTTGCATTTTCCTGATATTTAATAAGGTTGAGTGTTTTTCGTATACCTGTTGACCATTTGTATGTCTCCTTTTGAGAAACATCTATTCAGACACTTTGTCCATTTTTTAATTGGATTATTTGTGTTTTTACTGCTGAGTTTTTTAAGTTCCTTGTATATTCTAGATGTTAGTTCCTTGCTGGATGAATACATAGCAAATATTTTCTCTATTCAACAGGTTGCCTCTTCATTCTGTTGATTGTTTCATTTGCTGTGCTGAAGCTATTTAGTTTAATATAGTCCCACTTGTCTATTTTATTTTTGTTGCCTGTGCTTTTGAGGTCTTAGCCATAAAGTCTTTGCCCAGACCCATGTCTGGAGTGTTTCCTGTAAGCATTCTTCTAGTAGTTTTATAGTTTTGGGACTTACATTTAAATCTTTAATCCATTTTGAGTTGATTTCTGTATATGGTGGGAGACAGGGTTCTAGTGGTATTCTTCTGCATCTGGTAGCATTTTCCCAGCTCCATTTATTCTCCATTGTTGCTTTTGTTCTTTCTCCATTGTATATTCTTTACCAAAAATGAGTTGGCTATCAATGCATGGATTTATTGTGAGTTCTCTTTTGTATTCCATTAGTCTATGTGTCTGTTTTTATGCCAGCACCATGCTGATTTGGTTACTATAACTTTATATTGTATTCTGAATTCAGGAAGTGTGATACCTCTAGCTTTGTTCTTCTTGCTCACGATTGCTTTGGCTATTTGGGATATTTTATGATTCCATATGAATTTCATAATTTTTTCTATTTCTGTGAATAATGATATTGGTATTTTGATAGGGATTGAATTGAATCTGTAAATTGCTTTGGGTAGTATGAACATTTTAACAATATTCTCCCAATTTATGTGCATGAAATTTATGTGTTTCATTTTTTAAATTAATATTTAACAATATTAATTCTCCCAATTTGTGTGTTTTATTTTTTTTCCTTAGAGACAAGGTCTCACTATGTTTCCCAGGCTAGTCTTGAACTCCCAGGCTCAAACAATTCTCCTGTCTCATCATCCCAAAGTGCCAGGATTACAGGTATGTGCCACTGCGCCTGGCTCTTCCAGTTTTGTGTACTCTTCAATTTCCTTCATCAGTGCCTTATAGTTTTTGTTTTACTTCCTGGGGTAAATTGATTCTTAGTTATTTTATCCTCTTTATGATTTGTAAATAGTTTTGCTTTCTTGATTTCTTCTTCAGATTATATGGTGCTTGTATATATAAATGCTCTGAAAGTTTGCACATTGATTTTGTATCCTGTAATTTTACTGAATTTGCTTATTAGTTCTCACCATTTATTTGGTGGAATATTTAGATTTTTCTTTCTTTCTTTCTTTTTCTTTTTTTGAGATGGAGTCTCGCTCTGTCATCCAGGCTGGAGTGCAGTGGCGCGATCTCGGCTCACTGCAAGCTCCACCTCCTGGGTTCATGCCATTCTCCTGTCTCAGCCTCCTGAGTAGCTGGGACTACAGGCGCCCGCCACCACGACCAGCTAATTTTTTTTTTTTTTTTTTTTTTGTATTTTTAGTAGAGACGGGGTTTCACAATTTTAGCCAGGATGGTCTCGATCTCCTGACCTCGTGATCCGCCTGCCTTGGCCTCCCAAAGTGCTGGGATTACAGGCGTGAGCCACCGCACCCGGCCAATATTTAGTTTTTTCTGAGTAAAAGATTATGCCATTTGCGAATAAGGCTAAGTTGGCTTTCTCCTTTCCAATTTGGATGCCCTTTATTTCCTCCTCTTGGCTGATTGCTCTTGCTAGGACTTCTAGTGCTGTGTAGAATAAAAGTGATGAAAGTGGGAGTCTTAGCCTTCTTCCAGATCTTGGAGGAGAGGCTATAAGCTTGTCCCTATTCAGTATAATGTTAGCTGTGTGTTTGCCATATATGGACATATCATGGTGTATTATTCTTTTGGTATACTGTTGGATTTTGTTGCTAATATTTTTAATTATTATTTTTATCAGCAACTTTATAATTTTTATTATAAGCTTTTTAAGCTTATAAAATGTACATATACCAAAATAATCAGATCTTCATCAAATTTATCAATGAATTTTGACCAATACAGCATATTACTCTTGCCACTATCAATGTACATAAAGATCCCTTTTTCTCCCTTCAACTCAGCTTCCATGCCTCCAGCAGCCATTGATCTGACGGCTGTCAGGATAGCACAGTTCTTCCTGTTTTAAAACTTCATACAAATCTACTCATCCCATATGGCCTCCCTTGTATCTGGCTTTTTGCGCTTGTTGTAATACCTATGTGATCAATCCATGTTGGTGCACGTATCAGTAGTTCTTTCATTTTCATTGCTGATAATATTCCATTGTATGACTGAATCATGATTTTTGTACATTGGCAGTTATTTCTTGTTTTTTACTATTATAAATAAAGAAACTATGAACATTTTTATGCAGGGATTATCGACAAAATCTTCATTTCTCTTGAGTATATACCTAGGAGTGGAAATGGTAGCTGTAGAGGACTAGCTTGTTTAACTTTATTAGATGATATGAAATTGATTTTCAAAATGGATGTTTTATATTCTTATAGGCAATGGAGGAGAGTACAGATTGTTCCACTTCCTTGCTAGCATTTATAGTTATTAATCATTTTAATTTTAGCCATTCTAATGGTTGCTTAGTGGTTTCTCACTGTGGTTTTACTTTGCATTTTTCCCTGAACTGGCCATTCATATATCTTCTTTTGCAATGTTTCAGATTTCTCTACAGATTGTGGAAGGTGCTAAATAAAGATGAGTCCTCTTTCTCTAGTGCTGGACCTAAAGCAGAATGTTCAGAGTCCCTCCACATATCCCAATCCAGCCAACCACATACCATGTTTGCCTCCAGAAGCTCCTACTCCTTCATCCGTCTTTCACGGTCTATCACTTCATTCTGGCTTAAGCTCACACTCCTCCAGGAAGTCAGTTACTGTGAAGGTCACTAACATGCTCAGTATTGTCATGTCTCCACCTGTCTTTACTTCTCTGTAGCTTTCCTCACACTCAACGACTCCTTTTTATTTTGCTCAATTTCTGTGGATTCACTTCACAAATTTTATTATAAGGTAGTTCTAGCTAGAAGAAAAAATAGAGAATTATAAGAAATCTTTGTGAAGCTGCCACCCAGGTTTGTCAATTTGTGACATTTTAATATTATTGGCTGTATGTAGTATACATAGAAAATAACAGAAACACGTGTAGATAGCCCTGATTTTCCACAGTTCTGTTATGCATGTGTTTCAGTCAATACTGTACTGAGCAAAGCAAGAACTGTTGGTGAATGTGTGTCTTGAATTTGCTGTATGCCCCTATATTCTTACTAAGTTTTAAAAAGTCTCTTGTTTTTGTTTGTTTGTTTGTTTGTTTGTTTTTAACATGGTTTCACTTTGTCACCTGGACTGAAATGCAGTGGCACAAACACAACTCACTTCAGCCTCTACCTGCCAGGCTTAAGCAATTCCTCCCTTCTAGGCCTCTTGAGTAGCTGGGACTAGAGGTTTGCGCCACCATGCCTGGCTAATTTCTGTATTTTTTGTAGAGAAAGGGATTTATCATGTTTCCCAGACTTGTCTGGAACGCCTGGGGTCAAGCAATCTGCCCACCTTGGCCTCCCAAGATGCTAGGATTATGGGTATAGGCCCCCTTGCCTGGCTTTACTTTTAGACTTTTTATAAATTGTTTCTTGCTGATTTTGTTATGCATTTGCTTGCTTTTTCCGTTAACATGGTCTATGAGATGGATCAATGTTCACACAAATAGTTCATTTGTTTTCATTGCTAGATAGTATTCCATGGGAGGAATATGCTACAATTTATCTCTTCCCCACTTCATTGACCTCTACATAGTCTTTATTAAAGACACTGCTGCAATGAACATGCTGGGACATTGCTTTCTGGTTCCAAGAATATGTGAGCTCCCCTAGGATATGCATGTAAGAGTGGGGTCACTGCACCCTTCCCATATGATGCTACATGATGTCAAATTGTTCTCTGAAAGAAATAATCCAAATGCCTATCAGTAGGGAGCTGGTTAAAAAGCATTGCATTCAAAAAGGGTAATCTCTATTTTAAAAAATGCATGCCTATACAGTGGATTGCCAAGAAATTTTTGAACAAAAAAAAGAAAGACATAGTGTAGTTCTTGATATTTCTTCATGGGATGGTCTCCGTGATACAATGGTAAGGGAAAACAGCAAGGTACAGAAAAGCATATGTAGTTTGCTAAAATTTGTGTGCAAAGGGAGAAAGAACATACACATATACATTTATATTTGCTTGCACAGTCACAAAATACCTTTGAAAGAATAAGCACTGCCTGATGAGTTTGGAGTGAGAGATGGTCAGGATGATTTCCCGCACAGTCAGGTTGTTTGAAGGGAGGGGAAAAGAGCAAGCAGCAAGTTTTGTGTTTCTGCAAAGACAGAGACAGTGCAGGAGACACTGAGAGCCTGGAGTGTCCGGGAAACCCGAGTCTTTCTGCCATTTCCCCACTTCTGTGTATCTGGCAGGGGGTGGTGATTTCTCATCCTTGAACCTAATTGCACTGTCAGTTGGCCCCTCAGGCCTGGGCAGATGGGATGGTTCATCCCCTGCCCTGCAGCAAGAGGGCCCTGTCCAGGAGGCACCCACAGCAGGGGCAGTGCAGGTCTGTGGTCGCTCCTGCTCTCACCTGTGGTGTCTCCTGAAGAGGGATTGTCAGTTCTGGTTCCCCGTGGGCGGGAACGGTTGCCTTGTAGGTTACTGGGGCACTGGCCAGGAAAGGGGTGTGAAAGTTATGTGCTAATTTCTCAAAATTCCTGCTTTAAATGCTGATGTCCAATAAAGATGTTCGTAGTTTCAGCTGGGTCTTAAAAGGATTTCCACCAATACTAATGTTGTAACCCATATCAAATGAAACAGGAACTCAAATGTGGAGCTCCCTCTCCAGGACGGTCCATGTGGGAGACAGTGGCTGTGGCAGTGGCAATCCCCAAGTGCAAAGGGTGGGCAGAGGCAGCCTCAGGCTGAGGGGTCTCAAGAAACTTTCTACTCCACAGGGAGAAGAAGATCCCCTATGGGCTGTGAGGGCAGTGGCTTGGGTGGAATCCCTGCTAGGAATCCCTGCTAGGAACAGGAGAGGAAGGCCTTTCAGCCTCCCCAAGCAGCAGCCCTGGGGAGAAGCTGTGCTTCCAGGGATGAGTGGACCAGGCTGGAGCAAGCATGGCCCAAGTGCAGGTCATGGGCCTGGGGGTCAGGGTAGGCTCCTTGAGCAAGGGGGTTCCCAGGGTCAGGTCAGCTGCAGACCCCATAGCAGCTACATGTTTCCATGCTGGGCCTGCCATGCTGATGGGATTCTTAATGGGCTTCCCAGTTAGGAGCTGCCTGCTCAGGGCTGGAAGTGGAGGAGCACTGAGCTGCAGGTGGAGGGCAGAACCACAGTGTTTAGGGCCTGCCTTTGTGTGCAGGTGTCTCTACAGGTGAGGTGGGACTGGGGACTGAGGAAGAGAAGGACTGTGCGTGTGACCCAGCCCAGTCCTGGAAGGACATGGAGCCAGGGCCAGAGCCTCTCTTTGGGGAGTCCTCCTGCTGTCAGAGCTGGCCAGGCTTGAGAGGAGGGGAGGGCACTGGGTTTTTCCCAGGTCTTGTCCTTTGGTCCTGGGGCTCTTTTTCTCCTTGCATGGTGGCTGGTGGGCACAGGGCAGGGGCTGATGTTGATGGAGTCACGGGAGGGGACTGGCAGGGGCTGGGAAAAGTGCCATGGGAGGGAGAAAAAAGTGCAGACATCATCTTCCCTCGGAGAAAGGGTGAATCTGATTTGGGACTGACTGAGGAGGGAGAAGTCGTCAGGGAGTAAAAAGCAGCACTGTGCACCCAGGGGAGCACTTACTATTTTTTCTCTTTTCTCCAGAGCACATGAGCCTGCAAGGCCCAGATCAACACCTGACTCAGACAGAACACCAGGGCAGTGCACAGCTGGGATTTCAGTCTCTGCTCTCAGCTCCCAGGTCCACTGGCTCTACTGAGGGCACCTACACTCTGCAGCCAGGCGGCCTGGATTGAATGCCCTGCCCAGGTCTCACCAGCACTTTTTCTCTTGCTGGCTCAGCTTTCTCATCTATGAAATGGGGAATGTAACAACATTTATTTCTTGTGGTTGGGTGGATGAAAAGTGTTAGTATATATGAGGTGTTTGCAGCTGTGCCATATTATTTTTGTTATTTTGTTATGATTTTATTATATTTTAATACATTAATGTCATGTAGTTGTATTATCACAGGTGAGCTTTATGAGTGAGTGTCCTGGTGACGGCTCCTCCGGGGAGCCAAGGACCAACTTTCCTGGCACGTTGAGGTCCCCTCGCCCTGTCACACTCTCCTGCATTACCCCATTCTACTCTGTCTTCATATTTTATACTATAGATATTTAGCTTTTAAATAGACATTTCTGGTCTGTGTTTTATTTCAAGTGTCTGGGAACAGATAGAGTTGAGGTTCAAGGGAGAATGAGAGCTCTGTCTAGATGCGTTGACATAGCACAAAGAAATCTCCCCTCCTCCCTGATATCTCCCCGCCAGTTCTCAGGGAAGGACAGATTCAGAGCAACACAGACAGGTCTGGAAAGGGATGGGGGGACATCTGAAGCAAATGTTCAGGGCCTGAAGCTGTGAGAGTACACCTGCCCTACAGAGTTGGAGCCCTCATGTGATGATGCAGAGCTGAAGTGTTATATTCTGGAGGGGATAAAAAGTGCTCTGGGGTTTCCTGATTATGAAGGGTAGGGGTCAGTCTGCTTCTAGGAGATGTGGACTGAATTAGTGAAAAATAAATGCACAGGGAATGAGGATGAGTAAAGCAAGCATCAGCATCTCCCGCCATCAGTTCAGACTGATTCGGAGGTGGGGAGGTGGGATAGTTCCTGACCCTGTTGCAAGGTTTCTTTTGACTTTCTGGTTTTGGGGCACATAGATGGGTGGTGCTCTTCTTGGTCAGGGCGGCCTCAGCTCCACCCAGGTAAGGCAGTGGTGGCAGAGAGTTAGGGGAGCACCTATGAAACAGACCAAGGCAGGGATGGGAGCCCTTGGTGCAGCAGGAGTGCATGCAGGACTTGCCTGGAAGCAAGAGTATTAGGGACCCTAGTCAGGTCCTGGTCCCCTCCCTGCCTAGGCTCACAGGACAACCAGTAAAGATGCTGGAGTGGGGAATTCATTCATGGGCTATCTATCCAGAGTTGTTTATAGACATATTCTTTCAAGTTTGTATTCAGGGTTGATGTCACATACACATTTATACATGCTGTTTTATGTTTAAGTGTTTTTATATTTTGGTTAGCCCTTTATCATTGTTAAACAAAGTTGTCATTAGGCATAAACTTGCATGTTAACTGAAGCTTTTGTTTTTATTTTATTCGAAGTTACAATTGCACATAATGGAAAGAGTAAATATTTGTGCAGGACTTTCTGAGAAAAATGAGAGTCTTCTCTGCCTTTCTAGGGAGAGTCCTCTCTTCTCTATTTCTGCCTTTCTAGGGAGCAACCACTTTCAAGTTTCAGCTGATTCTTTTGACTTTACTTTCACATATCTAAGCACCAAAGCACCATTTCTTTATTAACATTGCTTGATTTTTCAGTTGCAGCCATTGACTATTGCACTGCACGATGGTGGAATCAATAGTTAAGATTACTTGTTCTCTTTCTTTTTGTATTTTTTTCTTATTTTTTAATTTATTTAAATAAATAAAAATATTCTACCTCCCCAAAACCCCTCAGGACCCACACACAGGCACTGCAGCAGCGACAGGAGGAGGGGGCGCTGGGAACAGGAAGGACACCACCGCTTGGCCTCCGGCACCGGAGGGACAACCTGGAGGGCTCCGGGAGCACCGCAAAGGTCCAAGCGGAGCCAATCCTCACAAGCCCAGGGAAGGGCAACGTGACAGGCCGGCGGGACAGCCCCACCGCCGCGAAGAGGGGCTGCCCAAAAGGCAACAGCCATAGGAGATGAGCAGGGGTGCCTGCTGCGTCGGAGAACTCATCTCCCCAACCCCACCGACGCCACAAGGTAGAGGGCGAGGACAGCGAGGTCGGCCGGATTCCGCACCCCTGCCTCCAACCACCGCCCATGGGCGGGGAGGAGAGACTACCGGCCGCAAGCGGAACGCAGAACGAGAAGAGCCGTCCCGTTAGCCATGAATGTGTCCCTCATCTGTACCGCCTCCGGCCCCGCCCGGGAGAACGCGACGTCACCACATCCATCACTTGTTCTCTTTCACTCTTCCCGTTCTTTCCTTTTCCCAGTATATTTATATAGTAATTATGTTTAATTCAGCCACTCCTTGTTTTTTTCCGTGACTCATCTTCTCATATGTCAACTTGACTACTTTTCACTTGCTTCGTAGTATTTGTTCTTCCTCAAGTTAATACTTGCCTTTGTTTTTGTTTATGTTCTAGATAACTCTCATTAATTTAACTTTGATATCTGTTCCATTTCTGTGACTCTGTTAAGAAATTAGAGACTTTGAACTTTCTATTAATTTTACTTTCTTGGAAATGTCCCTCTTGGGCCCTTCTGGCTGCTCCCATCTGGACTGGAGGCTTCTACCTGTGGGACAGAGTCACCTTCCTAGGATCTCCCTCCACCACCATCTGGGGCGGTGCTTTACATGCAGTGGAGCCACCTGGGGTCCTGACAAATGCAGACTGATCAACCTGTCAAGGCTGGGCCTGTGAGCCTTTCTGTCCAGTTTCATGAGATGCTGGTTCTGCTGGTTCATGGATAATAGCTGGGGTAGCAAGGATCTCTCTTTTTGTCTCACAGTTTTCTGCATCTCTTTTTCATAGTAAGCACATGCTAATATATTTTCAATAAATTCATGTGCTCTTTTCCTAAGTTGGTATCAGAGCTAATTATTTTTTTCATTGCGCCAAAATCCATATTATATAAAATTTGGTATCGTAACAATTTTTAAGTATAGAGTACTATAATATGAACTGTAGCACATTGTTATGCAACAGATCTCTAGAACTTTTCATCTTGCAAAACTGAAACTCTACGCTGAAAATCTCCTCAAGAATCCCCCCAGCCTAACCACTGGCAGCCGCCATTCTACTTTCAGGTTCTAAGAGTTTAGACGCCGCATATAACGAATTGCGCAGTATTGGAATTTCCTTGTGATTGGCTTATTACACTTAGCATTGTTCTCCAGGTTCATCCATGTTGCAGCATGTAACAGAATTTCCTTCTTTTTAAGGTTGAATCATATTCCATTGCCTACATAGACCACATGTTCTTCATCTATTCATGTGTTGATGGGTGCTTTGTTTGCTTCCTTGTCTTGGCTATGGTGAGTAATGTTGCTGTGAATACGGGTATGCAATGTTTTTCTTTTTTACAGCCTCCCTCATTTCAGTGGAATTAATGTTTTAGTAGCTACTTCTGATAGCACATATTTAAAGTATTTTTGCATGCATCAATGTGTCCATTGTTGTTTTGATTCTCTCCTGGAAGAGGATGGAAATGTATGAAGGTGCTGTTTGGCACAGTATTTAATGGTGAAGAAGAGACGGTGTAACTGACCAGTGCTGGGTCTCAGCATCCTGCAATTTCAGAACTACTGTGAATGCAAAAATAATTAAAAAAACCAGTGCTGCCCAGAAAGGGGGAGTCATCCCTAAATATGGCGGCCCTGGGACAGCTGGCCTCCCTGCCAGGCCTCTTCCATGGGGGCCCTTTTCTGCAGTGACTGGGATTTCTTTCCATTTCACTCTACCCTGTGTCCTGACCCAAGAGACAAGGCATGTCTGCAGCTGTGCCCACACTTGGAGTGTGTCAGTACATTATAAACACTGGCTCAGTGGTGTTAGTACATTATAAACATTGGCTTATCATGGGTTATTTTATTATTTATTGTGTATTTTGATTTCACTTTACTGGCAACACAATAAACAATGACATGATGACCCTAGCAATCACATCCTCTTTCTTGTGTCAAAAAGCACCTTCCAGGAACGTGAGAAGGAGACAGTTTTCGCTACAGTTGATTAAGGGAGAGCCCGCTAGGCTGGGCAGGAGGATTTTTACCGGGAACCTGTGCGATGAGCTGTGACATCCTTCTCCCCACCTTCAATCTCAGCCCCAGCAGGCACCTCCTGGGCGCAGAAGCAGTGCAGCGGCGCCACCTGGCGGTCTGCACTCTTCCTTTCCCAGATCAAGCACAGCCCTGAAATCCACCTGTCCCTCCTCTGTGCCTGTGATTTCTTCAGGGGACACCAGCGTGGGTCAACTTTCTTGTAAAGCAGAACAAGCGTGAGATTGGACCATGTTACAGGAGGAATGGTGTCATCTCTACCTGTGGAGAGATCCCTGTCACCGTGTTCAGGGGAAGGACCGAGCCTCACTCCCACGCAGAGAGGAGGCTCTGGTTGTAACTGCTCCAGTGGAGAGATGAGGACCTCCTCCCTCTACACTGATGGCCAAAGCCTGCAGACTGGGCCAGGCTTCCCCTCAGCTATGTCCTGTCAGGTTCATCCAGGACTCAAGAAATAAACTGTGGACATTGTCTCCAGCGACGTGGAGCTGAATGCACACTCAGTAATGAGACAGCCTTGCCAGGGGTCCTGGGGCTGCCGGTTGTTCTGGGTGCTCAGTGTCCAGAGAGGAGGATGGGGAGGAGGCTTTGTGCAGAACAGGAACCGTGGAGCTGGATGCACACTCAGTAATGAGACAGCCCTGCCAGGGGTCCTGGGGCTGCCGGTTGTTCTGGGTGCTCAGTGTCCAGAGAGGAGGATGGGGAGGAGGCTTTGTGCAGAACAGGAACCGTGGAGCTGGATGCACACTCAGTAATGAGACAGCCCTGCCAGGGGTCCTGGGGCTGCCGGTTGTTCTGGGTGCTCAGTGTCCAGAGAGGAGGATGGGGAGGAGGCTTTGTGCAGAACAGGAACCGTGCCCCATAACTCATTTTATTCTGCGTTCGCCTTTTTGTCATAAAACACAGGTGACATAAAAGAAAAAAAATCTTAAAATGGTGACCTTTAATCAACAGTAAACACTCTTTAACCATCAGAAAGAGAGAGAAGTTTGTCAGCTGACCTAGAAGCCCCATCAATTGACCCAGTTCAATAGTAAATTTTTATTTTTTCAAATAAAAATCCATCACATCCTGACTTTTGTGGTCCTCACTTCTTTGTTCTATTTTATATTTTCATCATCCCAAATGATAGTTTAGTTTTACCTTTAAAAATAAGTTTTTTGTTCTTATTTGTTCTATAGGTTATCCCTTTGAAATTAATATTGTCTGGTAGAGTTTCCTGTTGTTTGTATTTTGTGGATTGCACCCCAAACTATGGTTTAATATGCATCTCTATTACCTGCATTTTCTAGAAATTTGTAGTTTGGTATAGAGGTTTGCATCTATTCAGATTTTTTTCCCCGTGAGTTTTGGTGGTACTATATCATGTTTTTCAACAAGGGGAAGAGTTTAATACTGGTTATTTCCCTTTGGTGATGAAAATTGTCATTGCTGTTCAGTGGCTAGATCTGTTCATTCATTACGGATGGCAAAGAGTTGTAGTCTCAGTCTTCCATTTCTTTTCATGTATTATTTGAATAATTTGTAAAATAAGAGACTTACCCCCTTCTACTATTTACCTATTATAGGAAAATCACTTTTAATTAATTAGATGTGAAAATTCTAAGAAAAATATTAGTAGACTGTATTAACCAATGTGTTATAAACAGACTGTCTTGACCAAGGTATATAGCCCAAGAATGCAAGGATATTTAAACTTTAAACCTTTTAATGCATTTTGCCACTTAATTAAAGAATAAAAAACAGAGATGATGTTATTTTACTAGATTAAGAAATTATTCTAGATGAAATTCAGCACTCCATCTGACCCATATTTCTCCAGTCATCTCCAGGTTAAAGAAATCATGCAATCAGATTGGGGCCACTCAAATAATACAAAATAATCTCCACATCTAAAGGTCCATGCTCTTAATCATATCAGCAAAGTCCCTTTTGCTGTGTAAAGTAACATATCTAAATGGTCTGCGTCTTAGGGCTTGGACATATGTGTGAGGCCATTATTTTGGATTCCACAGTGTATATGGTGGTTGAATGAGGTTTAATTTAATTCTTCTCTAATTAAATTCCTAGAAGAAGAGAAGTGAGTAAATGGAAAGAGGCATTCCAGAAAGAGGTTATCTTAAAATATTAAGGAAATGTATTATTGTAAATAAAGTCTTGATGCCACAAAGAAATAGCACTCAAATATAAAATTTTCTTTTTTTCTTCTCAGCAAGGCAATTACTTCTATACAAGGGTGTGCCCTCACAGATGGAGCAATGGTGAGCACACCCCTGGACAAGGAAGGGGAAGGGGTTCTTATCCCTGATGCACGTGGCCCCTGCTGCTGTGTTATTCCCCTATTGGCTAGGGTTAGACCGCACAGGCTAAACTAATTCAGATTGGCTAATTTAAAGAGAGTGAAACAGGTGATCAGAATGAGTCAGGGTGGTGCAGGTAACTGGAATGAGTCAGGCTGGGACAAGTAATCAGGATGAGTCAGGGTGGAGCAGGTAATCAGAATGAGTCAGGGTGGAGCAGGTGACTGGAATGAGTCAGGGTGGAGCAGGTAACCAGAATGAGTCAGGCTGGAGCAAGTAATCAGGATGAGTCAGGGTGGAACAGGTGATCAAAAAAGGTTGCTTTATGAGGAAGTTAAGTTTAAAAGTAGAGGGCAAAGAATTGAACATACTGACATGTTAATTATTTTAAGAGAAATTTAGAACTCATACCTAACAGTATCATAGCACTGTGAATAAAAAGAGATCCACATTTACTCATACTGCACTGGAACAGAAGATGTTAAAGAGAAACAGATATCTTAAAATTTGCCACAGGAGAAACACAGATCCTCTAAGAAGCAACTGGTTAAAATGTAACTGACTATCCCCTGTCAGCCACAGCAGCCAGAAGCAACATAATCATCAAAGATCTGAGAGAAAACCAATGTCAAACTAGAAATTTGCAGCTGACAAATCTCTCTTTGATGAATAAAGGTAAAACAAAACATTATCATATAAATGAAACTGTTGCACTGTCTCCATAATACCCAATTTCAAAATATCTACAAGAACAGAGAAATATGTAAGAACAAAAGAGAGAAAGAAAGCATAAATTTTAATTTGTAATCTTTGGTATATGTAACTCAGTACTGTCATAAAATATTAATAATGTAGCTTTCAAAGAAAAAAGTCATGTAAAATACATAACATGCTGTGCTATAATTTCTTTATTTATCTTCCCACCCCCACCTTTGACTTCTATGAAGTCCAAGGAAGTTTGATTCTTTTATCTGAGGCTCAGCTCCATAGAGCACAGTACCCAGAATAAGGTAGGTGCTTAATGATGTTTACCATTTGAATGAGTTTCCTGGAAGTACTTAGCAGATCAGGAATTCTGATGCATAAGCACAATTCAAAGGTGGCTGAGGAGTGACATCAGAGAACATAGTGGCATAGGAACTCCAAGGGCCACCTCTGCACAGAGACAATGTGCTTGTAAAACATCACTATAAAAAAAAATCCCTTGGCTGGGCATGGTGGCTCATGCCTGTAATCCCAGCACTTTGGGAGGCCGAGGTGGGGGGATCACCTGAGGTCAGGAGTTCGAGACCAGACTGATCAACATGGAGAATCCCAGTCTCTACTAAATATACAAAATTAGCTGGGTGTGGTGGCTCGCGCCTGTAGTCCCAGCTACTCGGGAGGTGAGGAAGGAGAATCGCTTGAACCCGGGAGGCAGAGGTTGCAGTTAGCCGGGATCATGCCATTGCACTCCACCCTGGGCAACAAGAGCAAAACTCCATCAAAAAAAAAAAAAAAAAAAATTCCCTCGGAGAGCTGTTAAAGCAAGAATTCCTGGACCTACCACCAGATATTCTGATTGGGTTGATAAAGAATCAACTGCATTGGAACCCTGAAAAATCATCAAAGGTTTATTGCAACCTAGCAAGTCCAGAAAAATCAACTGGAACTCAGGAGCAGAGCTTTGTGGCACCATATCTTACCCTTGGCCCATTCCTCCCTGTTCAAGTCAGTAGTGATCTTGAAGACAGCAGCCTGGTTCCTTAGTGTGGGCTCCAATGCCAGTGGGAGCCGAGTGGACCATGTTCTCAAAGTGTTGTGGTTGTCTACCTTTTCCTGTTGGGTGACTCCGTGAAGGATGATAAGAAATGGCTTACATTGGGCTGGGCATGGTGACTCATGCCTGTAATCACAGCACTTTGGGAAGCTCAGCTGGGTGCATTTCTTGAGTTCAGGAGTTTGAGACCAGCCTAGACAACATGGTGAAACTCCATTTCTACAAAAAATACAAAAATTAACTGGGCATTATGGCATGTGCCTGTAGTCTCAGCTACTCAAGAGGCTGAGGTGGGAGGATTGCTTAAGCCCAGGAGGTTGAGGCTACAGTGAGCCAGGATCGTGCAACTGCACTCCAGCTTGGGCTTCAGAGCAAGACCTTGTCTAAAAAAAGAAAAAAAAGAAAGAAAAAGAAAATAAATGGTTTGCATTTATTTTCCCTACTCAGAACTCTCTTAGGTCACAGAGGCAGAGGGCATCTGCTAAAACCATTTAAGTGCCACTGAACCAGCAGCTGCCCCCTTGGGGCAAAAATATATTACATGAGAAAGGTAATAGACATACAGAAAAGCCTGGAGGAGAAACTGGGTGAGTGAGATGGGAATATGGGTTTTGAAAAGCTTCCATATCCCTGGGAATCTGTATAGCCTCCTTCATGACCAGTATGTCGCACAGACTCACAAAGCACCTGAGAATGCCCTGTGTTCACACCTCTTGCTAACTTTCAATATCTGCACAAGTAGGAAATGAAGGCCAAAGCAGTATTGTAAACTGCCCAGCAGAGTGTTGAGGGCATGCCCCAAAACACACAGAGAGCCCAGATAAAAAGATTGAATTTTCTTTTCTTATTTCTTTTTGGCTGAAGATGTTTCAGGAAATATCTATCAAATCATGAGTTGACCACTAAGCTTACAGAATAGAGACTTCAGTGATGACACACAATAAAGAATACAGTCTATACAAAAATAGTTTAGAAAACATGATTTTCAAAGTCACCACATGTTAGTATTCAAAATAAAAATGAGGTATGCAATTAAACTAGACAGTAAGACCCATTCTCAAGAAAAAAGAGGAATTGACAGAAACTGTTCCTGAGAAAGGCCATTGAACATACTTACTGGACAAACAACTTTGAATTGACTGCTTAAATATGTTCACAGAGCTAAAGGAAACTATGGGCAAAAAACTAAAGGAAATCAGAAGAACTATCTTAACTCAAATAGAGAACATCAATAAAAAGATAGAAAGTTTAAAAAGAAACCAAATAGAAATTTTGGAGCTGAAAAGTGCAATAACTGAAATGAAAAATTTACTAGAGTAATTTTACTATTTTTTACTATATTTTACTAGAGTAAATTTACTATTTACTTTTTTACAAAAGCAACTTTCACTATGCAGAATGAAGAATCGGCAAGCTTAAAGGTAAGACAATTGAAATTATCCAGTTTGAGGTGCAGAAATAAAAAAAAATTATGAAGAAAAATGAACAGAACTTAAGAAAACTGTGAGACAACACCAAGCATATGCATTTTGGGAATCCTCAAAGAAAGGAGAGAGAAAAAGAAGAATGGCTATTTGGAGGAATAATAACTTCAAATCTCCTAAATTTGATGAAAAATATAATTTTACTCATCCAACAAACTTGATACATTTTAAGCAGCAAGAATTTTAGAAGTCCACACTGAGAGACGTTATAATCAACCAGTCTACACCAATGACAAACAGACCATCTTGAAAGCAATAACAGAGAAGGAACTTTTCAGGTACAATGGATCCTCAATAAGATTAACATACAAATTTTCATCAGAAACCATGGGGTTCAGGAGGCGTTGGGATGACAAATTTAAAGCTGAGAAAGTAAAAGGACTATCAACCAAGAATTGTATGTCTGCAAAACTCTCCTTCAGAAATGATGGAGAAATCACGACATTCACAGGTTAAAAAAAGCTGACTGAGATGGTCTCAACCCTACAAGACATATATATATACACACACACATATATATATTTGTAATTCCTCTCTTGTTTTTCCTATTTGATTTAAAAGAAAATGTCCATCGACCAATGAATGGAGAAACAACATATAGTTTTTTCCTACAATAGAATATTATTTGGTCATAAAATGAATAAAGCACTGGCATATGCTAAAACATTGCTGAATCTTGAAAACAAGACAAGTGAAGGAAGCCAGTCACAGGAGGCTACGTAACTTATGAGCCCATTTTTGTGAAATATTCATAAGAGGCAAGTCGATAGAGAAAGAAGTGGATTTGTGGCGACAGGGTCTGCTGGCAGGTGGAAATGGAGGGTGACTGCTTAATGGGTGCAGAGTTCCCCCTGAGGTGATAAAAACACTCTGGAACTAGAGAGTGATGATGGTTACATAACATTGTGAACATACAAATTGTCACTGCATTGTGCACTTTAAATGGTTACGGTGGTATCCTTTGTGTTTATGTGTATTTTACCACAATGAAAAAGAGGCTGAGGAAGGTATTCCAAAATCTTTTGTATAGTAAACTCCTGAGTTTGCTTGAGAATCTGCCTATCTGTCTTTTCTTCTCAGGACATCATCTCCTACCCAGAGCAAACCTTTGTTCTTCTGCAAGTAGAAAGCCCTCTTTCAGAACATTGTCCAAGATCAGCCAGGCCCAACCCTCAAAATGACTTTCTGTCTTTGACCCAAATGCTCAAATGCAACTCTGGGGCTAATTTCAGTGGGAGTAAGAGATTATCCAATCAGGATAATTCATTTGGAGAGAAAATGTTTTGCTTAAGTCAGCAAAGTCCTTTGCTTTCCTAAAAAGGATCCTGCTTACCAGTGAGTACAGAGTTTTTGTACATTTGAGGTGGAGTTCTCAGCAGAGTAATTAAAGATATCTGTAGAAACACCACACACATTATGTGTAGCTGACTGATTCACCCCTCTGCCACCCCCAATTGAAGGAAGGAGCTGTATTCTTATCTTGGCCCATCCATCAACTGAATGCCGCTGGACATGGAACATTACAAGTGTGAAGCTTCCAGGGTTCTCAGTTGCTCTTCCTGCTGTTGTGGAGACTCCATTGGTGTGGCTCACATCCAGGCAGGCCTGCAGGAAGCTGTTTCCTAATTCTCAAGGCCAACATTTTCAGTGAACCCATACCAAAACCCTAGGTTCTCAGGGACTCAGATTTTCATCTGTGGAAGAAAAGAATCCATCTCACTCTCTCAGGTGTGATGGTAATTATATATATTATAATATAATATATATATACATAATTATAATTTATATATCTATAAAAGAGATAATCAGTATTCCATAAATTGATGATATTCTCAGTGTTGACTTCATTGCCCAGGTGAACACTGTAACAGAAGGATGAGTCATGGATTGTAGAGGAACAATATTTTTTTTACTCTCTGGAGGAGCCATCAGTAGGCATTTCTGCCATATGGACTTCAAATGAGAAATTTGTTTTAGGTTGAGATTGGAAGGAGATCTGAACTTCTTTTTATTATTATTATTTTAAATATGAGGTCTCACTATGTTCTCCAGGCTGGAGAGCAGTGACTATTCACAGGTGTGACCATAGCCTCAAATTCGTGAGCTCGAGCCATTCTCCTATCTCAGCCTCCTGAGTAGCTGGGACTACAGGTGCCCACCACAGTGTTCAGCCACTTTTCATTGTTATTTTACTTCAAATGTTTTATTTTGAATGTTAAAAATACATGTTTCTACATTAGAAATATGAAAATGTATTTGATTACAGAAGAATTTAAAATGCACACATCAACACCTGGTTGAATTTTAAAGAAAAAAAAATGCAGAGAAGAAAGAAATATCACCCAGGCTTCCCCTCCAAAGAACCACTGCTATCATATTATTGAAACTTCCTGGACTGCAGTGTGAATGGTCATCCCTGGAGCTATCTTCTGCAGTGATGCTGACTTCCATTCTTTTGTTTTCTATGTATATATTTTTATATATGCTTTCATTGTAGAAAGTTGCATTCATAAGTTTTGGGGTTTTTTTTAAGATGGAGTCTCACTCTGTCCCCCAGGGGCTGGAGTGCAGTGGCATGATCTCGGCTCACTGCAACCTCTGCATCTCGGATGCAAGTGAGTCTTCTGCCTCAGCCCCTCGAGTAGCTGGGATTACAGATGTGCACTACCACGCCTGGCTAATTTTGTGTTTTTAATATAGATGGGGTTACACTTGTTGGCCAGGCTGGTTTTGAACACCTGACCTCAAGTGATCCACCCACCTTGGCCTCCCAGAGTGGTTGTGGGTTATTTTGAAGTTGCTTTTTGAATGTATTATTATGAAAGTAGTTTTCCATGTCATAAAGTCTGCATAAAATTTACACACTTCTAGAAGCTGCATCCCATCTCAAACAAGGAGAAGTCACCAGGGTTCTTTTAGATCCATGTGCTTTCATCTTGTCTTTTGGTAAAGAATATTTTGACAAGCATGTTTGTACATGAAGATTCTTCTATGGTTGTGATTTTAAAAATTCATAGAACACTCAGGATGGACATGGTGGCTCATGCCTGTACTTCCAGCACTTTGGGAGGCTCAGGCTGGCAGATTGCTTGAGCCCCTGAGTTTGTGACCAGCCTAGGCAACATAGAGAAACCCTGTCTCTACAAAAAATTCAAAAGAATTAGCCGGGCTTGGTGGCACATGCCTGTAGTCCCAGCTACTTGGGTGTCTGAGGTGGGAGGGTTGCTTAAGCCTGGAAGATTCAGGCTGCAGTGAGCCATGAACAACACTGCACTCCAGCCAGCAAGCCCAATCTCAAAAAAATAAATTATAGACTACTCAAATTGTAAGTATTAAACCAGTGTCTGTGAGAGTTTTTCTGGAAGGGATGTGAGTGGGTGGACTGGTGGGGAAGATGCTCTCTCACTGTGGGCAGCCACAGTCCAATCACCTAGTGGCCCAGATAGAACAGAAAGGTAGATAGAAGTAAAATTTCTCTCTGTCTCTGTCTCTCTGTCTCTCTCTGTCTCTGTCTCTCTCTCTGGAACTGGGGCTGGGACACCCTTCTTCTCCTGCCTTGGACATCAAAACTCCAGGTTCGATGATCTTTGGACTCTGACTTTTGCACCAGTGAGCCCCTTTATCCTCCTGTTCTGTATTCTGGGTCCTCAGGGCTTTGACTTTGGACTGAGCCACGCTACTGGCTTTTCTAGTTCTCCAGCTTCCAGACAGTCTATCATGGGACTTCTCAGCCTCCATAATTGTGTGAGCCAATTAGCCCAATAAATCACCTATCTATCTATCTGTCTGTCTATCTATCTATCTATCTATCTATCTATCTATCTATCTATCATCATCTAACATCTATCTATCATCTATCATCTATCTATCTATTATCTATCTATCATCTATGTACCTATGCTATTGGTTCTTTCTTTCTTGGTAACCTTAATAAATCAACAGACAATAAACAAATAGAACCTGTCATAGTATCACTGATAATTGCCATTAAGAAAAATATGCTTGGGTTAGAAGATTGGTGGCGGTGGTGGGAATGGCAGGGGATAGATTTCAGAAGAGGTCACTGGACAAGACATTTCTGAACACTTGACCATGGGACATTTAAGCAGGGACCTTAATGGTGTGAGGAGTGAGCCATGTGGATCACTGGGCAGCACATGCATGTGGGAGTCACAGCAGGGGCAGGTGGTGGAGACAGGGTGGAGTAGACAAGAAACTGGTGTGAGTGGAGAAGAATGAGCTAGGCTGAGAGTAATGGGATGAGGCCAAAGTGGCCAGAGGGGACCCTGTGATAAGGAGTGCATAGGAAATGGTGGGAAACTGGGGTTTCCTTGTGCCTAAGAAGGGAAGGAGCTGGAGCGTTCATAGGATATGCCCTAATTCCCATTGGAAAGGCACGCTCTCTCTGTTGTGTGGGTGATGGACAGTGGGCATGAGAGTCAGCAGGCAGCCCAGCTGGAAGGCCCTTCCGGTTTTCTATCCTAGTGAGGATGGTTCTGGGGTGGAGGTGGCAGAGGAGTGAGAAGTGATTGGATTTGGTGTTGATATATATTTTTAAAATTGTGGTAAAACACACATACTATACGATTTACCTTCTAACAATTTTTTTCAGTGTACAATTCATTGGCATTAAGCACATTTACAATTGATGGTGGTTACACAAACACCAACATGCATTTTCAGAACATTTTCATCATCCCAACAGAGACTGTACCCATTAAATGACAGCTGCCCATTGTTCCTGCCTTCAGCCCCTGGTAACCTGTATTCTACTTTCTGTTTTTGTGAATTTGCTTATTCTAGGTGCCTCATATAAGTGAAATATCATATTTGCCTTTTTTTTGGCTTATTTTATTTAGCGTGTTTTCAAGGTTCCATCCAATCCAAATATTCTTCACTTTTAAGGCTGATTAATATTCCATGTGTATATGCACCACATTTTGTTTTTCCAATCATCCTCTGATGGACACTTGGGTTGCGTCCACCTTTTGGCTATTGGGAATAGCACTGCTATGAGCATGACTGTACAATTATCTGTGTGCATACCTGCTTTCAATTTTTGGGGGGTATACACCCAAAAGTGGAATTGTTGCTTCATATGGAAATTCTATGTTTACCTTCTTGAGAAAGCGTCATCCTGTTTCCATGATGGCTGCACTGTTGTTCACTCTCAGCAGCAGTGCACAAGCATTCCATTTTCTCCACATCCTCACCAACACCTGGACTAGTGAAGCTGAGCATATTTTCATGTCCTTATTGGAATTCCTTATTTTTATGTCCTTACTGTGTATCTTCTCTGGAGAATTGTCTATTCATGTCTTTTACCCATTTTTGAATGAGATTGTTTTGCTATTGTTAAGTTGTAGTTCTGTATGTAGTCTGGATATTAATTCTTTATCAGATATGTGATTGGCAAATATTTTATCTTATTCTATGCAGTTTCTTTTATTTTCACTTTTTTTTTTTTTTTTTTTTTTTTTTTTTTTTTGAGACGGAGTCTCTCTCTGATGCCCCAGCTGGAGTGCAATGGTGCAATCTCAGCTCATTGCAACCTCTGCCTCCCAGGTTCAAGCGATTCTCCTGCCTCAGCCTCCCGAGTAGCTGGGATTACAGGTGCCCACCACTGCGCCCGGCTAATTTTTGTATTTTTAGTAGAGACAGGGTTTTGCCATGTTGGCCAGGCTGATTTCGAACTCCTGACCTCAGGTGATCCACCCACTTTGGCCTCCCAAAGTGCTGGGATTACAGGCGTGAGCCACTGCGCCTAGCCTCTTTTCACCTCTTAATAGCGTCCTTTGATGCAAAAAAGTTTTTACATTTTGATGAAGTCTTATTTGTCATTTTCCTTTTATTGCTTGTACTTTTGGTCACCAGCCAAGAAACCACTACCAATTCTAATGACCATAAGACTTTCCCTCAGTATTTTCTTTTAAGAGTTTTACAGGTTTAACTCTTAAGATTAGTTCTTTAAGGCATTCTGACTTAATTTTTGAAAAGGGTGTAATGGAAGGGCATAAATTTTGTCCAGCATCATTCTTTTGCATGTGGATATCCAGGTTTCCAGCACCATTTGTTGATGCACCATCTGTTGCAGTGGGGCTGACACATTTGTAAGATGCAATGAGCACGAATACATGGGAGCACCATGAATTTATTTACATGTCTTTACTTCACAGTTGTTTTGAGGAGGCTTTCACTGAGAAACCTAACAGAAATGAATATATATGACTTCCTATAAAATGAAATTTAAGTAAAATTATACTTTTTAAAATGTTAAGACTGGAGCAAGACTGGAACATCACCAGACAAACAGAAACATAGGCTGAAATGAAGGGTTTATGTTTATCTTGCTACAAATTCTGTTGGCCCACAATCTCTTATGCTTATTGCATAAGAGAGCCACAGAGTGGGGTGATAGCTCAAATAACCAGTCCCTGGTTTTCTGCTTCAGAAACAAGTTTAAATTCTCTGCTTAGACAAAGTAAAGAAAATAATTGAAAGATGTTGAATGTGAAGTTGGCATCTACAAAGTCAAAGAAGTGAGTAGTAAATGTAAACATCAGGAATCCAAGGAGATTCTATCTTTTTACACAGAAATGGCCTCACTATGCACTGCTGAAGGGAGAAGGTCCCTCCAGGAGAACTTCATGATGAGGAAAAACCCAATATGATGTAGGGGTTTTCTGCTGCAGCCCTAAATTGAATTGTCCTTCGCTCTAAATACAGGTCTCACAAAGTTTTATGTCTTCAATGATTTCACCTGGGCCGAGATTTTGTTTTGTTTTTGGTGTTGTTTGTTTTGAGCTGCTGCCTGGGGCTTAGAAAAGTGACTTGGATATTTTGCCAAAGTTGTATTTCTTTGATGGAATTCGAAATCCATGAACACTCTGCTTTCCTGCTGTATTCCCAGAGCGGATTGAGTACCTTGCACTTCTTTTCAGCACTTCCCTAGAAGTGGTAGAAGATTTGGAGTTAGGGCCTCCCTCAATCTCTGCCCTTTCTTTAATTCAGAGGATCACAAACTGTTGGGGGAAGAGTGGTATCTTGGGCCCCCAGTTGATCGGATGAATATTAATATCCAATGTCCTGTAATGAAGTCATGTGTGCATGTAACATCACTTCTGCACGCAGTGTCATGGGAAAGTGGGTTCGCGGACCCCAGGTTAAAAGCCTAAGCACTAAATGCACAGAGCTAGAGCTCTAGGAGGGGCGGGATGGCTGGGGTGGAACGTCATCTTGTCCTTTAGTCCTGGGGCATTTTCACTCCTCACATGGTGGGTGCTGGGCATCTGGCAGGTACTGATGTTGATGGAGTCGAGGGAGGGTACTGGCCGGAACTGGGAAAAACAGGGTTGGGGAGATAATTAAGGTGAACATTATTTTTTCTGAGTGTAAGTCATGGCTTGAAATCTGGAGAGCCTGAAGGAGATCCCGCTACCTAAACCCGTTTTCCTTTTCCCTCAAGCCTCATTTGGCCACAGGCCCAGTGTCAACACCAGGGGGCGCCACAGACCATGAAGGCACCGCGCAGCTGGGATTGTTTGTGGTGGGCTCCTGGGTCCCTGACTTAACCAGGGAAGCCAAGACCCTGCAGCCAGGTGGCCTGGATTCAACCTTCAGCTCTGGTCCTACTGACACTTTTCTTCCTGGTGCCTCAGTTTCTTAATCTGTGAAATGGTGAGGACATTACAGCACTTACCTCTCGGGCGGGTTTCTCAACAGCAGCCCTATTAAGAATTTGAGACAGAGAATCCCTTGTGGTCTGTCCTGTGCATTGTGGGAGGTTTGCCAGCAGCACCCCACTCACCCCCTCCCACCAATCCCCACGTGACAACCGAAAATGTCCCAGGATTTTTAGGTCTCCCTTGGGTCTAGAGCTGCATTTAGTCAAGCATTTTCCCACCTGACATTTGAGCTCATCTCTGCTTTGGTCCACATAAGGCCACTTTAAAAAGATGTTGTTTCTTTAAAGATTCTAACCATCTTTTAAACAAATCTATTTTCTTCCTTTATTTCTGCATTCAGTTAATCCTTCCAAACCCTTGGTTTAGTATATCTCAAAATGTATCAACTCCAGTTCTAGTAATTAACATATGTGACTTGCATGATATCTGCTATGACCCCTAGTAGAGTTCTGATTCCTTTAGCACAGGGAATGTGTTCTCGATTCTGCTCTGGATGATGTAAATCAATTTATTTTACTTTACTTGTCTGGGATGTTGCTCCTCACCTGTAAAATGTAAATGTGGATATGGCTTGGATTACTAAGTGGTTTTATTTCTTCATTCACCTGACATTTGTTGTGTACCTGCTGCAAGTCAAATACATGGTATGATATTGTTTCCTTGTTCACACCACAGCAAATGAGAAAATGAGACATTATAGCCAGGTGTGGCGGCACAGGCTTCTCGTCCTAGCTACTCAGAAGGCTGAGGCAGGAGAATTGCTTCAGCCCAGGAGTTTGAGGTTACAGTAAGGTCTGATATCACCATTGCATTTCAACCTGGGCAACAGACCCTGTCTCTGAAAAAAAGGAAAAAGACACTGTGAGCTGTCTACATGTACTCTATGTCTCAGGAGACTCATGTGCTGTAATTTTTCTAAATGGCATCTCCATGTGGTCTTTCATGAATGTTTGTCTGGTATTTCTTTTCTATCTTTTTACTTTCAACTTTTCTGTACCTTCTACTGAAATTATGGCTTTTGTAAATAGCCTACGGTTATTTATTTATTTACTTATTTATTTTTATCCCTCTGCACTATTTGTCTTGTAATTGGAGTGTCTGAGTCCATTACGTTTAATGTCATTGTTGACCTCATTGGGTTTAAGTCTGTCCATTTTCATTTACTGCCTTCTAATATTATCTTTCTTGCTCAACTATTTTTCTTCTGTTGCCTTCTTTAGATGAATAAAAAACTTTGCATTATTGTGGTCTTCTCAGTAAGTGTTCTAGTTACAAATTCTCTTGTTATTTCTTTAATTATCTGAGAAAGCACAATAATCTGTGACTTATTATAACCAACAGCAGACCATAACTTCCCTGACTTTCACCTACCTGTGCAGACAGCACAGGGGAGAATCAATGCTCTGGCTCTGAGACACAGGGGTGGTGGAAGTAGGATAGTGATTGGATGATGAATCTGTAGCTGCAGAGGCATCTGGGCCCCTCACCTTCATTCCTCGTAGATGTCACCTCCACTGGATGCCTGCAATGCCCTCTCCTCTGTATGCTCCTGCCAGAGTCTCCCCATCTCCACTGACAGCAGCTCCACCCTTCTGCTCACTCAGTCCAATACTGTGGGTGTCCTTGATTCTTCTTTCTCACACCACAGATAAATCCATTAGCAAGTGCTGTGAATTCATCCAGAATCCCATCACTTCCCACTATTTCCCCTGCTCACACCCCAGTCAAGGTAAGCGACGTCTCCATCCTGGAATACTGCACTCCTTTCCCACCGTTTTTCCCACTGCCTCACTAGTCCCCCACCTCTCAATTCTGTTCTCAGCACAGCAGCCAGAGAGAAGCTTTCAAAGGATAAGTCCTACCATGTCCCACTTTCCAAAACTGTCCTCTAACTCCCCATGTCATTCAGAGCAAAGGTCAACATCCTTCCCACACCCTCCAGGGCAACCTGCTCTGGGCACACCTCTGACTTCATTTCAGTTTCTCTCTGTTCAACACTTCTGGCCTCTTCCTCCTTCCAGGAACACAGACAATTTCCTGCCCTAGTGCATCTGCACTGAAGGTTTCCCTGCCTGAAAAGAACTTTCTGAGACATCCGTGTAGACAACTCCTCACATCCCTCAAATCTTTACTCCAAGGTCACATTTGCAACAAGGCCCATGCTGACCACCCAGCACAACAGCCACCTCCCTGTACCCACAGCCCACCCTCTGGATCACCTGCCACACAGCACTTGCCACCTTCTAACTCAAGCATTTTCTGTTCCTACTCTGCTTATACTATATCATCTGCCTGCAGAGGTGTCCAATCTTTTGGCTTCCCTGGGTCACATAGGAAGAAGAATTGTCTTGAGCCACACAAAAAATACACTAATGACAGCTGATGAGCAGAAAAAAATAGAAAAAAGAAAAAAAATGCATGGATAATTTTCATGATATCTGCCACTACAGATAAGCAAAAAAATCGTCACATTCTAAAGCTGTCCTGGGCCACATGCATCCCGAGAGCTGCAGGTTGGACAAGCTTGCATCTAGAATGTATACACGACAAGGCCAGAAATTTTTCTGTTTTTACTTTAACGATGTTTTCTAAATGCAAAAACAGTCAAATACCTAGCAGACAACAAATGCCACTTGAATGGATGATTACTGTAGTGCGCCCCCCTATTCTAAAGGCAATATCTTTATTAATGTAGACTCAGGCCAAATGTCATTTTGTAGCCGCTGTGGAACAATATTATCTCATGTGGATATAAATGCACCAGTGCTTTTCTCACCAGGGCTGCTTTTGTGTCCTCCCTCCCTCCCTCCTCCCACACCAATCCTCCTGCACACTGCAGCACACAACCATATTTGTCTCTTGAGGAAAGATAACCCAAGGCTTATGGCTCCAATTATCCAACCACATATGAATCTAAATTAGACTCTGCTTTACAAATCCATGAGTTTGGTTTGGAGCCAGCAATAGGATTACTACAACTCAGGGCAGGAAGAAGAGTAGGAGAGAGAGCAGAAGAGGAGTTCCAACAGAAAGTAAACTACAATGAAAAACTCTGGGACCTCTCCTCTCGGGAAGTTTCAGAATCTGCTTCCTTTAAGAAGGTTGGGGAAGCCAGGCATGGTGGCTTACACCTGTAATCCCAGCACTTTGGGAGGCAGAGGCGGGCAGATCACAAGGTCAGGAGATCAAGACCATCCTGGCTAACATGGTGAAATCCCGTCTTTACTAAAAATACAAAAAATTAGCTGGGTATCGTGGCATGTGCCTGTACTCCCAGTTACTAGGGAGGCTAAGACAGGAGGATTGCTTGAACCCGGGAGGTGGAGGTTGCAATGAGTCGAGATTGCACCACTGCACTCCAGCCTGAGTGAGACTCCATCTCAAAAAAAAAAAAAAAAAAAAAAAAAAAAAAAAGATGGAAAATACAATTGAAAGAGACCTGGAAGGAGGGGAAGAGGTGTAGGGGTCTGAAAATTTTTCTTCTGATAACACAGGAACTTCTAAGTGTAGGGACCACCCTAGGTGATATCCAAGTCTATGTGATCACAGGTCCTGGTGGGACAAGGTTCTACTGAAGGGCCAAGGACAATGGAGCAGCAAAGATGACCCAGCTGAGCAGTGACCACATAAAGTTCATGGTGGCCTGAGCACCCACTGGGCGCAGCCCCATCTACTCTCCTCTCCTGCAACAAATCAGCACAAGAAACACGTGTACTGTGGAAAGTTCTCATGTCTTCCATTTATTTTGTCTCTCAAATTTCAGGAATCTTCTCCTTTAATTAACCCATCAATCTCTCTTGGAAATAATTTGAAAAACTAAATTTATACTCAGATTCTAATTTTAATACAGAAGTAAGTTATAGCTCAGTGCACCACAAATTTGAGACAGAGACGGAGACATCCCAGCCCCTTTTCTGGAACAGGAAAGGTGATTGGGGAAGGAATGCAGTTCAGCATGAGGAAGAGGGTCATGGTGGGCACAGGGGTGGGCTGGTCTCTGCAGAAAGAGAAGTCAGGGTTCTTGAAGTCACAAAGGGAAGGCATGAACAAATCTTGCCACTCAGTCCCACACAGGGCAGCTGTTTCACACTACAGAAAAATATTCATGAACAAATTCATATCAGTCACAGTGAGGGGTGACACTTTAAACAGCCCATCACATGCTCAATACATTCAAGTCAAAGAAACCTCATAGCACAGCTATGTCCACTGTTTCCCTCAACAACCCACACACATCAGGCCCCCCGGGGTGTCACATTTACAAGCCGTGAGAGACACATTAGAGCCCTGGGCACTGTCACTGCCTAGAGTAGAACAAAAACAGCACCTGGTCAGAGACCACAGGAGATGTGGCCAGAGGAGGAATTGTGGGGTGGGTGAGCTCCCCCATGGGCTCCCAAACACAAGATCCCAAGGATCTCAGGGATCAGCCTCCTTCATACTTACTTGCAGCCTGAGAGTAGCTCCCTCCTTTTCAATCTGTGGGAAGAAAACGTCCTGTGAGAGGCCAGAAAGGTGGCAGGGCCATGAGGTCCTAGAGGAACCTCCTAGTCTTGGACCCTCGAGAAGTTTCCAGAAATGTGTGACTGCAGACTCAGGGCGGGATCAGGAAAAACAAGGAAAGCAGATGTGGGTCCTCGACCAACTGCCCTCCTAAGGTCTGTCCTTAGCCAGGGACCTTCCCCTGACCTGTGATTACTAGGATCAGGTCCCCATCACTACAATCATCAAGGTGATAAATCTGTCCTTCATTGTCACAGGTGCTTTACAAAAGAGAAGGTGCTGGCACACAGGGCCCAGGCTGGGTAGGCCCATGAGTGTGGATGGTGCTTCCCAGTAACCAGGCAGGGCGCACTTCTACCTGGGGCTTGAAACCCCCAGTGGGACAAGAAAACTCAGACCCCACTTGTCACCCCTTCCTTACCTGAGCTCTTCTTCCTCCACAGCACAGCAGCGACCGCAGCTCCAGTGACTACAGCTGCAAGGACAACCAGACCAGCAACGATACCCATGATGGGGATGGTGGGCAGGGAAGACTGCTCTGGGAAAGGAGGTGAAGGTGAGGGTCTCTGACCCCCAGGCCTCACCACCGACCCTGTTAAAGGTCTTCAGAGAGGCTCCTGCTTTCCCTAACAGACATGATGCCTCCATCTCCCTCCTTACTCCATCTCAGCATGAGGGGCTCCGGCAGCCCCTCATGCTGCACATGGCACGTGTATCTCTGCTCCTCTCCAGAAGGCACCACCACAGCTGCCCACTTCTGGAAGGTTCCATCCCCTGCAGGCCTGGTCTCCACGAGCTCCACGTCCTGGGTCTGGTCCTCCCCATCCCGCTGCCAGGTCAGTATGATCTCCGCAGGGTAGAAGCCCAGGGCCCAGCACCTCAGGGTGGCCTCATAGTCAAAGACAGGGTGGTGGGTCACGTGTGTCTTGGGGGGGTCTGAAAGGAAGAGTCAGAAAACTCAAGCACTTTGCATCTCTCATGGGACACTCCAGCAGCACCTGGATGTGACCATCCTAAGAATGAACCAGATACCTGGGGTGGGGAAGGGAGCACAGAACCCAGACACCAGCCTGGACACGGGCACCTGGGATAATCTCCTATTCCTTGGAAAGTTCTAGTCTCTGAGCGGGGGAGCAGGGACCTCTGGTTCTGACCTGAGTGGAGGCCAAGGGACTCAGAGGAGCTGGAGTCAGACTCCCACACACATTGAGTGTGAGGCAGAGAACAAGGCCTGAGGGGAAAAGTCCTGGTGCCAAGGCTGCTGTGGGGTCAAAGGGAACCCCTGATCAGTCCTCCAGGGATTGTCTTCCCCTCCACTCCCTCAGAGACTTCATCCCTTAATTGTCCCAGAGAGCAGGACGGGCCCTCAGAATCACTCTCTGGTACAGGATCTGGAAACCCAGGAGGATTCCTCTCCCTCAGGACCAGAGGGAGGGCGATATTCTGGTGTTGGTCCCATTTTCCTCCTCTCCTTGTGCTAGGCCAGGCTGGGAGGTCTACAGGAGATCAGGGAGGCGCCCCACTGCCCCTGGTACCCGCGCGCTGCAGCATCTCCTTCCCGTTCTCCAGGTATCTGTGGAGCCACTCCACGCACGTGCCCTCCAGGTAGGCTCTCCTTTGTTCAGCCACATTGGCCGCCTCACACTTGCGCTTGGAGATCTGAGCCGCAGTGTCCGCTGCGGTCCAGGAGCGCAGGTCCTCGTTCAGGGCGAGGTAATCCTTGCCATCGTAGGCATACTGTTCATACCCGCGGAGGAGGCGTCCGTCGGACCCCAGGTCGCAGCCAATCATCCACTGGAGGGTATGAGAACCTGGCCCCACCCCTTCGGTCAGCCCCGCCCACCGAGCCTCGCCCTCGCCCGGACCCACCCGCAGGGATTTTGGTAAAGGCGCCTGGGGTTCTCCCAGGTAGAGGGTCTGGGCGGGTCCCGCGGCCTCGGGGTGGATCCCAGACCCGGAGACTCGGGAGTACCCGGGGCGTCCGTGGGGCATGGAGGTGGGGGGTCGTGATCTGCGCCCTGGGCCGGGGTTACTCACTGGCCTCGCTCTGGTTGTAGTAGCCGCGCAGGGTCTGCAGGTTCATTCTGTCAGTCTGTGCGTGGGCCTTGGTGTTCCGTGTCTCCTCTTCCCAATACTCTGGCCCCTCCTGCTCCACCCACGGCGCCCGCGGCTCCATCCTCGGACACGCCGAGTCGCTGTCGAACCGCACGAACTGCGTGTCGTCCACGTAGCCCATGGCGATGAAGCGGGGCTCCCCGCGGCCGGGCCGGGACACGGCGGCGCTGAAATACCTCATGGAGTGGGAGCCTGGGGGCGAGGAGAGGTTGAGACCCGCCCGACCCTCCTCCCGGCGCGGCTGCCGGGTCCTGCGCCCCCGCCGGGCCGGCCCCTCCCTCCTCCGCGCAGGGGCCGTTTCCCTCCTGACCCCGCACTCACCCGCCCAGGTCTCGGTCAGGGTCAGGGCCCCCGAGAGTAGCAGGAAGAGGGTTCGGGGTGCCATGACCACCATCCTTGGCGTCTGGGGAGAATGAGTCCGGGTGGGTGAGCGAGGACTTTAGAACCAGGACCGCGGCGACGCTGATTGGCTTCTCTAAAAACCTGTCACCTAATGGGAGTGAGAACTGGGGCCGCCCGGTGAGTATCCAGGAAGAAGGACCCGACACAGGTTAGGAGAAGGAGGAGAGAATCCCCAACGCGGGGCCTCCCCAATCCATACACCGCCTGTGGGGCCTGAGACCCTGAGAGCCACGCTTGAGGCCCTGGGACTTCGCCCTGACCCCGCTACTCTTGTGCCAAGCGTTCTGTCTCAGTGTCTCCCTGAGTCTTGGCCCAGGAGCTGTCTGAGAAACCAGGGAGAAACCCTCGGCAAGGTCCCTGTCCCTCTCCCTTCACTTTTCATCCCGGAATCCCTGTCCCTGAACTGGACTCCCTGCCTCCCACTCCTTGCCTGTCCTCCTGTACTCTTCTAGAAGAAAAATCACCCCACGGAGCTTGGTGCCAGAGAGTGAGCTCGCCCTGGGATTGTAGGTGTAAAGACAGGGTTTTTTTTCCCCCTTAAATCTGGAAAAGTTGTGCCTGAGTGCATGAGATAGAATAGAGACCAGTTTGCTTTTTGTTTATTAACTATAGTGGGTAGCATAATCTTGGTAACCCCTGAATGATCAGGAATCTAATAGGTAAAAAATGTGACTTTGGCCCGTTGGTATATAAATGCATCTAAAAGCCTTACAACAGGACTCACAAAGCTCTTAAGTTTCACTTTCCCAGACAATGTATCTGTGACTCCCGCTTGTTTTATTTTAAATTTACCTTCATTCCGTAGCCCTAAGTTTCCGTGTGAGTCCAGGACATCTCCTCAAGACAAAGTACCACACTATGTTACTATATGTTGCAACCAGGAGCCAGCACAAACTTTATTCACCTCACAGTTGTAAGTGTTCAGTGCAGTCACAATGCCCCTCACTAGTGCTCATGCACTGCCTGTTTTTAGGAAGTATCCACATGTGAGTGGAGTGTATATTTTTTAGGAATACTTAGTATTTTTTAAACCTGATTAACATAAAAAACAATTAGTTTCTAGGCAGACCCACATAAGATATTAAAGGCCAACTGCAAAGAACACCCAGCGAGGCTCTGTAGATGGATGTAATAAAATCTATAAAACAATGTGTTTAAACCTAAGAGTTCCGCTGCTTTGGAATTCTTTCCTCTGCTCCTTTTCCTCACCTCCTGCTCCTCCAGCCCTTCCCTCCGTCCCTCTCATCCCTCAGGCCCTCTTCTCCCCTTAATCCCCACCACCCTCTCACTCCTGAATTGTGGCTCTAGCACTGTTCCATGACCTGCTACATGAGTGTTCTCTCTATAGTGGTCCTGCTACTATGAGTCAGAGTGTGTCATTTCTCCACCTAAAACACTCCAGTGGCTCCACCTCATTCTTGTGAAGCTTCTAGAATGTCAGGCACTTGAGCATATGAGGGCATACCTGGTTCATTGTAGGGACTAAATTATTTTTTCTTGGCTGAATGAATGAATTATGAGTGTATTAAATTGCATCACAGAAAATTATAAAATGTAAAACACTGAAAAAGTTAAAAAAGATTTTATTTTATGTAACTAGTGTGCGTATCAATTCATCAGTTCATTCCAGGAGTCTTTTGAGTCTGTGTATGAATTTTATAAGACTGGGTAACAAATTGTCACAAACATTGGCTTTAAACAGCACCCATTTATTGTATTCATTGATTTATTTTTAGATACAGAGTCTCCCTCTGTCATCCAGGATGAAGTGCAGTCACATGATCATGGCTCACTGCAGCCTCAAATTCCTGGGCTCAAGGGACCCTCCTACCTCAGTCTTCAGAGTAGCTAGGACTGCAGGCAAGTGCCACCATGCCCAGCTAATTAAAGAGAAATGTAGAGACGAGTGTCTCACTATATTATCCTAGCTGGTCTCAAAGTCCTGGCTGCAAGTGTTCCTCCTGTGTCAGCTCCTCAAATGTTAGGATACAGGTGTGCACTACCACGCCTGGCCAAATAACACCCATTTGTTGTTTATAGTTTCTTAATCAGAAATCTGGGCATGATGTGGATGGAATCTCTGTTCCGGTCTTCCTAAACCTGTGTTTTCATTTTGAATCCTCCTTCAGGCTTATACAGAGGTGGCAGAATGCAGTTTCTGGCAGTTGTAAGACTGAGGTCCCTGTTCCTCACTGGCTGTCACTGTAGAGAACAGGGAGGGCTGCACTTAATGCATGGTGCCCACCAGCGTTCTTTCCTACACAGCCCCTTCATTTTCAAAGCCCACAGTGGAGGAAACCCCTCATGCTGAATCCCTCTCACACTGTGAATCTCTATGCTCAGGAAGAACCCAGTCCTTTCAAGGACTCTCCTTATTAGGACAGTCCAAGCAGGATAAACTCAGCCTAAAGTCAACTAATTGAGGCCCTTAATTATATCTGCTAAATCCCTTCACAGCAGCACCTACATTAGAGTTGGTTGAATAACTGGGGGAAGGTGAATGACCAGGAGCTGGTTGTTGGGAGCCATGATAGAATCAGCCCAGGAAGGGCTGGATCTTCCTTTTGTGTTTAATTTGGACACAGTTGGAAACTGAAGTTCAAGTAAAGTGATCATTATGAATAGTAATAAAATACATCCTCTTCAGCCGTGGAACTTCTCCTTTCCTTTTAAAACTAAGTTACATGTTTAATATCTTATAGTTAATTTAGACCAGGTGTGGTGGCTCACGCCTGCAATCCTAGCACTGTTGAAGGCAGAGGAAGGCAGATTTGACTCCAGAAGTTCAAGATCAGCCTGGGCAACATGGTGAAACCCCCATCTCTACAAAAAAATTAGAAAATTAGCCAGGCATGTTAATTCATGCCTATAGTCCCAGCTACTCAAGAGGCTGAGATCAGAGGATCCCTTGAGCCCAGGAGGTCGACACTGCAGTGCATGGTGATCATGCCACTGCACTCCAGCCTGGGTGACAGAGCAAGACCCTGTCTCAAAAATAGTAATATGATGATGATAAATTTAGAGCAAATGCAAATTAACGTGTAATAATACATCCTCTCTTGTGAAAATGTATTAGTTATTTACTATTGTGTAACAAATTATGTAAAACTTAGCAGCTCAAAACAGCAAATATTCATCATCTCCCACAGTTTCTAATGGTCAGGAATCCAGGAGCGGTTTTCCTGAGTGCTTCTGGCTCAGGGCCTCTCACAAGGTTGCAGTCCAGTTGTCAGCCTAGGGCTGCATCGTCTGAGGGCTTCACTGGGGCTGAGGATTCACATGAAACATGGCTTAGTCACATGGCTGTTGGAAAAGCCTAGTTCCTTGCTGTCTGGTCCCAGGGGACCTCAGTTCTTAGCCACATGGACCTTCCTGCAGGGCTGCTTATGGCACAGCAGCTGGGTCCCCAAGAGCTCATGATCCCAGAGACAGAGAGAGAGAAGGTGGAAGCCATAGTGAGTTTCACATTCTACACCCAGAGTCACAAACTGTTATGTCAGCATTACTCTATCAGTTAGAAGTTGTATTAGTCTGTTCTCACACTGCTATAAAGAAATACCTGAGACTGGGTAATTTATAAAGGCAAGAGGTTTAGTTGACTCGCAATTGTGCATGGCTGAGGAGGCTGCCCCAGGAAACTTACAATCATGGCAGAAGGGGAAGCAAACGTGTCATTCTTCACATGGTGGCAGGAGAGAAAAATGCAGAGTGAAGTGGGGAAAATCCCCTTATATGGTACATATACACCATGGATATTATGCAGCCATAAAAAGGAATGAGATCAAGTCCTTTGCAGGGATATGGATGAAGCTGGAAGCCATTATCCTCAGCAAGCTAACACAGGAACAGGAAACCAAACACCACATGTTCTCACTTATAACTGGGAGCTGAGCAATGAGAACACATGGACACAGGGAGAGGAACATCACACACTGGAGCCTATTATGGGAGGGCAGTGCTGAGGGGAGCATTAGGAAAAATAGGTTCAACCGCTGACTTCCACAGCTTGGGGGAATCATCCCCATGATTCGATCACCTCCCATGAAGTCCCGCCGCCAATATGTGGGGATCAGAATTCGCATGACAATTCAAAATGAGATTTGGGTGGGAACACAGAGATAGGCCATATCAGAAGTGCATCATTAAGTCCAAGCCACACTTAAGAGAGGGAATTAAGCTGCACCTCTGAAAGAGAGCTGTACTAAAGGACTTACGTATATGTTAAAAGCAAAATTAAAACTATTGTTTCAGGATTTTGTAAATCAAAGACTTCTTTTATCTAATTATTTTTCTTTAATGCTTTAAGCTTATCTTTTAATTTAATTTAATTTAATTTAATTTTAAGTTCCAGGGTACATGTGCAGGATGTGCAGGTTTGTTACATAGGTAATCATGTGCCATGGTGGTTGGCTGTACCTATCAACCCATCACCTAGGTGTTAACCCTGGCATTCATTAGCTATTTTTCCTAATGATCCCCCCATCACTGCCCTCCCCGAACAGGCCCCATTGTGTGTTTTTCCTCTCCCTGGTTCCATGTATTCTCATTGCTCAGTTCCCAATTATAAGTGAGAACATGCGGTGTTTGGTTTTCTGTTCCTGTGTGAGTTTGCTGAGGATAATGGCTTCCAGCTTCATTCGTATCTCTGCAAAGGACTTGATCTCATTCCTTTTTATGGTTGCATAATATTCCGTGGTGTATATGTACCATATTTTCTTTATCCAGTTCCTCACTGGTGGGCATTTGGGTTGATTCCATGTCTTTGCTATTGTGAATAGTGCTGCAATGAACATACACATGCATATACCTTTATAATAGAATGATTTATATTCCTTTGGGTATATAACCTTTAATGGGATTGCTGGGTCAAATGGTATTTCTGGTTCTAAATCTTTGAGGAATTGCCACACTGTCTTCCACAATGGTTGAACCAATTTACATTTCCACCAACAGTGTAAAAGCCTTCCTATTTCTCTGCAACCTTGCCAGCATCTGTTGTTTCTTGACTTTTAATAATTGCCATTCTGACTGGCATGAGATGGTATCTCATTGTAGTATTGATTTGCATTTTTCTAATGATCAGTGATGTTTAGCTTTTTTTCTTATGTTTATTGGCCACATGTATGTCTTCTTTTGAGAAGTGTCTGTTTAGGTCCTTTGTCCACTTTTTAATGAAGCTTTTTTTTTGGTGTAAATTTGCTTAAGTTCTTTGTAGCTTCTGAATATGAGACCTTTGTCAGGTGGACAGACTGCAAAAATTTTCTCCCATTCTGGGAGAAATGTCTGTTCACTCTGATAATAGTTTCTTTCACTCTACAGAAGCTCTTTTGTTTAATTAGATCCCATTTGTCAATTTTTGCTTTTGTGGCAGTTGCTTTTGGCATTTTCATCATAAAATCTTTGCCCATCCCTATGTCCTGATTGGTATTGCCTAGATTTTCTTCCAGGGTTTTTATAGTTTTGGGATTTACATTTAAGTCTTTAATCCATCTTAAGTTAATTTTTGGGCAAGGTGTAAGGAAGGAGTCCAGTTTCAATTTTCTGCAGATTGCTAGCCAGTTCTCCCAGCACCATTTGTTAAATAGGGAATCCTTTGCCCATTGCTTATTTTTGTCAGGCTCATTGAAGATCACAGGGTTTTAGATGTGTGGTCTTATTTCTGAGTTCTCTATTCTGTTCCATTGGTCTATGTGCCTGTTTTTGTACCAGTACCTTGCTGTTTCAGTTACTGTAGCCTTGTAGTATAGTTTTAAGTCAGGTAGCCTCATGCCTCCAGCTTTGTTCTTTTTGCTTAGGATTCTTCTGGCTATAGGAGCTCTTTTTTGGATCCATATGAATTTTAAAATAGTTTTTTTCTAATTCTATGATAAGCTTCACTTTTTAAATTAATGACTAAAAGTTTGAGACATCACAGAGCCTTAGGTGTTGAGGGGAAAACAGTTTGAGGCAGAGAAAGGAGATACAACAGTATCTCTGAGTTTTTCTTGCCAATATCTTTAATAACAGCAATGTTCTCTTCAATGAGTTAACACAGTTGAGAACATAGAATAACTAGATCAAATAGTTCCAAGACTTTAGTGCTATAAAAATAATGCCTTGAAAATAAGTCTTTGTTTTGTCTAAAATGTCTCAAATTTAGGGGAAGTATGCCCCTAGTGCCAGTTTTCTTATTGAAATATCGTCTTCCAAAAAACATTTGCCTACACTTAAAAAAAGAAGTACTGCTCTGTCTCTGGAGTAGCCATCCTTTGTTTCTTTCTCTAATTAACTTGCTTTCACTTAGAAAAATATTGCTTAATCAGATTGCTTTTCATTTACAAAGATGTGAATCTCATACTTCAGTCAACACATCTAGCATGCCAATAACTTCGGTTTGATGCAGTATCACGAAATTGTTAGCTCGAATTGAGAAACTAGTTTTTTCGATAACTGGCTATTCGATCGGCATTCTATAATACACTTAACATCTTTTGTTGTGATATTGAATGATATGTGATAGAAGTGATTTGGACACCACTATGATTCTAAATAGCATGCCATCAGGTGCTTCTGAAGTGGTTTTGTTTGTTTCTTTGTTTTCGCAGTCCTATTGTGTTTTCTATTCATATTGCTATTCCATCACTGGTTATTCCTTTCTACTCTTTTCTTGTTTCATTTATTTTGATCAATGATGTGCATTTCCAATTCTGTAAAAGTTTAATTCAGTGGTATGTGTGGTAGAATGTAACATCAAATCCTTTGCAAGATGGAATTACCTTGCACATCAGATTGAAGATTGTATACATGAAAATCTACAGAGATGCCAGTGAGCCAAGGATCAAATGACCTATTTGTAGCCAAAGCCATTTTCATGGCCTCGTGGTCCTCTCTGTCACATGGCTCCTTACAATTCTGTGTGGTTTTGTTCCAATGTAAGTAGTTCTTGTTAAGGATGCTTGCAATGAACTTTGGTATTCTTTTCTCTTTCATTTTTATAAAAACCAAGCATATTTTACTTTGAAAAAATCTATTTAAGGAATTAGGAATTTAAGTCAATTCTTTCAACTCAATGTTTTCAGAACACATCATCAACATCAAGTATTACACATTTATTTTAAAAGTTCCATTTTAAAAGGGAATGGATGATATGTTGTTTGGACTTTAGCCAGCACTGTTGTAAAACACAGAACCTGTAAACTACCCTGGGCTGCTGCCCATTCACATCCCCCAAAAGGAGACTCCACCCTGAGTCTTGTGATTATTATTCCTTTATTTAGATGTGTGGTCTTATTTCTGAGTTCTCTGTTCTGTTCCATTGGTCTATGTGCCTGTTTTTGTACCAGTACCTTGCTGTTTTCATAATATCTATAAAGAAATTATAGAGTTTCTTTAAGGATTTGTGTAATAAGTATAGATATATCCCCAATCCAAATATTAGTTAGTTTTGATGGTTTTTAAGCTTCCAGTACAGCAAATTCCTACTGCATTTATTTTCCCATGATGCACATTACATATAGGAGTTATCTGTGGTGTGGGAGGCTGTCATTCATTCGTTTTTACTGCTGAAGGTTTACATTTTATGGTTATACCATAATTGCACTAGTTTTCTATTGATATATATGTAGCTGATTCCAGTTCTTGCCATAAACATTAGTGTGCATGTCTCCTGGGCACATAGGCAAGAAAGCCCGCAGAGTGTATGATTAGGAGTGGGATGATTGGATGATATGTTGTATGGCCTTTAACCATACTAGATAATAATAATATGATTTCCAAAGTGATTGTGCCAACTTAAACTTATTTATTTATTTATTTATTTATTTATTTATTTATTTATTTTTGAGACGAAGTCTTGCTCTGTTGCCCAGGCTGAACTGCAGTGGTGCTATCTTGGCTGATTGCAACTTCCACCTCCCAGTTCAAGCAATTCTCCTGCCTCAGCCTCCCGAGTAGTTGGGATTACAGGCATGCACCACCACGCCCAGCTAATTTTTGTATTTTTAGTAGAGTCGGGGTATTGGAGGCCGAAAGAATGAGGGTCGTGATCAACTCAGTATACCACTGGAGGCTATATGAGCAAACAGCAAACTGTTCTCATGAAAGCAGGATGTTGGCAAACTGACAAACTGAGTTTGCTGCCAGAAGGAATCACTAGAAGCAAGAAGCCCCCGACCCCTTCTTTTAGAACAGATCTTTTTGTCTTTGTCTTTATTTCTGTGTTCATCCCCCTTCATTATATCCCATAGTAACCGATTGCGACAATGGGGTTTTACCATGTTAGCCAGACTGGTCTTGAACTCCTGACCTCAGGTGGTCCACCCACCTCAGCCTACCAAAGTGCTGGGATTACAGGCGTGAACCACCACGCCTGGCCTAAACTTTTGAAATAAGTGCGTAATACTTGATGTTGATGATGTGTTCTGAAAACACTGAGTTGAAGGAATTGAGTTGAAAGCCACTGTCTTGGCTGCAGAATTATAGCAGGCATTTTTATTTAGATTCTGTCAATAACTTTCTGTTGTTTACTTGTTTCTCATATACCGTGGCATTGTACTTTTGACATACAGATTCAGAAAATGCTTACTTATAGCACAATCACATAGGGTTATTTTATATGTTAGGAAATTTTCATAATAAAAAGGAAAAAATGGAGGAAGGGAGGGAAAGAAGGAGGAAGAGAAGAAGGAGTGAAAGAAGAAAAGAAGGAAGGGGAAGGGGAAGAAAAGGGAAGGAAAGCAGAGTAAAAAGGAGGGAAGGCGAGAGGTTGAATGGAAATAGAGAAGAAAGAGAGGGAGGGAGGGACAGAAGGAAGGAGAAAGGGAAGGAACAAAAAAGAAAAGAAACTAAAATAAAGAAAAGAATACACGTTGAGAAACTAGAAACCCTACGTATGGCCAGTGTTATGAAAATGGAAGGAAATAAAGCAGATGTACGTAACCTGTATAGAATAATGGAAATGTAAGAGGGCTTCATTAGTTATCCATTGCCGCATAACAAACTACCCCCAAATTTAGTGATTAAATCAACAAACATTGACGAACTCAAAAACATAATACAAATACCAGCAAAATGGAGCCAACGCAAGTAGAAGAAGTTGAATAAACAAAAGGATTTTACAAATTGGAATAAGAGGACACTGGTGTGCAGATGAAAATGATTTTGTAGTCCAAATCCTCCAAAAAGCAAGTGCCATCATGGGATTAAAGTTACAACATTTTATTAGGGGACATACCTGTCAGACGATATTGTGAGGGAGTCAGGTTACCCTGGGAAAGGCAACAGGCCGAGATGCAAGTGTGACCCCCAGTGATGGACAGAAGGAGAGAAGGTTTACTGGATGTTTCCTAGACCACAGGCAATCTAAGGAGAGTTGAGCAAGGCCATGGAGGAGACCCGGAGCCACCATTGGCCATCAGAGGAGTCCCCTGTCTCCCAGGAATGTCCTGCCTTAGTGTCACTGGTGTGAGCCATCACTGACTGGGAACAGCCCATGGGAAGCAGGGCCTCCATACCAATGCTACTGAGGATGTCAGAGCACAGGAGCAGGGCCTTGGGAGATTACCCAGGAGTGTGACTCAAACCTGCTGCCCAGATGGGTCTGGGTTCTTGGAAATCAAATCCTCTCAAGCTAAATTTCTGGATGATTCTGCTCACACTTACAATGGGGCAAGGGGACCCAGAAGGTTCCCAGGTGGATGTCTGGTTTCCACACACACTTCTGCCCTCATTGTGTGAAAGTAGCCATGCCTCCTCCTGGGGATGAGGGCCTATTACCTGGGCCTGGAGAGAAGGACACTCCTCTTCTCACGATGTGGTCTCTGGGAACATGCTCTCCAAACTTCTCTGGTGACTAAAATAATGTGTAGTTCAATGGGCTCTCTTTTGTCTACTTTTAAGGGTACCCTCCTTTGGAAACCAGGACCTCCTAACCCGCACAGCCCATTGTTGGGAGATAAAAAAGGCAAAATACCTTAGTGGGTGAATCTAAGAGATTGGACATGGAGCCATACCTGCTTCCACCTTTTGATTTCTGGACCCACATGTTCTTCCATTGAGAACACAGCACCATAGAGACATCTCTGATTCAAACAATATACCATGTTCTGAAAGATGGCACTCTCAGAGTGCTTCCTCCAGGCTGGCACTGAGTTGTGCCTATAGAAGACCTGTCCAGCATTCCTTGTGGCTGGTAGCTCCTGGGTGGTGCAGATGGTGATAGGATTAGTGGAACCCACAGCCATGGAAACATTAAAACTTTCCAGGCCAAATGGGTCCTTCAGGCAGAGAATGGGCTAGGAGCACCGCCTAGCCTGCAGATCAGGAATGTCAACAGCACCCGGAGAGTGGTGCTGGCTGAGTGTCAGAGCAAGACAGGAAAACCCACCCATGGAATATGAGCCTATTTCTGTGAAGATGAACCTCTGGCCCTTCCAGGATGGAAGTAGCTAAATGTAGTCACTTGTTACTTAGTGGCTGGTCGCCGAAAGAAATAGTGCCCCACTAGGGCACATCATGGGCTCCAAATGCTGACGAGTTGACATTCAGGAGTGGCAGTAGCTGGATCTACCTTGGTAGGGCTGGGAGAGTCAGTGCTGCTGGCCCCATACATAGCCTCATGCCTGCCACTGTGGTTGCTCCATTCATGCACCCATCCTACCAGGCCTGGGCTGACCCATGGTGAAGGCTGGCTAACTGCCATTTGTCTGTTTGGTTGTTCAGTGCCACATCACACTTGGGTGTTTTCTGTGGGTGTCAACATGGGATTCAAGCTCAACCCAGGTGGACCATTTTCACCTGTTGATGAATGCTGTTGGGCCTGTGCAATTTATGACTTTGTGGGTCACACAGCCACTTGGAACCACATTGTTGTTTGGTGTCTCTTGGTCAAGCATTCTATCAAATCAGGACAAGTAACACTAAATGTTGCTTCTAACAGGGGGCATATGTCTCTGCTGTGGATGACATGATCTTACTCCAGAATCCCAGGCCCTCCATTGTGACTCTCCCACTGGTGCTTGGTTCAGCTCCATCCTGCATCTTTCCCCACCACTGGCACCACCAGCCCCAAGGGGTCTTAGGGATGCTGGCTGCTTGTACCATGGCCTGGATCTGCTGCAGGGTCCTTTCCTGTGTGGGCCCCACATGAAGGTGGCCTCCTCCTATGTCACCTAGAGTGTGGGCCAAAGCAACACACCTAAATGTGGAATGTGGTGTCATCAGAACTCAAAGAGGCTCATCAGGCAGTGTGCTTCCTTCCTTCTGGTGAGGATGCAAGATGAAACAGTTTGTCTTTTACCTTGGAGGGGACACACCTACATTCCCCTAAACACTTGGCACTTGTTCACCCATAAAACTTCACTTCAGTGGCCACTCTTGAAGCTCTGTAAGGTTTACCTTCACCTTCTGGAGTGTGCTTGTTTTGCCAAGGACTCCAGTGCACTTTCTACCTGCTGCTCATCCACCCCAGTAAACATGAAATTGTCAATGAAATGAGCTGATTTAATATCCTATAGGATATCCAGTATGTCTAGTGTAGTCTTAAGACTATATACTATAGCGGGCAGAGGAGTTACAATAGCCCTGAGGCAAATGATAAATAAATGTGTTGTGGATCCCACATGAATGTGAATCATTCCATATCCCCTTTCTAATTGGAGTGGAAAGGAATGCACTCACCAAGTCTGCAGCTGCACACTGTGGGCCCAAGGATTTATTAATCTGCTCTACCAGTGATATCCAGACAACATAAAAGCTGCAATTATAACTCCTACTTGGCCATACCTAGAGTAATCTCATTCATTCTTTAGGCCTCATCAGGCTCCCTCAGGGACAGTTTGCTGGATTACGTAGAGACGATAGACAGCCCCAACACCACCCCACATCCTTCAGCTCTCTCATGGTGATGTGACCCCCACAGTACTTTCAGTGCCTTCCACAAGACACATGAGGTTGCCTGGTTGCTGTGGTGCCCACTTTCCACCCCACCCTCCCGTACCCCCATGTCACTTTCATTGTGTCCTGAATAACAGTTTCAAGTTTGTCTATGGCTTCTGCGAGGAGCCAGGACATCCAGATAGAATGGGCCACATGAATCAATTGGTATGTGTTTCTCCTTTCAGGCAGAGTCTCACTCACTTCACACAAGCACAGAGATCCCCATATAGGCAACTAGATTATGAGAAACAAACGCACCCATCCAAACCCAAAGAATGGACTCTGAGACCCAGAGAACAGCAAAAGTGAGAGTGTCAGTGACGGTTTTGCAATATTGGGTGTCTGGAATGCAGGCACACCAGGGAGAGTTTCAACAATTTATTCCCTAGTGCTCAACTCCCTCCCCCAGTTGCTCATTAGCTGAGTACCAAGGACTTACGATCTTCCCGGATGTCACCTATTGGTAGTTTAAGACTTCTAGTATGTTCCTTAGGGTTTTTTTTTTTTTTTGCTGCATTTTGTTGCAGCCCATAATGCATTGTGATTGTCTCAGGACTCTTTAAACATTTGACTTATGTCCCTAATGGCTGCACTTAGTTGATAAGAAAGGGTACAATTATCTATGTTGCAAGTTAGCCTAAACTACATTTTTTGGTGAGGTGGGGAAGGGGTCGTTGAGGGGGCCCCAACCGATAGGTGCCTGGCCAGTGCATGAAAGGGAAAGCAAGAAGTAGGGGGGATGGTGGCTTAGTACATTTTCCTTCTTTATCTCTTTATGACCATGTGGCCTGCTTAAACCTATACTAAGGCACATAGAATTGAAAATGAGCCATCACATGTAGGTTATTTTTTACACCCTTAAGTCCTGCCCAAGCCAGGGCTGGGCCAAGGCCCTCGAACATCCAGCTGTAGCCTCCTCCTGCTGCAGGTGAGGAGTGGGCAGCAGGGAGGGCCGTGGTGCCTGCTTTGTCCCCATCCCGGTCTCTGTCTCTCAGGCTTACCAGGTTGCATCCAGGTGGGTGAGTTGGGAATTGCGTGCTGATTGCTGAGGGCCTGGATGATCGCTATCTCAGAGGGAGCAAATAGTAAAGGCAGATGTGATCTAGGGAGGGCTAGAAACTGGAGAGGAATCCAAGGAGAGGTGGTGCCTCTAGTCCCTTCCTTTCTGCATCCCCCTCCCCTGTTTCTCCAGCCATCAGGAGGACATCAAGAAAAAGACCCACGAGACCCAGAATGAGGGCCCCCATGTGTACAGCCCCTTTGAGGTCCCCTTGTAACAGGGAGAGTCCTGAGTGCACATGGCCATCCTCTGTCCACTTTGCAGCTCCCCATATGCCTCATCTGGGAGCTGTCTCAGGGGTGTCACGTCCTCTGGGTCCCTCGAGACCGTGCTTTTTCTGGGTTCCCACCATATGGCCCCTGTCTCCCTGTGTTTCCTTGCAGATAATATGGACCAGTTGATAAGCAGATGTCCCTGGGCTATTTGGGGAGTGGGGACCAGCCCTCTGTCAGGGCAGCTGTGGTCCCTGTTTTCATCCCATGTCCAGGTGTTACTTTTTCCAGCCCCCGAGGGTCATAGTACCCAGTGGGCTGTTTTTTGGGCTTTGTTCTGTGCTCTGTGGCCTCACCTTGCCTTTCCTGAGCCAATTTTTTTGTTCTTAGTGTAGTCACTGCCTGGTAAGTTTAAAATAAGAGACAGTCAGAATCATGTCCCCCACAGTCAGGTTGTTTGAGGGGAGAGGAAAAGAGCAAGCAGAAAGTTTTGAGTTTCTGCAAAGACAGAGGCAGTGCAGGGGACAGTGAGAGTCTGAGGTGTCCAGGAAACCCGAGTCTTTCTGCCATTTCTCCACTTCCGTGTGTCTGGCCAGTGAGGTGGTGGTGACTCATCCTTGAACCTAATTGCACAGTTAGTTGGCCACTCAGGCCTGGGCAGATGGGACGGTTCATCCCCTGCCCTGCAGCAAGAGGGCCCCGTCCAGGAGGCAACCACAGCGCGGGCAGTGCAGGTCTGTGGTTGCTCCTGCTCTCACCTGCGGTGTCTCCTATAGAGGGATTGTCAGTTCTGGTTCCCTGTAGGCAGGAATGGTTTTCTCGTAGGTCACTGGGACATTGGCTAGAAAAAGGGCATGAAAATTACATGTTAGTTTCTCAAAATTCCTGCTTTAAGTATTGGTGTACATCAACATAATTTCAGCTGGATAATCTTAATAGGATTTCCTCCAACACTGATGTTGTAAAGGATGTTGAATAGAACAGGAAGTCAAATTTGGGGCTTCGTTTCTCAGAGGGTCCATGTGGGAGACAGTGCCTGTGGCAGTGGCAATCCCCAGGTGCAGAGGGTGCGTAGAGGCAGCCTCAGGATGAGGGGTCTGAAGAAACCCCCTACTCCACAGGCGAAGAAGATCCCCTGTGAGCTGCGATGGCAGTGGCCTGGGTGGAATCCCTGTTAGGAATGGGACAGGAAGGGCTTGCAGCCTCACCAAGCAGCAGCCCTGGGGTGGAGCTGCATTTCCAGGGTTGAGTGGACAGGCAGGAGCAAGCACAGCCCAAATGCAGGTTATGGGGAGGGCAGGCTGGGCCTCCTTGAGCAAGGGGGTCCCCAGCATCAGGTCAGGTGCAGACTCCATGGCAGCCACATATTTCCATGCAGGGCCTGTGAGCCCCAGGGCTTCCTGATGGTATCTCTAGTTAGGAGCTGTCTGCTCAGAGCTGGGAGGGGAGGAACAGTGAGCTGCTGGTGGAGGGCAGAACCCACAGTGTGCAGGGCCTGCCCTGGTATGCAGGTGCCTCTGCAGGTGAAGAGGGCCTGGGGTCTCAGGAAGAGAAGGACTGTGTGTGACTTGGCCCAGACCTGGAAGGACATGGAGACAGGGCCAGGGCCTCTCTTTGGGGAGGCCTCTCACTGTGTCAGGGCTGGTCAGGCTTGAGAGGAGGAGGAAAGGGCACTGAGTTTCCTCTTGGGTCTTGTTCCTTAGTCCTGGGTCCTTTCACTCACTGCACAATGGATGGTGGACACAGGGCAGGTGCTGATGTTGATGGAGTCACGGGAGGGGACTGGCAGGGGCTGGAAAAGTGCCATGGGAGGGAGAAAAAAGTGGGGACGTCATCTTCCGTCAGAGAAAGGGTAAATCTGATTTGGGAGTGACTGAGGAGGGAGAACTCCTCAGGAAATAAAAAGCAGCACTCTGCACCCAGGGGAGCATTTATTGGTTTCTCTCTTTTTTCCAGAGCGCGTGAGCCTGCAAGGCCTGGGTCAACACCTGGTTGGGACAGGAGACCACCAGGGCAGTGCACAGCTGAGATCTCAGTCTCTGGTGTCAGCTCCTGGGTTCGCTGGCTCCACTGAGGGCAACTAGACTCTGCAGCCAGACGGTCTGGATTCAACTCCTTGCCTAGGCCTCACCAGCATGTTCTCTCTTTGTGCCTCATTTTCCTCATCTATGACATGGGGAAACTACGAGCATTTATTTCTTGTGGTTGGATGAATGAAAAGGGTTAGTATATATGGGGTATTTGCAGCTGTGCCATATTATTTTTGTTATTTTGTTATTTTATTATATTTTGATATATTACATATGCAGTAATTGTATTATTATAGGTGAGCTTTATGAGTGAGTGTCCTGCTGATGGCTCCTTGGTCCTGGCCCAGCACCAGCTTTCCTGGCACCTTGAGGTCCTGTCATCTCTGTCATGCTCTCCTGCATTACCCCATTCTACTCTGTCTTCATATTTTATACTATAGATATTTAACTCTTAAATAGACATTTCTGGTCTGCGTTTTATTTCAAGTGTCTGGGAAGGGATAGTGTGAGGTTCAGGAGAGAAGGAGAGGTCTGTCTCCATGCTTTGACACAGCATAAAGAAATCTCCCCTCCTCCCCCACATCTCCCCACCAGTTCTCAGTGAGGGACAGATTCACAGCAACACCGAAAGGGCTGGGAAGGGATGGGGGGACATTTGCAGCCAGTGTTCAGGGGCTGACCCTGTGGGGCAACATCTTCCCTGCAGAGTTAGAGCCCACATATGATGATGTAGAGCTGAAGGGTGATATCAGGGAGGGGACGGAGAGTGCTTTGTGGTTTCCTGATTACGAAGAGTAGAGGTCAGTCAGCTTCTGGGGTGAAGTGACTGCTGGGGAGATTGGATTGAATTAATGAAGAATAAGTGAGCTGGGATTGAGGATGAGTAAAGCAAGCATCAGCATCTCCCGCCATCAGTTCAGACTGATTGGGGAGGTGGGATAGTTCCTGACCTTGTTGTGTGGTTCCTCCTAACTTCCTGGTCTTGGGGACACAGATGGGTGGTGCTGTTCTTGGTCAGGGCAGCCTCAGCTCCATCCAGATAAAGCAGTGGTGGCAGAGAGAGTTAGGGGAGCACCTGTGAAACAGACCAAGGCAGGGATGGGAGCCTTCTGTGCAGCCAGAGTGGATGCAGGACCTGCCTGGATGCAAGAGAAGGATGAGGGACCCTAGCTGGGTCCTGTTCCCTGACTCCTTGTGTTCACAGGGCAACCAGTAAGGGAGCTGGGGTAGGGAATTCATTCATAAGCTATCTATCTAGAGATGTGTTTATAGACATATTATTTCATGTTTGTATTCAGGTTTGTTGTCACAGACACATTTATCCATGTGTGTTTTATGTTTAAGTTACTTTGGAATAGCTCAGTCACAAAATCTTAATCTCTTAATTTGTGCTGCCTCTCTACACGGACACACACACACAGGCGGACACACACACAGGCACACACACACATTCACACACATGCTATACAAACATGTCTACCTGTATCTATAAAGAGACATGTTATGTTATTTTATTTTTTATTTCTTAAATTCATATATATTCATGAGGCACAAGTGCAATTTTGCTACATTGCTATATTGGTTGTGGTAAAGTCAGGGCCTTCAGAGCATCCAGCACTGGAGACAAGCACATTGTACCCATCAAGAAACCCCTCTATTATACACCAACTGCCAACCCCCTTACCCTTCTGGGTCTCCATGGTCCATCATTTCACACTCTCCTTTTATGTATATAAAGAGATATTAACCAAATACGGCAGAGTGGTAACTTGAATTTTACTGCACCGTTCTTTCAGCTTCTTTGCACATTTGAAAATTTATACAGTTATAAGTTGGAAGAATGAGGGAAAATAGAGAGCAAGACAGTGCTGAATAGGAATAGGCTAGGGGTTGTGTCCCACTAGGAACCATAATTGATCTTTGCCATTTTGAAAGTGTGTCCCCTGAGCAGCCTTCAGAGAGTCCTGGAGGCAGGCTTGTTTTCACAGTAATACCAAGATGCCATCTGCCTGTTTCATTGTGTTGACTTTTCCATTAGTGCTGCAAATGCCAAGGTCGGTAGCACACCCAGCACCTCAGCAGAACCAGGCAGTGGCTCCAAACTGCAGTCCCATTTAAGAGTGTCTTTGATGGAGCAGTAAAAAATTTATGTGGATTAAAGTTTGATCCTTGAGTATACGTCTTTAATATTCTTTGTGAGAAAATGGGAAATATGCATAAGACCCTTACTGCACAGAGAAGCAGGATGGTAGCCTTGAGAAAGGGCACTTGTGTGACTCAGTTATGATTTCAACCAGCAGATCTCACTCACCTACGGAAAGACAGTTGTATTAATTCCTGTTTGGGGGTATCATGAATAAAGCTGCAAGAGTATTTGTGCACAGGATTTTCGTGAACATAAAGTATTCCCTTGTTTGAAATAAGTGCCTAGGAGGGCAATTGCTAGTCATAAGGTAAATTGCATGTTCGGTTTGAAGAAAACTGCAATACTCATTTCCAGAGTGGCTGTACCATTTTAAAATACATCCCTACCAGCAATATAAGAGTGTCCCAGTTCCTCTGCGTCCTTGCCAGCATCTGTTGCTACCTTTATTTTGTATTTCAGCCATTCTCATCACTGTGGTTTTAATTTGTATTTTCCTACTGGATAATGATGTTGAGCACCTATTCATCTGCTTATTAGCCCAGTATTTATCCTCTTCAGTGAAATGTCTGTTCATGTCTTGCTCATTGCCTGTTTTGTATTTGGATTTCATTTTTATTGTTTTTAAAATTTCTTCATATATTCTGAATACAGTCTTTACATAATATGTTGCCTGCAAATATCTTCTCTCATTCTGTAGCTTGTCTTTTTATGCTCTTCATAGGTCTCTCACAGAACAACAGTTTTTAGTGTTGATAAGATCCAATTTATTAACTTTTATGGATCATACTTTTGGTGTTATGTCTAAGAACTCTTTGTCCAGTCTTAGCTCTGATGACTTTTTCTTAAAAGGCTTGTAATTTAAAAATTTAAATTTATTATTTATTTTAGAAAAAAAATTCTTGCCTAGGCTGGCCTTGAACTCCTGGGCTCAAGGGATCCTCCCACCTCAGCTTCCTGAGTAGCTGAGAGTACAGGCCTGTGATACCACACCTGGCTCAATGTTTGCCATTTTAACTCTGTGCTTTACATGAAAGCTTGTGACTCATTTTGAGTTATTTTTGTATGAAGCATGAAGTTTTGGCTCAGGTTATTTTTTTCCACTGTGGTTGTCCAGTTGTTCCATCACCATTTGATGGGAAAGCTCTCCTTCCTTCATTGAATTGCTTTTGTGCTTTTGTAAAAGTCAGTTGAGCATGTTTTGCTCATTTTTAGTTGAGTTGCTCATCTTCTTACATTGAGTTTAAGAACTTTTCACATATTCTGGATACATGTTCTTCATCACAGATGTAATTTGTGATAAATTGTGAAATATTTTCTCTCAATCTACGGCTTGTCTTCTCATTTTCTCAATATTGTCTTTTGGAGTACTTAAGTTTTAAATTTTAACTAAGCCCAATTTGTCTCTCACTTTTTTTTCATCTGTAGATCATGTTTTTTGTATTTTATGTAAGAATCTTTTGCCTAACTACTCAATGTCACAAAAATTTTCTCCTATATTTTCTTTTAGAAATTTTATGGTTTTAACTTACAAATTTTAGCTGTTTAGGTCTCTAATTTGTTTGAGCTTATATTTTATATGGCGATAAGTGTCACATCATATTACCTATGCAACTTCATTGAAGATCAATTGACAAAAAAATGTAAGAATGTCTTTCTAGATTCTCACTTCTGTTCATTAATCTCTGTGTCTCTCGCTTTCACACTGTCTGGATTATTGTAGTTTTATATGACATTCCATTTTTTTTCAAATTTGCGTTGGCTTTTCTGCATCCTCTGCATTTTCACATACATTTTTAGGATTAAATTGTCAATTTTCCATAAAATGCCTGCTGGGGTTTTGATAGAGATTGTACAGAACCTATAGATCTCTTGGTGGAGAATTGCCATCTTAACAATATTATTGAGCTTTCCAACCGCATCTATCCATGAATTTAGACCTTTAATTTCTCTCAGTAATGTTTTGTAGTTTTCAACAAACAAACTCTGCTGTCTTCCTAAATTTATTCCTGTTTCTCTCTTTTTGTAACTACTGTGATAGGAAAGTTTAGATTTTAATTGCTTGTATAGAGAAATATGTTAATAATTTTTAATTTGAGTTTATATCCTATGGGAGCTTCTGGATTCATTTTTTAGTGCTAGCAGGCTTTTATCTGCTTGTGAGTTCTACAGACAAGGTCATGTTATCTGTGAATAGAGTTTTATGTTTTCCTTTTTATCTGGATGCCTTTAACTTTTAATTATTTGCCTTATTGCACCAGCTGCAATCTCCAGTACAATGTTAAATAGAAGTGTTGGATTGGACATCCTTGCATTGATCTCCATCTTAGGAGAAAAGCATTCAGTCTTTCTTCAGCAAGCATGATTTTAGTTGTGGGTTTTTTATAGATGCCCTTTATCAGGGTGAGGAAGGTCCCCTCCATTCCTATTTTGTTGAAACTTATGAACATGAGTGGTGTTAACATTTTTGTCAACTGTTTCTTCTGTATCTTTTGAGATAATTATGTCTTTTATTCCCTTACTACAGTGCATTCCATTAATTGATTTCTAATTGTTAATCCAGCCATATATTCCTGGGATGAATCCCATTGGTCATGGAATGTAATCCTTTTTTACGTGGCTTTCTATTGTCTGCCAATGTTTGTTAAGGATGTTTTCATTTATGTTTATTGGTGACACTGGTCTATGGTATTCTTTTCTTGTCAGTCTTGCTCTGACTTTGATATTAGGGTAATGTCAGTTCTGTAAATGAGCTAGAAAGTCTTGCCTCCTCTCTTCTTGTCTGAAAGAGCTTTTGAAATATTTGATAGAATTCACCAGTGAAGATATCTGGGCTTTGGCATTTCTTTGTGAGAAGGTTTTAAAATTACTGTCTTAGTGTACAGTTCTCTTCAGATTTTCTATCTATTTTTGAGTCAGTTTCAGCAATTTCTATCTTTGTATAAATCTGTCCATTTTATCTAAGTGGTCTAACTGATTGGCTTCAGGTTTTTCAGAGTATTAACTTATAATGATTTTTAACTTCTAAAGGGTCATTAGTGATACTCTCTCTTGTGTTCACAATTTTGGTAATTTATCTCATTTCTCGTACTGTCTGTTTTGACTTTTGGTCAAGAAAACAGACAGAGGCAGCTCTGTGACAGATTCTGTAGTGGGAAGCTTTGATCATTCATAGCTGGCAAGCCAGACTAATGCCAGCAACCCCAAAGGAGCTGCCAATGGATCTTGACAGGGAAGTCACTGACTCTGGATTGGGCTATGTTCAACCAGGGGTAGATGTCAATGCTTCAAGGGCTATACAAGAACCAGAAAAATGGAGATTACACCAATTTGGACTGTTGAGTCACATTTCTTTACACAAGAAAACACACTTTACAGCCTTAAAAAGCCAACAATGCACAGGGAAATGTACTATTCAGGGGAAACTTTGATAGAATATTGAAATGGCTGACCAGGCGCGGTGGCTCATGCCTGTAATCCCAGCACTTTGGGTGGCCGAGGCGGGCGGATCACCTGAGTTTAGGAGTTTGAGACTATCCTGACCAATATGGTGAAACCCCGTCTCTACTGAAAATACAAAAATTAGCTGCGTGTGGTGGTGGGCGCCTGTATTACCAGCTACTTGGGAGGTTGAGACAGTAGAATTGCTTGAACCTGGGAGGCAGAGGTTGCATGAGCCGAGATCATACTACTGCACTCCAGCCTGGGCGACAGAGTGAGACTCCATCTCAAAAAAAAAAAAAAGAAATAGTCAGTTGAAACATTGGTTGTCTAATTGTCTAAAAACTGCCAATATAATTGTTGGGCAATATAAACATGAAGGACTGGCTTTTATATCTTCATGAATGTGCTTACTGTCAACATGGGTGGAGCTGCGAAACTGACTCCACTAGGTAGCTTCCTCTCTTTTTCCTGATGGATCAGGGTGATGCTGTTATGACTGTACATACAATTCTTCTTAAGGGGAGGATGCTGGAATAATGACTACACTTCATTTCTTATTTCTTTTTTTACACAGGGTGCAGTGGTACCAGGAACAGGGATGCAAATCGAACTGCCAGAAACAGGAATTATCCCTAAGGAAAAAACCATAACTATATTTTTATACCTTTATGTAAGAATTCCCAAGCAAATCAAGGATTGCGCTGTGCCTTCATTTCATCTGGCAAAGTCGGGATTAACTGTAAGTAGAGCTACGTAGACTGGTGGTCAGATAGCCTGCACTAGTTCCTAACCTATGTAACCTACCGTCTATGATCAAGAGTAGATTAAGAGAAGACATGGTAGAATACTGTTGCTGCATGCAGTCTAGGCCAGCACAGCAGCCAAACCTAATGTCACTTCTAGAACTGGAAAAGACTGATATAAAGGGACAGAAGGAGGAATAGTGGCTGAGGGTAGGTGAATAAATCAAAGGGTTATGTAATGAGGAAAATTCAATATTAGCTTATCTCCTCAAAAGTGGTGTGAGCAAGAGATGTTGTCTCTTAGGTCAACTATACTGGATGCCTAAAAGGGTGAAGCTGTGTGTCCCTGAGACCATTCTTGTTTTTGGAACCTGTTAAGATTGAGTGGTGTCTGCAAAGCTGAGTGATGTCATTCTGGGAGACATATTCATACAAGAGGATGATAAACTGGCCTAATTTTGAATGACCGAATGAGACTTGGATAATATGCCAATGCTTCTTTACTGTTATAATCCTTTTCGTATGAAAAATATGTGGTCAAAGAAAAGGGGATAATATGAGTTATCACAAAAACATTTAGTCTTGTCCCTGGTTTCTCCTAAAAACCTTAGAATCTCTTGAGTGATTAGAGTGTCTTTAGAATACTGAGGAAAGGACTCTTGGCTGAGTGGATCCTGGATACCTTGAGAATGGGGGCTGGCTGCCACAGACACATACCTATGATGAGAGGGTTGTCTTATTCCGTTTTGTGTTGCTATAAAGAAATGTCTGAGACTGACTAATTTATATAAACAAGGTTCATTTGGCTCAGGATTCTGATGTCTGGAAATGTTTGAGCATTTAGCGAGGGCCTCAGGCTGCTTCCACTCATGGCAGAAGGCAAAGGGGAGCTGGTATGTGCAGAAGTCACGTGGTAAGAGAGGAACAGAGGGAGTAGGAAGGTGCGAGACTCTTTTAACAACTAGCTCTTTTGGAAACTAATAGGGCAACAATTCATTGACTCCCGAGAGAGGGCAGTATCTCTCTGTTCATAAAAGATTGGCCCCCAAGACCCAAACGCCACCCATTAGGCCCTAAGTCCAACATTGGGGATCAGATTTTAACATGAGGTATCTGGGGATAAATATTTATATCATTGCATCCTGTCCCTAGCCAGCCAAAGCTCACATTCTTCTCACATTGCAAAAGACAATAATCTTCTCCCAATTGTCCAAAATGTGTTGGGTTGATCCAGCATCAACTCTAAATTCCAAAGTCTCATCTGAGACTCAAGGTAAGTTCTTATAGCTGTGCACCTGTAAAATTAAAAAAAGTTATTTACTTCTAAAATATTAATACAACAGTGGTAGAGACATTTCCTATACATTTCCATTCCAAAAGAAATAAATGGGCCAAAAGAAATGAATGCAGTGTCCTCACAAGGTTGAAACTCATCATGGCAGACATTAAAACTTAAAGCTCTAAAATAATCTCCTTTGACTCTATATCTTGAACCCTGAGCACACTGGCTGCTGCAAGCAATGGACTCACAATGCCATCTTCAGCCTCATATCCGTGGCTTTGGTGAACATAATCCATATAGCTGCTCTCATGGGTGAACATTGAATGCTTATGGCTTTTCCAGGCTGAGCTTGCATATTGCCAGTGGCTCTATGATTTAGTAGTTTTGGCAGGGGTCCTGTTCCTGCAGCTCCACTAGGAATTGTCCTGGATATTAAATTTCCCCTTTAAATATCAGTTCCAGTTTCAGGTCATGTCTTTGCTCACACATATGTGCATAGGCTATTACAAGCAGGCAGGCCAAATCTGGAATGCTATGCTGCTTAGAAATTTCTTCCACCAGATACCCTTATACATCACTCTCAAGTTCAAAGTTCTACAGATCCCTAGGGAGGGGGAACAATGCCTCCAAGTTCTTTGCCAATGCATAACAAAAGTGACCTTTCCTCTAGGTCCCAATAAGTTCCTCATCTCCATGTGAGACCTTATCAGCCTGGACTCCATTGTCCATATCACTATCAGCATTTTGGTCACAACAGCTTAACAAATCTCTAGGAAGTTGCAAATTTTCCCCCATTTTCTTGTCTTCTGAACTCTCCAAACTCTTCCAACCTCTGCCTGTTACCCAGTTCCAAAGCCGTTTCCACATTTTCAACAATTTTTATAGTAATACCCAACTCCTGGTACCGATTTTCTGAATTAGTTCATTCTCACACTTTTATAAAGAAATACCTGAGACTGGGTAATTTATAAACAAAATAGGTTTCTTTCTTTCTCCTCCCACCATCCAAGATGCCAAAAGGAAAGAAGGCCAAGGAGAAGAAGGTGGCTCCAGCCCCTGCTGTCGTGAAGAAGCAGGAGGCCAAGAAAGTGGTAAATCCCTTGTTTGAGAAAAGGCCTAAGAATCTTGGCACTGGACAGGATATCCAGCCCAAAAGAGACCTCACCCACTTTGTGAAATGGCCCTGCTATATCAGGTTGCAGCAGCAGAGAACCATCCTCTATAAGTGGCTGAAAGTGCCTCCTGAGATTAACCAGTTCACCCAGGCACCAGACAGCCAAACAGCTACTCTGCTGCTTAAGCTGGCCCACAATACAGACCAGAGACAAACCAAGAGAAGAAGCAGAGGCTGTTGGCCTGGGCCAAGAAGAAAGCTGCTGGCAAAGGGGACATTCCCCACTAAGAGTCCACCTGTCCTTCGAGCAGGAGTTAACACCATCACCACCTTGGTGGAGAACAAGAAAGCTCAGCTGGTGGTGATTGCACATGATGTAGATCCCATCAAGCTGGTTGTCTTCTTGCCTGTCCTGTGTCATAAAATGGGGTCCCTTACTGCATTATCAAAGGGAAGGCAAGACTGGGACATCTAGTCCATAGGAAGACCTGCACCACTGTCACCTTCACACAGGTTAACTCGGAAGACAAAGGTGCTTTGGCTAAGCTGGTGGAAGTTCTCAGGACCAATTACAATGACAGATATGATGAGATCCGCCGTCACTGGGGAGACAGTGTCCTGGGTCTCAAGTATGTGGTTTGCATTGCCAAGCTCAAAAAGGCAAAGGGTAAAGAACATGCCACTAAATTGGGTGAAATGTATGCTGTTGAGTTTTCTGTATGTAAAAATAATTAAAATAATATAAATTTTCCTTCAAAAAACAAAAACAAAACAAAAACAGAAAAGAGGTTTAAATTGGGTCATGGTTCTGCAGGCTATACAGAAAGTATGATTCTGGCATCTGCTCATCTTATGAGAGGGCCTCAGGGAACTTTCGATTATGCTGGAAGGCTAAGGGGAAGCAGACATTACTTACATGCCTGGAGCAGGAGGGAGAGAGAGCAGGGAGGTGACACAGATTTTTAAACACCAGATCTTATGAGAATTATCACAAGAATAGCACCAAAGAGATGGTTCTAAACCGTTCATGAAGGATCCATCCTCATGAGCCGATCACCTGCCACCAGACACCACCTCCAAAATTAGGGATTACAATTGAACATGAGATTTGGGTGGGGACACAGATCCAAACAATATCAGGGGTCATGGTGGACATGAGGATGGGCTGGTCTCCCATTTCTTACCTGTTACTGTAGACATAGACACATTCAGATGCTTTGGCAGAAAGAGAAGCCAGAGGCCCTTAATGTCACAAAGAGGAGGCATGAACAAATCTTGCATCTCAGTCCCTCACAAGGCAATCTTAGAAAAAACATAGTCATAAACTAATCCAGGTCAGTCACAGTAAGTTGTGACACTGAACAGCCCACCACACCTTGAAAAATTCCAAATCAAAGAATCTCCAGAGCTTAGTTGTGTCCCCTCTGCCCAACTCCTCTTTCACTTCAGGCCCTCTAAGGTGTCACTTTTACAAGCCGTGAGAGACACATCAGAGCCCTGGGTACTGTTCCTGTTTGGGGTGGAACAAAAACAAAATCTGGTCAGAGCCCACAGGTGATGTGACTAAAGGAGGAATTTTGGGGTGGCTGAGCTCCCCCATGGGCTCCTGTCTACACTATCCCAAGGATCTCAGGGATCACTCTTCCCACCCCTACCACACTTACATGAAGCCTGAGCATAACTGCCTCCTTTTCCATCTGTGGAAAGAAAACAAACTGTGAGAGGCCAGGGAGGAGGCAGGGCATGAGATCCTAGAGAAGTTTCCAGAACTGTGACTACAGACCCAGGTCAGGATCAGAAAACCCAAGGGAAGAGGATGTGTTGAGGCTGGACCAGTTGTCCTCCTGAGGTCTGTCCTCAGCAGGGACCTTCCCCTGACCTGTGACTGCTGGGAGTCAGGTTCCCATGACCACAATCAAGGTGATAAATTTGTCCTTCATTTTCACAGGTGCTTTACAAAAGATTAAGTGTTGATAGACAGGGCCTCTGAACAGGGTAAATGTGTGTGGAGATGGTGCCTCACAACTAGGCAAGATATGAGCCAACTCCTACCTGGGGCTTGAAATCCACCAATGGAAGAAGGAAACTCAGAGCTCACCCCTTTCCTACCTGGGATCTTATTCCTCCACATCACAGCAGCGACCACAGCTACAGTGAATACAGCAACGAGAAGAACCAGGCCAGCAATGATGCCCACAACGGGGATGATGGGCTGGGAAGACAGCTCTAAGAAAGGAGGTGAACGTGAGGGGCCCTGACCCCCAGGCCTCAGCCCTGACCCTGCTTAAAGGCTCCAGAAGGACTTCTGCTTTGCCTGAGAAGAGACATGACCTCTCATTCGTCTCCTTACCCCATCTTAGTGTGAGGGGCTCAGGCAACCCCTCATGCTGCACATGGCATGTGTACCTCTGCTTCTCTCCAGAAGACACCACTGCAGCTGCCCACTTCTGGAAGGTTCTGTACCCTGCAAGTCTGGTCTCCACAAACTCTGCATCCTGAATTTGGTCCTCCCCATCCCGCTCCTGGGTCAGTGTGATCTCCAGAGGGTAGAAGCCCAGGGCCCAGCACCTCAGCGTGGCCTCATAGTTGGAGATGGGGTGGTGGGTTACCTGTGCCTTCAGGGGATCTGAGGGCAAGAGGTAGAAAATTCAGGCACTTTGCATTCCTCATGAGACACAGCACCCATGTGACCATCCTGAGAATGGACGGGACACCTGGGGTGGGGAAGGGAGCACAGAACCCAGACAGCATTCTGGACACAGGCACCTGGGATAATCTCTTATTCCTTGGAAAGTTCTAGTGTCTGAGGCGGAAACAGAGATTTCTGGTCCTGACCTGAGTGGAGGCCGAGGGACTCAGAAGAGCTGGAATCAGACCCCCACACGCATTGAGTATGAGGCAGAGAACAAGGCCTGAGAGGAAAATTCCTGGTGCCCAAGGCTGCTGGGGGGTCAAAGGGGACCGCGTATCAGTATTCCAGGGATTGTCTTCCCCTCCTTTCCCGCAGAGACTTCATCCGTTAATTGTCCCAGAGTGCAGGGCGGGCCCTCAGTCACTCTCTGGTATAGGATTTAGAAACCCAGGAGGACTCTTCTGCCTCAGGACAAGAGGGAGAGGGATATTTTAGCGTTGGTCCCATTTTCCTCCCTTCTTTTGGAAGGTGGCTCAGGGATATCTGCAGGAGATCAGGGAAGCGCCCCGTGGCCTCTGGTACCTGCGCATTGCAGACTCTCCTCATTCTTAAGGCCTTTGCTGAGCCACTCCGCCCACCTTCCGGGCAGGTAGGTTTTGAGCAGCTCTGCATGTTCCTCCTCCAAAACATCTGAGCCGCCTTGTCCGCTGCGGTCCAAGAGAGCAGTTCCTGGTTTAGGACGAGGTAACTGGCGCCATCGTAGGGTATGTTCATCCCCGCGCGAAGAGGCTCCGGTCCGGGTCCAGGTCGCAGCTGTGTATCCACTGGAGGTGGGAGACCCTGTCCCCAAGCCCGCGGTCAGCCTCAGCCACTGAGCCTCAGCCACTGAGCTCCTCCTCTGCCCCGATCAATCCCCCGGTGATTTGGGCCTGAACTGAAAATGGAATCGGGTATAGGCACCTGGGGTTCTTGTGTCGAGGGTCTCCACGAGTCTCGCAGCCTCGGGGTGGGTCTCCGATTGTGCTACAGTGGGTAGCACAATCTTGGTAGCCCCTGAATGGTCACGAATCTAATTTGTAAAAGAGATGATTTTTGGCCCCACTATATATAAATATGTCTAAACGCATTGCAATTAGACTCACAAAGTGAAGTTTTACTTTCCTAGACTGTGTATCTGTGACTCTGGTCTGTTGTATTTTTACAGTATCTTTATTTCATAGCTCTGAGTTTGTGTGTGCGAGTCCAGGACATCTCAATACAAAGCACAATGTATTACCGTATATTGCAACCAGGAGCCTGTACAGAATTTAATTACCTCAGAATTGCAAGTGCTTAATGCAGCCAAAGTGCCCTTCGCCAGTGCTCATGCACTCCCTTTATTATTAATTTTTTTATTTTTTATTTATTTACAGACAGGGCGTCACTCTGTTATCCTGGCTAAAGTGCAGTGGCACGCTCATGACTCACTGAAGCCTCGACCTCCTTGGCTCATGTGATCAATGCTCCTCCCTCAGCCTCCCAAGTAGCTGGCACCACAGGCTTGTGCCACCACTCCTGGCTAATTTTTCTAAAAATAATATTTGTAGAGATGAGGTCTCCCTAAATTGCTCTGGCTGGTCTTGAACTCCTGGGCTCAAGCAATCCTCCCGCCTCAACCTCCCAAAATGCTGGTATTACAGGCATGAGCTATAATGGCCGGCCCATGCACTTGCCTATTATTATGAATTATTCACATCTAAGCTATGTGTATATTTTATTGAGACATTTGGTATTCTTTTTTAACCTTTTTTTTTTTTTTTGAGACGGAGTCTCGCTCTGTCGCCCAGGCTGGAGTGGTGCAATCTCGCTCACTGCAAGCATCGCCTCCCGGGTTCACGCCGTTCTCCTGCCTCAGCCTCCCAAGTAGCTGGGACTACAGGCGACCGCCACCACGCCCGGCTAATTTTTTTTGTAATTTTTTATTAGAGACGGGGTTTCACCATGTTGGCCAGGATGGTCTCGATCTCCTGACCTTGTGATCCACGCGCCTCGGCCTCCCAAAGTGCTGGGATTACAGGCGTGAGCCACCGTGCCCGGCCTTTTTTAACCTTTTTATCTTAGAGAGGCAATTAGGTTTTAGACAGCCCCACAGAATGCATTAAAGACCAAGGTGCAAGTAACACTGTGCCAGGCTTTGCGGATAAATGCATTAAAAATCTATAAAACACTGTATTTAAGTCTGAGAATTCCATTGCTTTAGAATTCTTTCTGTTCCTTTACCTCACCTCCTGCTTCTCCAGCCCTTCTCTCTGTTCCTGTCATCCTTCAGGCCCTCCTCTCCCCTTAGTCTCTACTACTCTGTCACTACTGAATTGTGGCCCTAGCTCTGTCCCTGGCCCTAGCTCTGTCCCTTGCCTGCTGCCCATGACTGTTCTCCCCACAAAGGTCAGCAATCCTGCTAATGTGAGTCAGATTGTTTCATTTCTTCACTTAAAAGCCTCTAATGGCTCCATCTTACTCTCAAGAAGCCTCTAGAATGGAAGGCACAAGCACAGGGGCTTTGGGTTGTTTTGATCAAAGTTGTATCTACAGAATATAAAAGTATATCTGCCACATAGTAGGCACTAAGTTAATTTTTGTTGAATGAATGAATGAAATATAATTGTGTTCAAAATTGTATCACACAAAAATCATGAAATGGAAAATGCAAAGCAAGTTAGGAAATATTTGGTTTTATGCAACTACTATGCATATCAGTTCATGAATTCATTCCGGTGGAGAAAATGTCATATACTTATCCTTTGAATCTGTTTATTTATTTCCTGGCAGTACATAACCAATTACCACAAACTTAGTGGCTGAAAACAGCACCCATTTATTTGTCTACATTTCCTTCATCAGAAATCCAGGCCTAACGTGATAGACTCTTTGTTCAGAGTTTCGCAAAGTTGTATCCTCATCTTAAGATTGGGGTTCTCCCCCAAGCTTGTGTAGAGTTTGTTGGCAGAATTCGGTTTCTGGCAATTGTAGGATTAAGGTCCCTGTTTCCTTCGGGCTATCAGAGTAGACAGTGGGGAGGGCTTCTAATTCCTATTGGCCACCAGTGTTCTTTCCCCATGATCCCTCCATTTTCAAAGCCCAAAGCGGAGGAAGCCCCTCACGCTGAATCCCTCTCACACTGTGAGTCTCTATTCTCAGGAAGAACCCAATCCTTTTCAGAGCTTACCTGATTAGGACCGTCTAAGCAGGATAATCCTCATCTTAAAGTCAACTGACTGGGGACTTTAAATATATCTGCAAAACCTCTTCACAGCAGCACCTGCTTTAGTGTCAACTGAGTAACTGGGGTAACCTGAGTAACCAAGGGTGGTTATTGGGGTGTCATCATAGAATCAGCCTAGCATAGCCTGGATCTTCCTTTCATGTTTAAATAGAACATACAAGTTGAAGATCAAAAAATAGATCATTGTTAATGATAATAAAATATATCTTATATAGCCATGGAAATTTTTATTAAATATTAAAAGCAAATGACATGTTTAATATCTTATAATGAATTTAGAGCAAATGAAAAAGTTCAGTGATTCATCCTCTCTTGTGAAGCTGTATTAGTTATCTACTGCTGCATAACAAGTCACCTACAACTTAGCAGCTCAAATCAACAAATATTTATCATCTCCCACAGTTATCCATGGTCAGGAATCCAGGAGAAGTTTCTCTGAATGCTTCTGGCTCAGGGCCTCTCACAAAGTTGCAGTCTAGTTGTCTTCCAGGGCTGAATCACCTGAGGGCTCAAATGGGGCCAGGGATTCACAAGACACAAGAATCTCTCACATGGCTTTTGGAAGAGGCTTTAGCTTCTTATTGTCTGGTCCCAGGAGGACTCACTTCCTAGTCACATGGACCACAGGCCTCCTTATGACACAACAGCCAGCTTCCCCCAGGGCTCATGATTCCAGAGAAAGAAAGAACCAAAGTAGAAACTTCAGTGAGTCTTATGTTCTACACCCAGAATCACAAACTATTAAGTCAGCATTACTCTATCAGTTAGAAGTGAGTCATTAAGTCCAGGCTACACGAACAGGGAGGGAATGAAGCTGCACTTCTGGAAAGGAGGAGTATCAAAGAATTTATAAACATGTTAAAAGCAAAATTAACATTATTGTTTCAGGGTTTTGTAAATCAAATACTTCTTGTATCTGACTTTTTTTAATACTTTAAAATTCTCTTCTGTAAAGTTGATTAAATATTTGAGACAGAGAAAGAAGATACAACAATATCTCAGATTTTTTTTGTAAATGCCTTTAATATTAATGTTCTCTTTGATAAGTTGCAACAGAGTTGAGAAAATACAGTAGCTAAATTAAAGTGTCCCAAGACTTTGGTGCCATACAATAATGCCTTTACAATCGTAACTATGTTTGTTTCTCTTCAGAAGTTTCTAATTCGGTTTAAGAATGCCCAAAATGCCAATTTTCTTACTCAAGCATCTACAAAAATATTTGCCTAATCAGGGTGCTTTGCAGCTAGAAAAATGTGAATCTCACACCTCTGTCTATACACTAGCTTAGCATCATGACAATAATTTGTTTGGCTAGGGTAGGCAGAAATTGTTTACTCCAATCTAGGAACAAGATTTTTCAATAACTGGCTATTCAGTGGGCATCCTATGAAAGTTTAACATCTTTCACTGTGTTTTTAAATTAGATGTAGTAGAAGTGATTTGGACTCCAGTATGATTCTGAAAAACACTGTTCTTTTGTGCTGCTATCATTGCTGTACAAGCATCTCTTTCATGTTTTCCATTCTTATTGCTATTTCATCACTAGTTATTCCTTTATGTCTTTTCATTTAATTTATTTTGCTCAACAATGCTTTTTTTTTTACTGTGTAAAAGTTTAATCCACTTGTATGTGTGGTAAAATGTGAGCAACATATCAAATTCTCAAATTCTTTGCAAGATACAATTGCCTTGCACATCAGATTGAACACTGTATGCCAGACAATGTAGAGAGTTGCCAATTAGCCCAGGGTCAAATGACCTCTTTCTAGCCAAGGCTATTTTTCATGAGATCCTGGTCCTCTCTGTCACATGACTCTTTACAATTGGCTGTGGCTTTGTTTTAACGTGTGTAGTTATTGCTAAGGATCCTTGAGATGAACTTTGGTATTTTCTTTTCTCTTTCATTTCCAAATAATCAGTCAGGAATGGCACACAAGGTGCATTTTGAAAAATGACACTTTAAAGATTTGTGGGCCGGGAATGGTGGCTCATGTCTGTAATCCCAGCACTTTGGAAGGCCGAAGTTGGTGGATCACCTGAGGTCAGGAGTTTGAGACCAACCTGGACAATATGGTGAAACCCCGTCTCTACTAAAAATACAAAAATTACCTGGGTGTCGTGGTGGATGCCTATAATTCCAGCTACTCAGGAGGCTGAGGTAGGAGAATTGCTTGAACCTGGGAGGCGGAGGTTGCAGTGAACTGAGATCACGCCACTGCACTCCAGCCTGGGCAACAAGAGGGAGACTCCATCTCGAAAATAAATAAATAAATAAATAAATAAAGATTTATGATCAAGTAACTTAACTACCTGGACATCCCCTCCTGGCATAAAAAACAAAACCTATGAAGCCACCCTCGGCTGTTGTCCAATTCTATTCCCCAAAAGGAACTTCTATCTTGAGTCTTGTATTTACTATTCCTTTTCATTGTCTCTAAAGATTTTTACAATAAGTATATATATATCCAAATCACAGTTTGACCTGCTTTTTTAAACTTCCCCGTACAGAGAACTCACACAATGTGCATTCTTCTGTGATGCTGATGCATGTTATGTGTAGGAGAGTTATCTCTGATGTGGGAGGGTGCTGTTCATTCACTGTTGCTGCTGAAGTTTTACTTTTTATTATTATACGACAATTTTGTTAATTCCCATTGATGTATATGTGATTGTTTCTAGTTTTTGCCATAAACATTGGTGTACATGTCTCCTGGACACATAGCCAAGAATGTCCCCAGGGGGTATGATCAGGAGGCAGATGGTGGGATTATATGATGTATGGACATTAATCATACTAGATAAGGCTAATTTGATTTCTCAAGTGCTTGTACCAAGAATGGGAAAGAGCTTGTGTTGCTCATGTGTTCTGAAAACATTCAGTTGGAGACAGAAATTAAATGTTAAAAGGTACTGTCTTGGCTATAGAATCACCCTAGGCATTTTTTCATATTCCATTAACAACTTCCTTTTCTTTACTTTTATATTATAAATTACGGCATTATACTTTTAGCATAAAGTTCAAATAATGCTTCCTTTTGGCCTAAACACTTGGAGTTTATGAAAAAAAATGGAGGGAGGGAGAAAGCTCTGAGGGAGGAAAGGAGGAAAGAAGGAAGGAAGGACAGAGAAAGACAAAATTTGAAAATGTTCAAAAATAGGAGGAAAGAGTTGGAAACAGCAAGTATAGCTAATGTTATTAAAATGCAAGGGATTAAAAGATATGTAGATAATATCCATGGAAAATGGAAACTTAAGAAAGCCTTAATAGTTATCTAGTGCTGTGTCACAAACTACCTCAAAATTTAGTAGCTTAATAGAACAAATATCTGTTAACTCAAAGAGATACTACACACACAAGTAAAATAGATTCTGTGGGGGTGGCAGAAGTTGGATAAAGAGAAGGATTTTACAGGTTGGAATAAGAGTTATTGATATGCAGATGGAAATAATTTTTAGTCCAAGTCCTTCAAGGAGCAGATGCCAAGATGAGCTTAAAGTCTGCGACATCTTATGAGGGGACACACCCGTAAGGGAATATGGGAAGTGAGCCAGAAATCCCTGGAAAAGGCGGCAGACCACGATGCAAGTGTGACCCCAAGTGCTGGACAGAAGGAGAGAAAGTTTGTTCGACGCATCCTAGAGCACAGGCAATCTAAGGAGAGTTGAGCAAGGCCGTGGAGGAGCCTTCCAGCTACAGTTGGCCATCAGAGGAGTCCCGTGTCTCCCAGGAATGGCTTGCCTTAACGCCTGCTGTGACCAGTCACTGGCTGGGAACAGCCCATGGGAAGCAGGGCTTTGCACCAATCCTGCTGAGGATGTCAGAGCACAGGAGCACAGCCTTGGGACATTACCTATGAGTATCGCTCAATCCTTCCTTCCTGAGGGTTCTGGGCTCTTGAATATGAAACCCTCTCAGGCTGGGTTGCTGGATGATTCTGCTCACACTTACAACAGGACAAGGGGAACCATAAGGTCTCCAAGTGGATCTCTTATTTCCACACACACATCTCCTGCCCTCCTTGTGTGATAGCAGCCCTGCCTCCTCCTCTTCTCACCTTCTTGTGTCTGGACACATACTATTCAAACATCCCTGGGGGCAGCCATAAGGTGTAGTTCCATGGACTCTCATTTAAATGTCTCCTTGCCAGGGTGCCCCCTTTGGGAAACCAGGACCTCCTCCCCTACAGAGCCCAGATATTGGAGATGAGAAGTGCAAAATCACCCTGAAGGTGAATATAAGGGTTTAGATATGGAGCCACACCTGCTTCTACTTCTTGGTTTTTGGACCCACGTATTCTTCCTTCTGTAAACACAGCACTATAGAGACATCTTTGATTCAATACATGCACCACATCCTGAAAGATGGCAGCCATTCCTCAGAGGGTTTCATCCAAGCTGGCACTAAGTTGTGTCTGTAGAGACCTGTCCATGACTCTGTGTGGCTGGCAGCCCCTGGGAGGTGCAGGTGGTGATAAGACCAGGGGATTCCATGGTCATCATGGCCCACGCTTCATCCCCTTCCCTCTGAGGTGTGTCCCGCGGGCAGATAATGTACTGAAATTCTGAGCCAGTGGCTCAGGAATGCCAATAGTGATACTGGCTGAGGGTCTAAGAGTAGAGAGGAAAACCACACCACATCTAATAGGTGCCTATCCCTGTGAGGATGAACCTCCGCCCCCCGGGCCGCCTCCCACTTGAGCTGGGTGATCTGAGCCGCCGTGTCTGCGGCTGTCAAGGAGCACAGGTCCTCGTTCAGGACGATGGAATCCTTGCCATCGTAAGCAAGCTGGTGATACCCGCGGAGTAGGCGCCCGTCCGACCCCACGTCGCAGACAGACATCCTCTAGATGGGTGTGAGACCCTGGCCCCGCCCCCGCGGCCAGCCCCGCCCACCGAGCCCCGCCCCCGCCAGGACCAACCTGCGGGGATTTTGGCTGAAAATGAAACCGGGTAACGGCTCCTGGGCCTCTCCCGGGTAAAGGGTCTCCAGGTTCCGCTGCCTCGGCGTGGATCTCGGACCCAGAGACTCGGGGAGACCCGGGCGGTCCGTGGGGGATGTAGAGGGGTAGTGATCTGCGCCCCCGGCCGGTGTCACTCACAGGCCTCACTCTGGTTGTAGTAGCCGCTCAGGGTCCGCAGGTTCACTCGGTAAAACTGTGCTTTGGCCTTGGCGGTCCCTGTCTCCTCTTCCCAATATTCCGGCCCCTCCGGCTCCATCCTGGGACTCGTGGCGTCGCTGTCGAGCCGCACGCACTGCGTGTCGTCCACGTCGCCCACGGAGAGGAAGCGGGGATCCGCGCGGCCGGGCCGGGACATGGTGGTGTGGAAATACCTCAAGGAGTGGAAGCCTGGGAGCAAGGAGGGGGCTGAGACTCTCCCGACCCTCCTCCCGGCACCGCAACCGGGTTCCTGAGCCCCCGCCGGGCAGGCCCCTAGCTACTCCCCACAGAGGCCGTTTCCCTCCCGACCCCGCACTCACCTGCCCAGGTCTGGGTCAGGACCAGGGCCCCCGAGAGCAGCAGAAGCAGGGTTCGGGGCGCCATGACACCATCCTCGGCGACTGGGGAGAATCGGAGTCCCGGTGGGTGCGTGGGAACTTTAGAACCGGGACCGCGGCTACATTGATTGGCTTCTCTAGGAACCCGACACTCAATGGGAGTGAGAACTGGGGCAGCCTGGTGAGTATCCAGGAAGAAGGACCCGACACAGGTTGGGAGAGGGAGAAGAGAAACCCTGCGGAGATGGGGAATCCCCAGCGCTGGGCCTCCCCAATCCATACACCGCCTTTGGGGCCTGAGATCCTGAGAGCCATGCCTGAGGCCCTGGGACTTCGCCCTGACCCCGCTACTTCTGTGCCAAGCGCTCTGTCTCAACGTTTCCGAGTCTTGGCCCAGGAGCTGTCTGAGAAACCAGGGAGAAACCCTCGAAATGGGCCCCGTTCCTCTCTCTTCACTTTGCATCACGGAATCCCCGTCCCAGAACTGGACTCCCTGCCTCCTACTCCTTACCTGTCCCCGTGGACTCTTCTAGAAGAAAAATCACTCCAGGGAGCTTGTTGCCAGAGAGTGAGCTTGCCCTGGGAATGGAGGTGTAGAGACAGGGTTTTTTGTTGTTATTGTTTGTTTGTTTTTTAAATCTGGAAAAGTTGTGCCTGAGTGCATGAGATAGAATAGAGACCAGTTTGCTTTTTGTTTATTAACTACAGTGGGTAGCAGAATCTTGGTAACTCCTAATGATCAGGAATCTAATTGGCCAAAAATGTGACTTTGGTCCCTTGACATATAAATGTGTCTAAAAGCATTACAACAGGAATCACAAAGCTCCTAAGTTTCACTTTCCCAGACAATGTATCTGTGACTCCCGCTTGTAGTATTTTAAATTTACCTTCATTCCATAGCCCTGAGTTTCTGTGTGAGTCCAGGACATCTCCTAATACAAGGTAGCCACTGTGTTACTATATGTTGTAACCAGGAGCCAGTACAGACTTTATTCACCTCACAGTGGCAAGCACTCAATGCAGTCACAATGCCCCTCACCAGTGCTCATGCACTGCCTGTTTTTAGGAAGTATCCACTTCTAAGTGTTGTGTATATTTTATATGAACACTTAGTATTTTTTAAACCTGATTAACATAAAAAAATTAGTTTTTAGGCAGACCCACATAAGGTATTAAAGGCCAACTGCAAAGATCACCCTGCAAGGCTCTGTAGATTGATGTATTAAAATATATAAAACAATGTGTTTAAACCTGAGTTCTGCTGCTTTCGAATTCTTTCCCTCTGCTCCATTTCCTCACCTCCTGCATCTCCAGCCCTTCCCTCCATTCCTCTCATCCCTCAGGCCCTCCTCTCCCCTTAGTCCCCACCACCTTGTCACTCCTTATTTGTGACACTAGCACTGTCCCATTACCTGCTACGTGACTGTTCTCTGCACAGTGGTCCTGCTCCTGTGAGTCAGAGTGTGTCATTTCTCCACCTAAAACATTCCACTGGCTCCACCTTGGTCTTGTGAAGCTTCTGGAATGTCAGGCACGTGAGCATATGAGGGCACACCTGGTTCATTGTAGGGATTAAATTAATTTTTCTTGACTGAATGAATGAAATATGAGTCTATTAAATTGCATCACAGAAAATTATAAAATGTAAAATACTGAAAAAGTTAAAGATTTTATTTTATGTAATTAGTGTGCATATCAATTCATCAATTCATTCGTGCACTACCACGACTGGCAAAACAACACCCATTTATCTGCTTATACTTCCTTGGTCAGAAATCTGGGCAAGATGTGGATAGAATCCCTGTTCTGGGCTTCCAAAAGCTGTGTTTTCATTTTGAATCCTCCTTCAGGCTTATACAGAGGTGGCAGAATGCAGTTTCTGGCAGTTGTAAGACTGAGGTTTCTGTTCCTTGCTGGCTGTCAATACAGAGAATAGGCAGGGCTGTGCTCAATTCCTGGTGCCTAACAGTGTTCTTTCCTACACAGCCTCTTCATTTTCAAAGCCCACGGTAGAGGAAACCCCTCATGCTGAATCCCTCTCACACTGCAAATCTCTATGCTCAGGAAGAACACAGACCTTTCAAGGACTCACCTAATTAGGACAGTCAAAGCAGGATAAACCCAGCCTAAAGTCAACTAATTGAGGCCCTTAGTTATATCTGCTAAATCCCTTCACAGCAGCATCTACACTAGAGTTGCTTGAATAACTGGGGGAAAGTGAATGACCGGGAGGTGGCTGTTGGGGGCCATCAAAGAATCAGCCCAGCAAGGGTTGGATCTTCCTTTTGTGTTTAATTTGGACACAGTTGGAAATTGAAGTTCAAGTAAAGTGATCATTGTGAATGGTAATAAAATGCATCCTCTTCAGCCATGGACATTCTCCTTACCTTTTAAAACTAAGTTACATGTGTAATGTCTTATAATTAATTTAGGCCAGGTGTGGTGGCTCACGCCTGTGATTCTAGCACCGTGGAAGGCAGAGGAAGGCAGATTTGTTGACTCCAGATGTTGAAGATCAGCCTGGGCAACATGGAGAAACCCCCATCTCTACAAAAAAATTTAGAAAATTAGCCAGGCGTGGTGCTTCATGCCTGTAGTCCCAGTTACTCAGGACGCTGAGATAAGAGGGTCCCTTGAGCCCAGGAAGTAGACACTGCAGTGCATGGTGATCATGCCACTGCACTCCAGCCTGGGCGACAGAGCGAGACCCTGTCTCAATAACAATAATATTAATAATAATGATAAATTTAGAGCAAATGCAAATTAATGTGTAATACTACATCCTCTTTTGTGAAAATGTGTTAGTTATTTACTATTGCATAACAAATTATGTAAAACTTAGCAGCTCAAAATGGCAAATATTCATCATCTCCCGCAGGTTCCAATGGTCAGGAATCCAGGAGAGGTTTCCCTGAGTGCTTCTTGCTCAGGGCCTCTCACAAGGTTGCAGTCCAGTTGTCAGCCTAGGCCTGCATCATCTGAGTGCTTCACTGGGACTGAGGATTCACATGAAACATGGATGGGTCACATGGCTGTTGGAAAAGCCCTAGTTCCTTGTTGTCTGTTCCCAGAAGGCCCCAGTTCTCAGCCACATGGACCTTCCTTCAGGGCTGCTTATGGCACAGCAGGTGGCTTCCCCCAGAGCTCATGATTCCAGAGACATTGAGAGAGAAGGGGGAGGCTGCAGTGAGTTTTATGTTCTACACCCAGAGTCACAAACTGTTATGTCAGCATTACCAGTTAGAAGTTGTATTAGTCCGTTCTCACATTGCTATAAAGAAATACCTGAGACTGGGTAATTTATAAAGGAAAGAGGTTTAATTGACTCATAGTTCTGCATTGCTGAGAAGGCTGCCCCATGAAACTTACAATCATGGCAGAAGTGGAAGCAAACACGTCCTTCTTCACATGGTGGCAGGAGAGAGAATTGCAGATCGAAGTGGGGAAAAATACCTCATAAAACCATCAGATCTCATGAGAATTCCCTCAGCATCATAAGAGCAGCATGGGGGTACCATACCCGTGATCCAATCACCTCCCAGGAGGTCCCTCCCCCGATACATAGGGATTACAATTTGCATGACAATTCAAGATGAGAATTTGGTGGGAACTCAGAGCCAGACCATATCAGAAATGCATCATTAAGTCCAAGCCACACTCAAGAGAGGAAATTAAGCAGCATCTCTGGAAGGGAACAGTATTAAAGGATTTGAATATATATTAAAAGCAAATTTAAAACTCTTGTTTCAGGATTTTGAGAATCAAAATTTTTTTATCTAATTATTTTTCGTTAACCCTTTTAGCTTGTCTTTTAATTTAATTTAATTTTAAGTTCCAGGTTATGTGTGCAGGATGCGCAGGTTTGTTACATAGGTAAATGTGTGCCATGGTGGTTTGCTGCACCTATCAAACCATCACCTATGTATTAACCCTGGCATGCATTAGCTATTTTTTCCTAATACTCCTCCCACCACTGCCCTCCCCCAGCAGGCACCAGTGTGTGATGTTCCTCTCCTTGTGTCCATGTGTTCTCATTGCTCATCTCCCAATTATAAGTGAGAACATGTGGTGTTTGGCTTTCTGTTCCTGTGTTAGTTTGCTGAGGATGGCTTCCAGCTTCATCCATATCCCTGCAAAGGACTGAATCTCATTCCTTTTTGTGGCTGCATAATATTCCATGGTGTATATGTACCATATTTTCTTAATGCAGTACATCATTGATGGGCATTTGGGCTGATTCCATGTCTTTGCTATTGTGGATAGTGCTGCAATAAGCATACACATGCATGTATCTTTATAATAGAGTGATTTATTTTCCTTTGGATGTATACCCTGTAATGGGATTGCTGGGTCAAATGGTATTTCTGGTTCTAAATCTTTGAGGAATCACCAAACTGTCTTCCACAATGGTTCAACCAATTTACATTTCCAGCAACAGTGTAAAAGCCTTCCTATTTCTCCACAACCTCGCCAGCATCTGGTGTTTATGTAGTTTTAAATAATTGCCATTCTGACTGGCATTAGATGGTATCTCATTTGTGGTTTTGATTTGCATTTCTGTAATCAGTGATGTTGAGCTTTTTTTCATGTTTTTTTGGCCACATGTACGTCTTATTTTGTGAAATGTCTCTTCATGTCCTTTGTTCACTTTTTAATGAAGTTTTTTTTCATGTAAATTTGCTTAAGTTCTTTATAGATTCTGAATATTAGACCTTTGTAAGATAGATAGATTGCAAAAATTTTCTCCCATTCTGTAGGGTGTCTGTTCACTCTGATAGTTTCTTTTTCTGTGCAGATGCTCTTTTGTTTAATTAGATCCCATATGCCAATTTTTGCTTTTGTGGCAGATGCTTTTGGCGATTTCATCATAAAATCTTTGCCCATGCCTGTGTCCTGAATGGTATTGCCTAGATTTTCTTTCAGGGTTTTTATAATTTTGTGTTTTACATTTAAGTCTTTAATCTATCTTGAGTTAATTTTTGTGTAAGGTGTAAGGAAGGGGTCTAGTTTCAATTTTCTGCATATGGCTAGCCAGTTCTCCCATCACCATTTATTAAATAGGGAATCCTTTCCCCGTTGCTTGTTTTTGTCAGGTTTGTTGAAGATCAAATGGTTGTAGATGTGCGGACTTTTTTTGTGAATTCTCTATTCTGTTCCATTGGTCTATGTGCCTGTTTTTGTACCAGTATCATGCTGTTTTGTTTACTGTAGCCTCACAGTATACTTTTAAGTGGGGTAGTGTGCTGCCTCCAGCTTTGTTCTTTTTGCTTAGTATTCTCTTTGCTATATGAGCTCTTATTGGATCCATATGAATTTTAAAATAGTTTTTTTTTCTAATTCCACGATAAGCTTATCTTTTAAAATTAATGATTAACTGTTTCAGACATCACAGAGCCTTGGGTGCTTAGGAGAAAACAGTTTGAAACAGAGAAAGGATATGCAACAGTAACTCTGAATTTTTCTTGTGAATACCTTTAATAACAATGTTGTTTTCAATTAGTTAACACAGTTGAGAACATAGAGTAACTAGATCAAATAGTTCCAAGACTTCAGTCTGATAAAAATAATGTCTTGAAAATAAGACTTTGTTTTGTCTAAGATATCTCAAATTTAGTGGAAGCACGTCCCAAGCACCAATTTTCTTATTGAAATATCATCTTCACTAAACATTTGCCTACACTTAAAAAAAAAAAACAAAAACTCCACTATATGGAGTAGCCATTCTTTTGTTTCTTTACTTCTCTAATAACTTGCTTTCACTTAGGAAAACATTGCCTAATCAAATTGCTTTTCATTTACAAAAGTGTGAATCTCATACTTCAGTCAACACATCTAGCTTAGCATGATGCCAATAACTTTGGTTTGATGCAGTAGCCTGAAATGGTTAGCTCAAATTGAGAAACAAGTTTTTTTCAAAAGCTAGCTATTTGGTGGGCATTACATAATAAACTTAACATCTTTTGCTCTGGTATTGAATGAGATGTGATAGAAGTCATTTGCACACCACTATGATTCTAAATAACACGGCTATTATGTGCTTCTGAAATTTTTTTTCTTTTTAGCAGTCCTATTCTGTTTTCCATTCATATTTGATATTCCATCACTGGTTATTCCTTCCTATTCTTTTCTTGTTTGATTTATTTTGATCAATTATTTGCATTTCCAATTCCGTAAAAGTTTAATTCAGTTGTATTTGTGGTAGAATGTAACATCAAATCCTTTGCAAGATGGAATTACCTTGCACAGCAGATTGAACATTGTATAACTGAAAATCTAGAGAGATGCCAGTCAGCCAAGGGTTAAATGACCTATTTTTAGCCAAGTCCATTTTCTTGGCATCCTGGTCCTCTCTGTCACATGACTCCTTACAATTCTCTGTGGTTTGCTTCCAATGTAAGTAGTTCTTATTAAGGATCCTTGCAATTAACTTTGGTATTCTTTTCTCTTACATTTTTTTAAAATTATACTTTAAGTTCTATGGTACATGTGCATAACGTGCAGGTTTGTCACATATGTATGCATGTGCCCTGTTGGTTTGCTGCCCTCTTTAACTAGTCATTTACATTAGGTATTTCTCCTAATGCTATCCCTCCCCCATCCCGCCACCCGACGACAGGCCCCAGTGTGTGATGTTCCCCATCCTGTGTCCAAGTGTTCTCATTGTTCAATTCACCTATGAGTGAGAACATGCACTGTTTGATTTTCTGTCTTCGCGATAGTTTGCTCAGAATGATGGTTTCCTGCTTCATCCATGTCACTACAAAGGACATGAACTCATCCTTTTTATGGCTGCATAGTATTCCATGGTGTATATGTGCTGCATTTTCTTAATCTAGTCTATCATTGATGGACATTTGGGTTGGTTCCAATTCTTTGCTATTGTGAATAGTGCCACAATAAACATACATGTGCATGTGTCTTTATAGTAGCATGATTTATAATCCTTTGGGCATATACCCAGTAATGGGATGGCTGGGTCAAATGGTATTTCTAGTTCTAGATCCTTCAGGAATTGCCACACTGTCTTCCACAATGGTTGAACTAGTTTACAGTCCCACCAACAGTGTAAAAGTGTTCCTGTTTCTCCACATCCTCTCCAGCACCTGTTGTTTCCTGACTTTTTAATGATTGCCATTCTAACTGGTGTGAGATGGTATCTCATTGTGGTTTTGATTTGCATTTCTCTGATGGCCAGTGATGATGAGCATTTTTTCATGTGTCTGTTGGCTGCATAAATGTCTTCTTTTGAGAAGTGTCTGTTCATATCCTTTGCCCACTTTTTATGGGGTTGTTTGATGGGTAGACTGCAAAAATTTTCTCCCATTCTGTAGGTTGCCTGTTCACTCTGATGGTAGTTTATTTTGCTGTGCAGAAGCTTTTTAGTTTAATTCGATCCCATTTGTCTAATTTGGCTTTTGTTGCCATTGCTTTTGGTGTTTTAGTCACGAAATCCTTGCCCATGCTGATTTCCTAAGTGGTATTGCCTAGGTTTTCTTTTGGGTTTTATGGTTTTAGGTCTAACATTGAAGTCTTTAATCCATCTGGAATTAATTTCTGTATAAGTTGTAAGGAAGGGATCCAGTTTCAGCTTTCTACATGTGGCTAGCCAGTTTTCCCAGCACCATTTATTAAGTTTCCCAGCACCTTTCCCTATTGCTTGTTTCTGTCAGGTTTGTCAAAGATCAGATGATTGTAGATGTGTGGTGTTACTTCTGAGGCCTCTGTTCTGTTCCATTGGTCTGTATCTCTGTTTTGGTACCAGTACCATACTGTTTTGGTTACTACAGCCTTGTAGTATAGTTTGAAGTCAGGTAGCGTCATGCCTCCAGCTTTGTTCTTTCGGCTTAGGATTCTCTTGGCAATGTGGTCTCTTTTTTGGTTCCATATGAACTTTAAAGTAGTTTTTTCCAATTCTGTGAAGAAAGTCATTGGTAGCTTGATGGGGATGGCATTGAATCTATAAATTACCTTGGGCAGTGTGGCCATTTTCACGATATGGATTATTCCTATCCATGAACGTGGAATGTTCTTCCATTTGTTTGTATCCTCTTTTATTTCATTGAGCAGGTTTGTAGTTCTCCTTGAAGAGGTCCTTCACATCCCTTGTAAGTTGGATTCCTAGGTATTTTATTCTCTTTGTAGCAATTTTGAATAGGAGTTCACTCATGATTTGGCTGTCTGTCTGTTATTGGTGTGTAAGAATGCTTGTGATTTTTGCACATTGATTTTGTATCCTGAGACTTTGCTGAAGTTGCTTATCAGCTTAAGGAGATTTTGGGCTGAGTTGATGGGGTTTTCTAGACATACAATCGTGTCATCTGCAAACAGGGACAATTTTACTTCCTCTTTTCCTAATTGAATACCCTTTATTTCCTTCTCCTGCCTAATTGCCCTGGCCAGAACTTCCAACACTATGTTGAATAGGAGTGATGAGAGAGGGCATCCCTGTCTTGTGCCAGTTTTCAAAGGGAATGCTTCCAGTTTTTGCCCATTCAGTATGATATTGGCTGTGGGTTTGTCATAGATAGCTCTTATTATTTTGAGATACGTCCCATCAATACTTAATTTATTGAGAGTTTTTAGCATGAAGGTTGTTGAATTTTGTCAAAGGCCTTTTTTGCATCTATTGAGATAATCATGTGGTTTTTGTCGTTGGTTCTGTTTAAATGCTGGATTATGTTTATTGATTTTCGTATGTTGAACCAGCCTTGCATCCCAGGGATGAAGCCCACTTGATCATGGTGGATAAGCTTTTTGATGTGCTGCTGGATTCGGTTTGCCAGTATTTTATTGAGGATTTTTGCATCTATGTTCATCAGGGATATTGGTCTAAAATTCTCTTTTTTTGTTGTGTCTCTGCCCGGCTTTGGTATCAGGATGCTGCTGGCCTCATAAAATGAGTTAGGGAGGATTCTCTCTTTTTCTATTGATTGGAATAGTTTCAGAAGGAATGGTACCAGCTCCTCCTTGTACCTCTGGTAGAATTCGGCTGTGAATCCATCTGGTCCTGGACTATTCTTGGTTGGTAAGCTATTAATTATTGCCTCAATTTCAGATCCTGTTATTGGTCTATTCAGAGATTCAACTTCTTCCTGGTTTAGTCTTGGGAGGGTGTATGCGTCGAGGAATTTATCCATTTCTTCTAGATTTTCTAGTTTATTTGCATAGAGGTGTTTATAGTATTCTCTGATGGTAGTTTGTATTTCTGTGGGATTGGTGGTGATATCCCCTTTATCATTTTTATTGCATCTATTTGATTCTTCTCTCTTTATTAGTCTTGCTAGTGGTCTATCAATTTTGTTGGTCTTTTCAAAAAATCAGCTCCTGGATTCATTGATTTTTTGAAGGGTTTTTTGTGTCTCTATCTCCTTCAGTTCTGCTCTGATCTTAGTTATTTCTTGCCTTCTGCTAGCTTTTGAATGTGATTGCTCTTGCTTCTCTAGTTCTTTTAATTGTGATGTTAGGGTGTCGATTTTAGATCTTTCCTGCTTTCTGTTGTGGGCATTTAGTGCTATAAATTTCCCTTTACACACTGCTTTGAATGCATCCCAGAGATTCTGGTATGTTGTGTCTTTGTTCTCGTTAGTTTCAAAGAACCTCTTTATTTCTGCCTTCCTTTCGTTTTGTACCCAGTAGTCATTCAGGAGCAGGTTGTTCAGTTTCCATGTGGTTGAGCAGTTTTGAGTGAGTTTCTTAATCCTGAGTTCTAGTTTGATTGCACTGTGGTCTGAGAGACAGTTTGTTATAATTTCTGTTCTTTTACATTTGCTGAGGAGTGCTTTACTTCCAACTATGTGGTCAGTTTTGGAATAAGTGCGGTGTGGTGCTGAGAAGAATGTACATTCTGTTGATTTGGGGTGGAGAGTTCTGTAGAAGTCTATTAGGTCTGCTTGGTGCAGAGCTGAGTTCAATTCCTGGATATCTTTGTTAACTTTCTGTCTCATTGATCTGTCCGATGTTGACAGTGGGGTGTTAAAGTTTCCCATTACTATTGTGTGGGAGTCTAAGTCTCTTTATATGTCTCTACGGACTTGCTTTATGAATCTGGGTGCTCCTGTATTGGGTGCATATCTATTTAGGATAGTTAGCTCTTCTCATTGAATTGATCCCTTTACCATTATGTATTGGCCTTCTTTGTCTCTTTTGATCTTTGTTGGTTTAAAGTCTGTTTTATCAGAGACTAGGATTGCAACCCCTGCCTTTTTTTGTTTTCCATTTGCTTGGTAGATCTTCCTCCATCCCTTTATTTTGAGCCTATGTGTGTCTCTGCACGTGAGATGGGTTTCCTGAATACAGCACACTGATGGGTCTTGACTCTTTATCCAATTTGCCAGTCTGTGTCTTTTAATTGGAGCATTTAGCCCATTTACATTTAAGGTTAATATTGTTATGTGTGAATTTGATCCTGTCATTATGATGTTAGCTGGTTATTTTGCTCATTAGTTGATGCAGTTTCTTCCTAGCCTCAATGGTCTTTACTATTTGGCATGTTTTTGCAGTGGCTGGTACCAGTTGTTCCTTTCCATGTTTAGTGCTTCCTTCAGGAGCTCTTGTAAGGCAGGCCTGGTGGTGACAAAATCTCTCAGGATTTGCTTGTCTGTAAAGGATTTTATTTCTCCTTCACTTACAAAGCTTAGTTTGGCTGGATTTGAAATTCTGGGCTGAAAATTCTTTTCTTTAAGAAAGTTGAATATTGGCCCCTACTCTCTTCTGCCTTGTAGAGTTTCTGCTGAGAGATCAGCTGTTAGTCTGATGGGTTTCCCTTTGTGGGTAGCCCGACCTTTCTCTCTGTCTTCCCTTAACATTTTTTCCTTAATTTCAACTTTGGTGAATCTGACAATTATGTGTCTTGGAGTTGCTCTTCTTGAGGAGTATCTTTGTTGTGTTCTCTCTATTTCCTGAATTTGAATGTTGGCCTGCCTTGCTAGATTGGGGAAGTTCTCCTGGATAATATCCTGCAGAGTGTTTTCCAACTTGGTTCCATTCTCTCCGTCACTTGCAGGTACACCAATCAGATGCAGATTTGGTCTTTTCACATAGTCCCATATTTCTTGGAGGCTTTGTTCATTTCTTTTTATTCTTTTTTCTCTAAACTTCTCTTCTCACTTCATTTCATTCATTTGATCTTCCATCACTGATAACCTTTCTTCCAGTTGATCGAATCAGCTACTGAAGCTTGTGCATTCATCACTTAGTTCTCGTGCCGTAGTTTTCAGCTCCATCATGTCCTTTAAGGACTTCTCTGCATTGGTTATTCTAGTTAGCCATTCATCTCATCTTTTTTCAAGGTTTTTAACTTCTTTGTCATGGGTTCGAACTTCCTCCTTTAGCTCGGAGAAGTTTGATCGTCTGAAGCCTTCTTCTCTCAACCTATCAGAGTCATTCTCCTTCCAGCTTTGTTCCATTGCTAGTGAGGAGCTACATTCCTTTGGAGGAGGAGAGGCACTCTGATTTTTAGAATTTTCAGTTTTTCTGCTCTGTTTTTTCCCCGTCTTTGTGGATTTATCTACCTTTGGTCTTTGATGATGGTGACGTACAAATGGGGTTTTGGTGTGGATGTCCTTTCTGTTTGTTAGTTTTCCTTCTGACAGTCAGGACCCTCAGCTGCAGGTCTGTTGGAGTTTGCTGGAGGTCCACTACAGACCCTGTTTGCCTGGGTATCAGCAGTGGAGGCTGCAGAACAATGCATATTGGTGAACAGCAAATGTTGCTGCCTGATCTTTCCTCTGGAGGTTTTGTCTCAGAGGAGTACTTGGCCGTGTGACGTGTCAGTCTGCCCCTACTGGGGGGTGCCTCCCAGTCAGGCTACTTGGGAGTCAGGGACCCACTTGAGGAGGCAGTCTGTCTGTTCTCAGGTCTCAAGCTGCATGCGGGAGAACCACTACTGTCTTCAAAGCTGTCAGACAGGGACATTTAAGTCTGTAGAGGTTTCTGCTGCCTTTTGTTTGGCTATGCCCTGCCCCCAGAGGTGGAGTCTACAGAGGCAGGCAGGCCTCCTTGAGCTGTGTGGGCTCCACCCAGTTCGAGCTTCCTGGCCGCTTTGTTTACCTACTCAAGCCTCAGCAATGGCGGGCACCCCTCCCCCAGCCTTGCTGCCACCTTGCAGTTTGATCTCAGACTGCTGTGCTGGCAATGAGCGAGGCTCTGTGGGCGTAGGACCCTCCGAGCCAGGCATGGGATATAATCTCCTGGTGTGCCGTTTGCTAAGACCATAGGAAAAGTGCAGTATTAGGGTGGGAGTGACCTAATTTTCCAGGTGCCATCTGTCACCCCTTTCCTTGGCTAGGAAAGGGAATTCCCTGACCCCTTGCGCTTCCTGGGTGAGGCGTGGCCTCGCCCTGCTTTGGCTCACACTTGGTGCACTGCACCCAATGTCATGCACCCACTGTCTGACAGTCCCCAGTGAGATGAACCTGGTACCTCAGTTGGAAATGCAGAAATCATTCGTCTTCTGCGTTGCTCACCCTGGGAGCTATAGACTGGAGCTGTTCCTATTCCCCGAATTAATTTTTGTTGACTGAATAAATGAAATATGAGTGTATTAAAATTTAATTTCATCACAGAAAATTATAAAATAAACAATACTGGAAAAGATTGAGAAAGTTTTTATTTTATGTAACTAGTGTGCATATCAATTCATAAATTCATTCCATTTGTCTGTTGAGACTGTACGAATTTTATGACTGCACAACAAATTATCACAAATATTGGCTTTAAACAATACCCATTTATTTAATTAATTCATTTATTTTTAGAGAAATGGTCTCTTTCTCTCATCCATTTTGAAGTGCAGTCACACAGTCATGGCTCACTGCAGCCTTGAAATCCTGGGCTCAAAGGATCCTCCTGGCTCAGTCTTCAGAGTAACTAGAACTACAGGCAAATGCCACCACGCCCAGCTAATTAAAAAAAAAAATTGTAGAGATGAGAGTCTCATTGCATTACCCAGGCTGGTCTCAAATTCCTGAGTGTAAGTGATCCTCCTGTGTAAGCCCCTCAAATGTTAGGATTGCAGGTGTGTGCTACCACACCTGCCCAAACAACATCCACTGATCTGTTTACAGTTCTTTAGGCAGAAATCCAGGCATGATGTAGACGGGGTCTCTATTCAGGGCTTCCCAAAGCTGTGTTTTCATTTTGAATCCTCCTTCAAGCATATATAGAGGCGGCAGAATTCAGTTTCTGACAGTCGTTAAGACTGAGTTTCCTGTTCCCTGCTAGCTGTCAAGGTAGAGAGGAGGGAGGGCTGTGCTCAATGCCAGGAGCCAAGCAGCATTCTTTTCTAGTCAGCCCCTTCAATTTCAAAGCCCACAGTGGAGGAAACCCCTCACACTGAATCCCTCTCACACTGTGAATCTCTATGCTCAGGAAGAACCCAGTCCTTTCATGGGCTCACCTGATTAGGACTGTCCAAGCAGGCTAAACCCAGCCTCAAGTCAACTGATTGAGGACCTTGATTATATCTGCTAAATCCCTTCACAGCAGCACCTACAGTAGAGTTGGTTGAATAATTGGGGGAAGGTGGATGACCAGGAGCTGGTTGTTGGGGCTATTATAGAATCAGCCTAGCAAGGGTTGGATTTTCCTTTTGTGTTTAATTGAGACACAGTTGGAAATTGAAGTTCAAGTAAAGCGATCATTGTGAATGATAATAAAATACATCCTCTTCAGCCATGGAGATTCACCTTACCTCTTACAATCAAGTGACAGGTTTAATAGCTTATAATTAATTCATGCCAGGTGTGGTGGCTGGCACCTCCAATCCTAGCACTGTGGCGGGCAGAGGAAGGCAGATCCATTGACTCCAAGAGTTTGAGATCAGCCTGGGCAACATGGTGAAACCTCCATCTCTACAAAAACATTAGAGTATTATCCAGGCATGGTGGTTCATGCCTGTAGTCCCAGCCAGCTACTCAGGAGGCTGAGGTCAGAGGATATTTGAGCACAGGAAGTCAACACAGCAGTGAATGGTGAACATGCCACTGCACTCTAGCCTCTGTGACAGAGCAAGATGCTGTCTCAAAAATAGTAATAATCATGATCATAAATTTAGAGCAAATGAAAATTGAAGTGCAATAAATCATCCTCTCTTATGAAAATGTATTAGTTATTTACTATTGCATAACAAATTACATAAAACTTAGCAGCGCAAAACAACAAACATCATCTACCGCAGTTTTCAATGGTCAGGAATCCAGGAGCAAGGTTTCCCTGAGTGCTTCTGGCTCAGAGCCTCTCACAAGGTTACAGTCCAGTCCAGGGCTGCATCGTCTGAGAGCTTCACTAGGGCTTGGGATTTACATGAAACATGGCTCACTCACATGGTTCCTTGTTGTCTGGTCCCAGGAGGCCTCAGTTTTTAGCCACATGGACCTTCCTGCAGGGCTGCTTATGGCACAGCAGTTGGCTTCCCCCAGAGCTCATGATCCCAGAGACAGAGAGAGAGAAGCTGCAGTGAGTTTTATGTTCTACACCCAGAGTCAAAAACTGTTATATCAGCACTACTCTATCAGTTAGAAGTTGTATTTGTCTGTTCTCACACTGCTATAAAGAAATACCTGAGACTGGGTAATTTATAAAGGAAAGAGGTTTAATTGACTCACAGTTCTGCATGACTGAAGAGGTGGCCTCAGGAAATTTACAATCATGGCAGAAGGGGAAGGAAGCATGTCATTCTTCACATGGTGGTGGGAGAGAGAAATGCAAGGTTGTGGGGGGCGGGGGTGGCAGGGAAGACTCTTGTAAAACCATCAGATCTCATAGAACTCACTCACTATCATGAGAACAGCATGAGGGAACCATCCCCATGATCTAATCACTTCCCACCATGTCTTTCCCCTAGCACGTGGGGATTACAATTCAAGATGAGTTTGGGTGGGGACACAGGGTGAGGCCATATCAGAAGTGCATCATTAAGTCCAAGCCGAACTCACAGGGAAGGAATTAAGCTGCACCATTGGAAGGGAGGAGTATCAAGGGATTTGCATACATGTTGAAAGCAAAATTAAAATTATTATTTCAGGATTTTGTAAATCAAATGCTTCTTTCATGTGATTATTTTTCTTTAATGCTTTAAGCTTCTTTTTAATTTTTATTTTAAGTTTCAGGGTACATATGCAGGATGTGCAGGTTTGTTACATAGGTAAACGTGTGCCATGGTGTTTTGCTACACTTATCAACCCAGCACCTAGGTATTAAGCCTAGCATGAATGAGCTATTTTTCCTAATGCACACCCCACCTCTGCCCTCCCCCAAAAGGACACAGTGTTCCCCTCCCAGTGCCCATGGATTCTCATTGCTCAGCTCCCAATTATCAGTGAGAACATGCAGTGTTTGTTTTTCTGTTTCTGCATTAGTTTGTTGAGGATAATGGCTTCCAGCTTTTTCCATGTCCCTGCAAAACATGATCTCCTTCCTTTTTAAGGCTGCATAGTATTCCATGGTGTACATGTGGTATGTTTTCTTTATCCAGTCTATTGTTGATGGGCATTTAGGTTGATTCCATGTCTTTGCTATTGTGAGTGGTGCTGCAATGAACATACACATGGATGTAACTTTATAATAGAATGATTTATATTTCTTTGGGTATATACCCAGTAATGGGATTGCTGGGTCAAATGGTATTTCTAGTTCTAGATCTTTGGGGAATCTACAATGTAGTCTTCCACAATGGTTGAACTAATTTACATTCCCACCAACAGTTAAAGCATTCCTATTTCCCTGCAACCTTGCCAGTATCTGTTGTTTCTTGACTTTTTAATAATCACCATTCTGACTGGCATGAGATGGTATCTCATTGTGGTTTTGATTTGCATTTCTCTAATGACCAGTGATGATGAGCTTTTTTTCATATGTTTGTTGGCCACATGTATGTCTTCTTTTGAGAAGTGTCTGTTCATGTCATTTGCCCACTTTTTAATGGGGTTGTTTGTTATTTTCTTGTAAATTTGCTTAATTTCCTTGTAGATTGTGGATATTAGATCTTTGTCAGATGGATAGATTACAAAAATTTTCTTTCATTCTGTAGGTTGTCTGTTCACTCTGATCACAGTGTCTTTTCCTGTGCAGAAGCTCTTTAGTTTAATTAGATCCCATTTGTCAGTTTTTGCTTTTGTGGCAGATGCTTTTGGCGATTTCATCATAAAATCTTTGCCCATGCCCAGGCAAATGGTATTGCCTAGATTTTCTTCTTGGGTTTTTATAGTTTTGGGTTTTACATTTAGGTCTTTAATCCATCTAGAGTTAATTTTTGTGTAAGATGTAAGGAAGGGGTCCGGTTTCAGTTTTCTGCAAATGGCTAGCCCGTTTTCCCAACATCATTTATTAAATATGGAATCATTTCCCTGTTGCTTGTTTTCATCAGGTTTGTTGAAGATCAGATGGTTTTAGATATGCGGTTTTATTTCTGAGTTCTCTACTCTCTTCCATTAGTCTATTACCATGCTGTTTTGGTTACTGTAGCCTGTAGTATAGTTTGAAATCAGGTAGTCTGAGGCCGCCCGCTTTGTTCTTTTTGTGTAGGATTGTCCGGGCTATATGAGCTCTTCTTTGGTTCCATATGAATTTTAAAATAGTTTCTTCTAATTCTGTGATAAGCTTCTCTTTTTAAATTAATGATTAAAAGTTTGAGACATCACAGAGCCTTGGGTGTTGTGGGGAAAACAGTTTGAGACAGAGAAAGAGGATACAATAGTATGTCTGAGTTTTTCTTGCAAATACCTTTAATAACAATATTCTCTTCAATGAGTCAACAGTTGAGAACCCAGAGTAACTAGAGCAAATATTCCAAAGACTTCTGTGCCGTAAAAATAATGACTTGAAAATAAGTCTTTGTTTCAACTAAGGTGTCTCACATTTAGTTGAAGTATGCCCCAAGTGCCAATTTTCTTATTGAAATATCATCTTCAAAAAACATTTGCCTACACTTAAAAAAAAGGGCTGTTGTGTCTATTGAGTAGCCATTCTTTTGTTTCCTTACTTCTCTCATAAACTTGATTTCACTTTAAAAAATTTGCCTAATTGGTTTTAATTTACAAAAATGTGAATCTCATACCTCAGTTAACACATCTAGCTTAGCAAGATGTCAATAGCTTTGGTTGGATGCAGTAGCCCAAAATGGTTAGCTCCAACTGAGGCATAAGATTTTTCAAAAACTGGCTATTTGGTGAGCATTCTATAATAAACTTAACATCTTTTGTTCTGGTATTGAATCAGATATGATAGAAGTGATTTGGACACCACTATGATTCTAAATAGCACTGCAATTTTGTGCTTTCAAGTTTTTTTGAGCAATCCTGTTGTGTTTTCCATTCATATTTGCTATTCCATCACTGGTTGTTCCTTTATACTCTTTTATTGTTTCATCTATTTTGATCAATGATGTGCATTTCCAATTCTGTAAAAGTTTAATTCAGTTGTATGTGTGGAATATGTAACAAATCAAATCCTTTGCAAGATGGAATTACCTTGCACATCAGATTGAATCTTGTATACCTGAAAATCTAGAGAGATGCCTGTGAGCCAAGGATCATATGGCCCTTTAGCCAAGGGTATTGTCATGGCATCCTGTAAGGAGCCTCTCTGTCATGTGGCTCCTTACAATTCTCTGTGGTTTTCTTCCAATGTAAGTAGTTCTTGTTAAGGATCCTTGCAATGAACTTTGATATTTTTTTCTTTCATTTTTTAAGAAACAGGTATATTTTAGTTTGAAAAATACTGTTTAAGGAGTTATAATCTAGTAGTTACCTGGGTTCCCAGCACTGGCGTAAGACACAGAACCCGCAAAGCCACCCTGGGCTGCTGCCCAATCACATCCCCCAGAATGAGACCCCATCCTGAGTCTTGTTTTTATTATTACTTTGTATTTCTTTAAATATTTGTACAATAAGTATATATAATCTCAAACCAAATATTAGTTTCACTGGTTTTTAAGCTTCCTGTACAGAAATTCCTACTGCATTTCTTTTCTCATGATGCACATTATGTATAGGAGTTATCTGTTGTGTGGGAGGCTGTCATTCACTCATTTTTACTGCTGAAGGTTTACATTTTATGGTTATACCACAATTTCACTACTTTGCTATTGATGTATAGGAGGCTGATTCCAGTTTTTGCCATAAACATTAGTGTGCATGTCTCCTGGGCACATAGGCGAGAAAGCCGCCAGAGTGTATGATTAGGAGTGGGATGGTTGGATGATATGTTGTATGGCCTTTAACCATACTAAATAATGATAATATGATTTCCAAAGTAATTGTGCCAACTTAAGCTTTTACAATAAATGTGTAATATGTGATGTTGATGTGTTCTGAAAACACTGAGTTGAAGGAATTAAGAGTTAATAGCAACTGCCTTGGCTGCAGAATTATAGCAGATTTTTTTTTTTTTTTTTTTTTTGACGGAGTCTTGCTCTGTCACCCAGGCTGGAGTGCAGTGGCACAATCTCGGTTCACTGCAAGCTCCACCTCCTGGGTTCACGCCATTCTCCCGCCTCAGCCTCTTGAGTAGCTGGGGCTACAGGTGCCCGCCACCACACCGGCTAATTTTTTTTTTGTATTTTTAGTAAAGACAGGGTTTCACCGTGTTAGCCAGGATGGTCTCTATCCCCTGACCTCGTGATCCGCCCGTCTAGGCCTCCCAAAGTGCTGGGATTACAGGCATGAGTCACCATGCCCAGCCTATAGCAGGCATTCTTATTCAGACTCTGTTAATAACTTCCTGTTGTTAACTTGTATCCTATATACCATGGCTTTATACTTTTAACATATAGATTCAGAAAATGTTTCCTTATAGTACAAACACATAGGGTTATTTTATATGTCAGAATATGTCATAATAAAAAAGAAAAAAATGGAGGAAAGGAGAGAAAGAAGGAGAGAGGAGTGAAGGAAGCAAAGAAGGAAGGGGAAGAGAAGGAGGGAGGGAGGGCAAATGGAAATAGAAAAGAAAGAGAGGGAGGGAGAGATAGAAGTGAGAAGAAAGGGAAGGAATAAAGGAGAAAAGAAACGAAAATAAAGAAAAAAACAGGCGTAGAGAAACTAGGAACCCAATATATGGCTAATATTATCAAAATGGGAGGAAATAAAACGGATGTATTTAACCTCTATAGAATAACAGAAATGTAAGAGGGCTTCATTAGTTATCCATTGCTGTATAACAAACTACCCCCAAATTTAGTGACTTAAAGCAACAAACATCGACTATCTCAAAAGCATAATACAAATACTAGCAAAATGGAGCCAATGCAGGTAGAAGAAGTTGAACAAACAAAAGGATTTTACAAATTGGAGTAAGTAAGAGGTCACTGGTGTGCAGATGAAAATGATTTTGCATTCCAAGTGCCATCATGGGATTAAAGTTACAGGATTTTATTAGGGGACACACCTGTCAGAGATATAGCAACGGAGGCAGGTTACCCTGGGAAAGGCAACAGACCAAGATGCAAATGTGACCCCCAGTGATGGACAGAAGGACAGAAGGTTTACTGGATGTGTCCTAGACCACAGGCAATCTCAGGAGAGTTGAGCAAAGCCATGGAGGAGTCTTTGAGCCACTGCTGTCCGTCAGAGGAGTCCCTGGTCTCCCAGGAATGTCCTGCCTCAGTGTCACTGGTGTGACCCATCACTGGCTGGGAACAGCCCATGGGAAGCAGGGTCTCTGCACCAATGACACTGAGGATGTCAGAGCACAGGAGTGGGGCCTTGGGTGATTACCCAGGAGTGTGGCTCAAACCTCCTGTCCTGAGAGGTCTGGGCCCTTGGAAATCAAATCCTCTCAGGCTGGATTGCTGGATGATTCTGCTCACATTTACAAAGGGACAAGGCAAACCAGAAGGCCCCCAAGTAGATCTCTGGTTCTCACACACACACTTCTGCCCTCATTGTGTGAAAGTAGCCATGCCTCCTCCTGGAGATCAGGATCTATTACCTGCACCTGGAGAGGAAGAGACTCCTTTTCTCACCAGCTGGTCTCTGGGCACATACTGTCCAAACTTCTCTGGTGACAACCATAATGTGTAGTTCAATGGGCTGTCATGTGTCTCCTTTTAAGGACCTCCTGCCCTGAACAGCCCAAAGTTGGGAGATAAAACGTGCAAAATACCCCAGTGGGTGAATCTAAGAGACTGGACATGGAGACAAACCTGCTTCCAACTTTCGGTTTCTAGACCCACATCTTCTTCCTATTGAGAACACAGCACCGTAGAGATGTCTCTGATTCAAACAATGCACCATGTCCTGAAAAACGGCCCCCACCCCTCAGAGTGCTTCCTCCAGGATGACACTGAGTTTTGCCTGTAGAAGACATTTCCAGCATTCCTTGTGGCTGGCAGCCCCTGGGTGGTGCAGATGGTGATCAGATCAGTGAAACCCATAGCCACGGAAACACTGGAACTTTCCCTGCCAAGTGGGTCCTTCAGGCAGATACTGGGTTGGGAGCACCGCCTAGCCTGTGGATCAGGAATGTCAACAGCACCCAGAGAGTGGTGCTGGCTGAGTGTCCGAGAGCAGGACAGGAAAACTCACCCATGGAATATGAGCCTACCCCTGTGAAGATGAACCTCAGGCCCTTCTAGGATGGAAGTAGCTAAATGTAGTCAACTTGTTACATAGTGGCTAGTTAGTCACCTAAAGAAATAGTGCCCCACGAGGGCACATGGTGGGCCTCAAATGCTGATGAGTTGGACATTCAGAGGTGGCAGCAGCTGGATCTGTCTTGATAATGGGGAGTCAGTACTTCTGGCCCCATATGTAGCCTCAGGCCTGCCACTGTGCTTGCTCCATTCATGTGCCCATCCTACCAGGCCTGCGTTGACCCATAGTGAAGGCTGGCTAACTTCCATTTGTCTGTTTGGTTGTTCAGTGCTGCTTCAGACTTGGGTGTTTTCTGGGGGTGTCAACATGGGATTCAAGCACAACCCAGGTGGACCATTTTCACCTCATGATGAATGCTGTTGGGCCTGTCCAATCTATGACTTTCTGGGTCACACAGAAGCCAATTCACACAGGTACTTGGAATCACATCATTGCTTGGTGTCCTGTGGTTAAGCATTCTATCGAATCAGGACCAGGAACACTAAAAGTTGCTTCTAATGGGGAGCCATGTCTCTGCTGTGGATGACATGATCTTACTCCAGATCCCAGGCCCTCCACCATGACTCTCCCACTGCTGCTTGGTTCAGCTCCATCCTGCATCTTTCCCCACCCCTGCCCCTTCCAGTACCAAGAGGTCTGAGGGATGGTGGCTGCACCGCAGCCTGTATCTGCTGCAGGGTGCTTTCCTGTGTAGGCCTCACTTGAAGCTGGCCTCCTCCTATGTCACCTAGAGTGTGGGCCAAAGCAACATTTCTACATGTGGAATGTGCTGTCGTCAGAACTCCAAGAGGCTCACCGGGGAGTGTGCTTTCTTTTTTTGCACTAAGGATGCAAAATGCAACACTTTGTAATTTACCTAGGAGGGGACACCCCTGCATTCCCCTAAACACTGGACTCATAAAACTTCACTACAGTGACCTTTCCTGAAGCTCTGTAAGGTTTATCTTCACCTTCTGAAGTGCAAATGTTTTGCCAACGATGCCAGTGCACTTTCTACCTGCTGCTCATTCGCCCCAGTCAACATGAAGTTGTGAATGAAATGAGCTGATTTAATATCCTTTAGGATATCCAGTATGTCTAGTATAGTCATAAGACTATACTATAGAGGACAGGGGAGTTACAAAAGTCCTGAGGCAAACTATAATTCAATGTGTTGTGGATCCCACATGAATGTGAATCACTCCATATACCCTTTGTAACTGGAATGGAAAGAAATGCACTCACCAAATCCACAGCTGCACACTGTGTGCCCAAGGCTTTGTTAATCTGCTCTACCAGTGATATCCAGACAGCACAAAAGCTGCACTTATAACTCCTACTTGGCCATATCTGGAGTAATCTCATTCATTCTTTAGGCCTCACTAGGCTTCCTCAGGGACAGATTGCTGGATTACACGGAGACAATAGGCAGCCTCAACACCACCCCGCCTCCTTCAGCTTTGTAATGGTGGTGTGACCCCCACAATACTTGCAGTGTCCTTCACAAGACCCACCCTGGGACACACTATGATTTTTGATTTGGCCAGGATGGGGGCAGTTTCAGAGGTTTCCCTTTGGCCTTTGGCATCAAGAGATCCCTTATACCACAGACTGGGGACCCAGTGTGGGGGTGACTCCACTTACCAGAGCATCAGTGTCAATTATGCACTCAGGGAATTGGAAGATAATCAGGGTTGGGTCTATGCATCCAGTGGTCCCATTGCGGGCCATAATGTGTCCAGGTTTACTCCCTGGCCTCCGTAAGCCCCACTGTGATGGAGAAGATGATTGTGCTGTGGGCATCTGGGCATCAATATCAGCTTACATGCAATGAAAATGATCCCCCTAGTTCTGCCTATTTCCCTTCCCCAATGTACAGTCTCCTGAGTAAATGGCTATAGGTTCCCTTGCCGAAAGACTGAGGGAATTGTCCCAGCCATATACCTCCATGGTGTCCCAGGGTCCTTTCTCTAGGGATATGGACTCCTCCTCTGTCACTGAGATCTGAGTCTGAATCTTGATTGAAGTCTAGGCATTGAGAAGGGGATCATGGCTTTGTATTTGGTCGAACACCCTCAGTCTCCTGCTCCTCAATTCTTGCTTTCTTATCATATATATCAAGCAGTGCCCTTGTTGGCTGCCTCTTGTAACCCTGGTGTCCTCTCTACTAACTTTCCCCACACTCCCTGCAGCTTGAGTCCCCTTGGCTGCTCCTCTGAGGTTGCCATGGTAACCATGCCCTCCGGCTTTTGCAGGTCACTGCCACCACTTGTTCTCAGTCTCTGCAGGCCCACATTCTCCCCAGAGATATGAATAAGCACAACTCTGGGACCTTTACTATCATCACGCCCAGCCTGCAGAGGATAACACCCCGACACTTCTTAGTGATGCAGGTCCCTCTCCACAGCATGTTCCTGAGGCTCTGGTGGAAGGTGTGCCCTCTGGGTCCTCTTGTGGAGCATGGTCCTGGTGGGCCTTCATCACACCCACTTCCCTCAGCCTTGTTATTGCGTCCTCTACATGTTCCAGGATAACTAGGTCATATCTACCTTGTTGAGAGTTGGGCATCATTTTTTCCAGTCTATATGGACTCACCCCAGTAGTGGGTTTACCCCATGTCCTGGGTTCTTTGATAAACCCATGTCCTGAGAAAGTGCCTCCAAGCCAAAGGATTTTTATTCATCCAGACTGAAATTCTAGTTTATTGATCAAATACCCTCAAATTCCAATCCCAGAAGTGCACCCCAGGCCCCTATGGGGACATGCTGGCTAGTTCCTGCAAAGCTCCTGAGTGGGATTCCTGCTGCATCGTAGGGGTGAGGCTTCTGTAGCATCTTTCAGCATAGGAAGTGGGAACGATTACTAGAGAAGGGTGAGCCTCCTCTGCATGCCCAGGGGGTCCTGGGGGAGGGCACCCATCAGATAACTCTGTTCTAGTTTGCAGAATCTGAGGTTCCCCCACCAGGGCCCTGACTTTCCTATAAAAGGCCTGTGTTGGCTGAGTATCAAACGTCTCTGGAGCACTGTGCCCACCATAATGATGTTCAGCTACCATTCCATGCTATCTGCTCTTTTGATCCAGGAGATAAAGGCCTCTCCATGAGACACTGCAGAGACTCTCACACATAGCCAGTGACAGCTGTTAACAACCTGCAGATTCTCATTATCCTTTTATAGAGCATCAACACAGCTGGGAAGTAACCAGCCAACTCCACTGTCTTTGTGGGTTTACCCCCAACTCCATCATTATTGTGCAGGGCATTCTATCACCACATCTTCCATAGCTTCCCCTAACCAGAGCATCTTCTCAGGTTAGCACTGGTGAGACCCACGGCAGCTCAGATGCAACTTCTCCATGGACTTTCTTTGTCCCCCGCTAACCTAGATGGCATCCTCTTGGCCTGACAGGCAGTGGGAAAGCTTATTTCAAATTTCCAGTTTTGGTCATTTTCATGGATCGCCCTTGATACCACTTGTGATAGCTGCGGTCCTGAAGTTAGACCCCAATACAGTATTAAATGTGTAAGGATTTATTAGGGGAAATAGTTGTGAGAGAAAATCAGGATAGAGACAGAAATGCTGGAAAAGCCATCAGATCACAATGCAACTCTGAGTCCCAGTGAAGGAGAGAGGGCAGGAAGGTCAGCTGGAAGCATCCTAGACCCTGTGTAGGCTAAGGGAAGCTCAGTAGGGATGGCAGGGAGTCCTGGAGCCTCAGCCAGCCTTCGGAGTAGGAATATTCTTGCCTTAGTTTTCCTGCTTTGGTCAATCATTGGTTGGAAAAAGCTGGGGCAGGTGTGGTCTCAGATCAAACGTGACAATAGATTTCAGGCTGCGACAGCTGGGATATCATCAATTATTCTTCCTCTACCTGAGGGCCTGGGATGTGCATCCTCATGAGTGCCACAATGATCCACTGGAATAAAAGGAAAAGGGATGACAATAGAGGGAAAAAATGGTATTAATTGATGAACTAACACTTTAAGTAGATGAGAAGGGATGATGTTCAGGGTGCCAGCAGAGGAACTGGCTCTGGTTGGGAGCAGGATGTTTAACACACAGCAATCCCCCATGTAGTAAAATGCCTGACATGTGGTGCAGCTGCAAATGCATGGGCAGACGGTGGTGGAATCTGTGAAGTTGTCTTCTAAATGTGTTCAGTTTTCTCAGTGAAGTAGGAAGCAAGATCATCAGCGGAAGTAAGAATGGGGAAGGAGGATTGGATGTGTGAGGACAGAGAGAAGGTATGTAAGAGTCACCCAGGCCAGGAGGAGGCTGAGGGTGAGCCATGCAGGGAGAGGGTGATTGCTGGCTATGGTGGGGGCTCCCCATGAGGTTTGGGTCGTGAATGTAGAGAGAACAGTCAGCATGTTGTGTGCTGCTCTCCAGCCTCCTGCAGCTCATGGGGGCAGGTGCAGTGTAGGCTGAGGTGGAATCCACTAGCTGTGTAGTTTTGCCAGGCAAGTGTGACAACGAAAGGGAGAGGCAAGGGAGGGATGGAAATTATTTACTACAGAATCCAAAATGGATGAGGAGGGAGGAGAGGACAACAAACACTAAGGGAGAAGGAATAGATAGCAGCATCACTGGATTGGGAATTTCAAGGGGGTGGAAAAATTATTGGAATAGATGTACTACAGAATGGACTCCATGCCTGGAAAGCAGGCACACATGCAATGAGTGGTTCACTGATGTTACATTATAGCATATGATCAAATTATAGCATCAGTGTCTTCAGAGCCTGTGGCTACCCTGCAAGGGGATGAGTGGAAAGATGGTCAGAGAGTGGGAAGTGTGAGATTGAGAGTGCGGAAGGGCTGGGGTTCTTTGCCATGATGAGGCCTAGGGGAGGACAAGGTCCTGAGATTCCGGCAGAGAGAGGAGATGGTAATGAAGAAAAGGAGTTCCAGGATCTGAGAGGCCAGGGAGTGAGGGCATCTTCTCTGCTGTATAGGTGTCTATTGCTGCCATAAAAATTACCACAAACCAAGCAGCTTTAAACAGCACCTAATTATCATGTCACAGTTGTGTGGGTTGCAAGTCCACCCAGTCTCACGGGGCTAAGATCAAGGTATGGGCAGGTCTGTGCTCCTTCCTGGAGAATCTGGGGAAGAGTCCACATCCAAGCTTATTCAGGTTCTTGTCTGAATTCACTTCCTGCAGATAGAACTGAGCTTCCCACTTCCTTTTTGGGAGCACCCTTAGATCCTAGAGACTTCTCTCTGGTGCCTAAAGCACATCCAATCCTCCTGCTTGGAACCACTGATCTCCCCTTTGCTGTGTCTCCTCTGCCTTCCTTCTCTGCAGCATGTGACTCCATCCAGAGCAGATTCTCTCCTTTTAATGGCTCATGTGATTTGATCGGGCCCACACAGAGAGTCCAGGATTATCTCCCTACTTTAAGGTCCTTTATCTTCATTACATGAGTAATGTCCCTTTTGCCATGCAATGCAACCTGTTCACCGACTCCAAGGACTAAGACTGGATCTCTTTGGGGACGAGTACTCAGCCCAGCACATCTGCATATGTTGAAGTCAGAAAGAATCAAGGAGACAGCACTGCTGGAGAGGGTGACAGTGATCTAGGAGCTACAAGAGTTAGGATTGACAGGAATGGCTTGGGGCCCACAGGGAATGGCTACAATGAGGGGAGCGGGGCCTTAGTCTGATGACAGCTTAGGGGTTTTAGGGAGGAGGGATGCAGAAAGGTCTGAGAACCACAGTGAAGAGCAAGGACCCCACCTCACCTCTGAACCCAGGGGTACAAGTTGCTGGGAAACTCCCCCATGTAGGGGAACTTCAGAGCGGGTCACATCCTCAGGAAGACCTGGTTCCTGCTAGAGCTTCGAGGTGAGGGAGCATCCTGAGAGAGAATGAGGAGGTTTTGCTGATCATGGACTGAGGATTCCAGGGAGTACAGAGGGAAGATTTCTGGAGTTAGGTAGGGGACATGGTGGGGGGAGAGAATAGAGCGTGCGGAGCCTTGTGGGGATGCAAGTGCTGGGTATATGGGGGACCCAGTGTGACTGACACAAACAGGGAAAGGGCATGAGGAGCTCAGTCCTGGTGGACTCGAGGCGGACGATGGTGCTGAGGCTGTGGGAGATGAGGGAGGAGGAGCAGGGGTGGCTGTCACCTGGGCTCTCTCCATGGAGGTGAAGACAGTGAGGTGGTTGGGTCTTAGTGCTGTGTGGACCTTCTGATGACTGGAGGGAGTGTCTGAGGGAGGAGGGGTCTTAGAGGATTCACTCGTGACCCTGAGGGAGGGTATGTTCTTACTTCAGGTCTCAGGTGTGCCCTGACACCTTTCTTTGTGGCTTAGGGCTCCCTACTGTAAATTATTGGGGATTAGTACCTTTTGGAATTTGTAACTTAATGCAGAAACTCAGATGGTCGAAATGTCATTTTCATGAAGGTTTGTTATTAGCGTATCATTTAGATTGTCTTGCAAAAGTCTCATTTTTTGTTGTTTTTCTAAAGGGCTGTCGATCTTGTTTTAAATTTACAAATATTGATAATTTATCTCCACTGTTAATTGGTTGGGGGTTGTTTAATTTTGTACTGCATAGTTTTACATATCTATAACAACAGTGGTTTGGGCCTCTTATGTTCTAATAATTAAGACTTTAAGCTGTGTACACATTGCAATTCAAGTATGAGTCATGCATAACCCTGGCACTAAGAGACAAGAGGGAAAGTCCTTCTCTCCTAAAATTTTGCAAAGGTTCTGGGTTCTTTTTCCACTGAGTGGGAACAAGTCAGCTAGTGAGGAACATGAGGTCTTTGGCCTCATCGAAAGGTGATTCATCTCCCAACTGTGAGAAGCACTGACCACTAGGAAGACCTCCCTGCCTGGTCCCTGGACCCCTACACCATGGTAGAGGCTATCTTCCCTCCCACTGCAAAGTGGTATCCCAGATAGCAAGCTGGTTAGCTGCTGCCAGCTCTTGGGTAGTTTTGTCTTCTAAGGCATGGGTTTTTATCTGAAAATCTTCCCCTTCCCAGATGACCCAAACTGGGGCCACCCACTCTTTTCTGAGCCACCTCTGCCCAGAGACCTGTGGCTATGTCCTCCAGTCACAACAGAACACCCTTTCAGAACACCCTGCAGGAAGCTGAGATCTCTACAGACTCACATGAATGGTGTGTGCACAGAGCTTTGGTTCTAGTTCAGGAGGTGTGGAGTGAGGCTCGCTAGTCCAACAGAGCTTGAGGCTAGTACTAGTGTCATATGCCAGGAGGCAAGGTTACAGGGGATACAAAGTGTCCAGACCTACCAGAGAAGGCAAACCCCTGTAACAGGCAGGGCTAGACAGGGACAAGAAACAAGGTCATTCTGGGCCAGCAAGAAGAGGGAAAGGGAAATTACAGACATATCTCAGAGAGATTGCAGATTTGGTTTCAGATCATGCAAACAAAACAAGTCACACAATTTTTTTGTTTTTGTAGTGTACATAAAAGTTATATTTATACTTTAGCCTATTAAGTATACAATAGCATTATGTATAAAATAGATATGTACATACCTTAATTAAAAATTACACTACTGCTAAAAAATGCTAACAGTCATCTGAGGCTTCAGCTAATACTAATGTTTTTGCTGGAGTAGGGTCTTGCCTCAATGTTGATGACTGCTGACTGATGACAAGGTGGCTGCTGAAGGCTGCTGTGGCAACTTCTTAAGACAATAAAGTTTGTGGCATGGATTGTAAGGTGGGAATTAGTACATAAGTAAGGTCAATATGAGTTTTCAAGTCAAGTGGACCTGAATATGAACCCTTCAGGCCTTTCCACCAGCTAGCTATAGAACCCTGGGCACATCTGGCCCACAATTGGCCCTGACAGACACTTTCACAGTGAATGAGTGCTGAATGAAACCATATGAGTCAGTTTCCTCATCTGCAAACCAGTGATGTAATTCCTGCCTTGCCAATTCAGAAGAATACATGAGAAGAAACATAGTGCCAAGAAAAACAGACACAAGACCTGTGGAAGGCTGGGCACCAGTGCTCTAAAGCAAGATCTGCCTAAACTGGCAGGAACATTTTTCACAGCAGACAGGAGTTGGTCTGGATTCTGTCTGGGGCCAGGCTGAGAGGGAGGTGGGGGCAGCAGAACGGGACAGGGGCAGGGGCCTATGCAGGGCCAGGCACTGAAGCAAAGCCCAGGCCTGGAAGGGCGGGCTCCTGATGTCTGCTAGGAAACTCAGACAGCTCCCTGCCTCACCCGCCATGGTTTTTCCTCTTCCAGGATCTCTCAGAGCTGTTGCCTTCACTTTTCCTGCCTTGGAAAGTGGAGATGATAACGAAAAGCTGTTGCCAAATTAAAGGAGGCTATTGCCTCCTCTCCCCTCCTGGTCCCTAGCACTCCAGGACTCACAAAGATGCTGCTCTGAAAACCCCAAGGCAAGCGTGGAAGAGTAGAACAGCTCCAGGGGCAGTGGGAAGATGAGGGCACCCCCGCATGTTGACAGACACCAAGGGTGGGGGTGGAGGAGATGAAGGGGATCAGCACAGGAGTCTGGGGGAAATCCTCTAAATCCCACCCTGCACCAACCTCACCCCTGCAGCTCCTTGTGTAGTTACAGCTCTCAGCTCTCAGCTCCTTCCCAACCACACCCCAGCCCAGACCTCAGGGCTCCTCCCTCTCCCTACCCCCTCCAGAGCAGCACAGTCCACAGAGCCCTTGAAAAGGAATTCCCCCTCATCTAACAGTTAATTATTTCTTAGTGGGGAGGGACAGCCGGTCCTCTCTTTCCAGTGACCCCATGTCTTTGTTCAAGGCATCCAGTTATACTCCCTGAGCCAGGGATCTCTAGGCCAGCTGGGACCTAACAGCTTCTCCAGTTGCTCAGGGGCCAGCACTTATGCAACCTGGCATCTGTGCCTGGCACTTCCTTCAGATGTCTGGCTGTCCTCGGAGGGCTGGAGTCCAAGGAGTTGGGGCAAGTAGGTGGTAACCAGGCAAAGTTTGAGTTGCAAGAAGACAGGGATATTGGCCATCCTGGTCATTGTAGTCTTATCAGGTCCTTGTCCCTTGTGGAGGCAGAATTCACCACATGTTAGTTTTTCCTGCTGTAATGAACATGAACTTGGGGTTGGTGCACTGATACAATAAGGTTTGCTCTGCTGCAGTAGTGTTGCCTCCGTGTAAGAGAAACAAAGGCTTCAATATAACATTTGCCTGTGTATCTCACAGCCTAAGGGCTAACAGAGCATCTGTGGGAACACAGTGGCCCACACCCTAGTCAGGACCCCACAAGGACTGAACCAAATGTAGGGTCATTAGCTTTTCCTGGCCTCAAATAGGAGTCTCACCCTGCCTTAGCCATGACTCCCATGCCATGTACATGTGGTAGGGGCCTGTGTGCCTAGCAAGGACACAGTTCAGAGAGCTTTCTTCATTACCTAGGGTGAGTGGCTGGAAAAAAAAAAAAGTTGCCCACGCCCATGAGGCCCTGGAGGGAAGCATAGAACCTACTACTAAATTCTTCTGGGATGACCCATTTCAGGCATGGTTTCCTCTGTATCAAAGTTGCTCTCTCACTGATCTACTGACAGCTAGCTCTTAACAAAAGAGTGTGTGGAGCAGTAAAACTCATGTCGGCCTGAGAGGGCCCCAGACATGTAATGATGTCTGGTGGCTTTGGCTGGGGCCACCCCATGGCTGTCCTCCTTCTTGGGCGTTCCCCGCTCCCATCTCACTGGAGCCATGGTGGGTTCACCTGTCCTCTCTTCTCACTCCCATTCTTCAGGGTGGGATGCAGTGGTGTGCTCCTCTCTCCCCAACAGAGCACTGGTGTCCCTTTTGGAGTCTAGTTTCTCTTTTCACCCCCAAGCCTGCTGGGGAGGTCTCAATTCCAGGAAGTTGGCTGCTGGGCATCCACTATGGGCTCCAGCCCTGGACCACAGGCGCTGTCATATTTTGGGTGGAAAGGAATTTGTTTCTTTTCTGCAAAGTAAAGGAAAATGGAATGAGGGCAATTAGGTTGATCTCATGATGTCCATGGGTCCATGGGAACTTGAAAGACTCATCCCCTTCCCCCTGCTTTAAGAAGATAAATGGAGAAAAGGAGCTCCCATTAAGGGAAAACATTGACTCTATTCCTATTGACTCTATCCTTGAAATGGAATTTGGATTCAACTTCAAAATTGAATTCATTTTTAGGGATAGAGTCAAATTCAAATATTGACTCTATCCCTGAAATTAAATCACAAGCAAATAAGAAATTTATGAGATCCAAACTAAGCCATTTAAGTAAACTATTCCAGAATTTAAAGCTCAGCAATGACAAGATATCAGGAAACAGTGACAATTCTCCCACTCCACAGGTGAGTCCAGTGAGACTGGTCAGGGCTTGCTGCCTGCTCCTTGGTGCTGTCCTGGTACTTTGGAAGCATCTATGATTCTGTGAACCTCACCCACAGCTGCCCAGCAACTTCCTTTTGCTTATATGAGCCAGACTCTGCTTTTATGGCTTATACTCAAATAATTTAAGGTATTTATTTATGAGTTATACGTCCCATGTGGAGATAGGGAAGGAGAGTTAGGTACTCTTCAATGTTACTACCTGCTAAGCATATATACATGATTTTTTTTTTTTTTTTTTGAGACGGAGTCTCACTCTGTCACTCAGGCTGGAGTGCAGTGGCATGATTTTGGCTCACTGCAGCCTCTGCCTACTGGGTTGAAGCAATTCTCTTACCTCAGCCTCTCAAGTAGCTGAGGTTACAGGCGCCCACCATCATGCCCAGCTAATTTTTGCATTTTTAGTGGAGACAGGGTTTCACCACTTTGGCCAGGCTAGTCTCGAACTCCTGACCTCAGGTGATCCACCCGCCTCGGCCTCCCAAAGTACTGGGATTACAGGCGTGAGTCATCATGCCTGGCCGAAACGTTGCTTTTTAAAGGTATAATTTTGGATTAGAGCAAATGCTAGTGTATTTAAGTAAATTCCATGAAGAATGTGAACACTGTAAGCAAGTGCATTATTCTCAGCTTCCATCTCCTCACAGAGCCATCATCCACTCTCTTCCATCCTGCCCCCTACACTGGGAGGCAACTATGACAGACAGACGACATGGCCTGTGCTCCTTCACCATCTGGCTTGTGCTTGGGTGTGGATGATAACAGGCACCTGCAGGAGATGGGAGTGTGGGAGGAGGAGTAACTCAGGGTTTTCATTTCCCTCACTTACTCTGGGCAGCTCTGTGATTCTGTAATCACTTCAGGCCTCTATCTACAGCCATAGGCATGGCGGGCTGCCCCTAGTGAAAGCTACAGATTTGCCTGAGTTCTAGAAACTGCTCCCTTCCTTGCTCTTTCAAGCTCAGAAATGCAAACCATTTCCTGCTACAGATCATCCCAGGGAGCTTCAGTGCCCCTTGTGACTTTCTTAGCCCTGCCAGAACCTCTTTAAAACGTGTCTTCCTTCTGTGCCATATCTTTCCTGCCAGGACCCAGACCACAGGGTGCTCCCACAGAAAAAGGGACAAGAATTTATTTATGACATGGCAATAACATATCTATTCACAATGCGAATTCAATTTGTTTTGGAAGAGACTGGGTCTTGTTATGTTGCCGAGGTTGGTCTTTAACTACTGGCCTCAAGCAATCCCTTTGCCTTAGCCTTCCCAAAGTGCTAAGATTACAGGCGTGAGTGAGTGTGCCCAGGCCTTAATTCAAAAATTTGACTTACTACAATAAAAGGGAAACAATAGAAGCATTCTGGAAATGGAACAGGAAAGAAGGCAGAGGTGGGAACGATCAATCTGTGTCATCTGAGAAGCCCCATGTGCAGAGGCTGTCCTGGGTCTTTAGGGGACGACAACAACAAAGCACACAGGATCCTGGTGTCAGGGACAGAGCATGGCCACTGTGGGACATAGCGGCTCTCCTACAAAATAATGCTCATATACATCCCTTATGAGGAGGATCAGATCAACATATAAAAATATGCCAGATAAAGTGGAGGCGAGGGCAGGATGGAGAGCTGCCAGTATCTGCCCTTGACCTCCATGGACTTGAAGAAAGGCTCAGCCTGGAGTTGTGTGAGGCCTCCGACCTGGAGCAGCACCCACCCCTAAAGACCAGGCACCAATCACAATGCAAGGAGAGATCCAGACAAATAAACAGGAAATGACCACAGCAGGAGCTTTGTTGAGCACAGAGCGAGGCCACACACCACTCAGCACCTGGCCCTCCACCCGCCCTTCTCTCCCCACCTGCCCCTGCCCCAGCACAGCAGATCCTCAGAATCCAAAAAGAGAACCTAACCTCCATGTTTTATTAATGGCTGATAATATTTTACCACAGCTTCAAAGAAATGATATGAGAACAATAACTAATAGAGTAAGAAGTCTATTCAGGGTGAGTGAGTGACAAGGGAAATCTAGGAGGGAGATATTGTAACCCTTTCATTCCCAGAAAAGAAATGATGGTCCAGGGAGATACACCAGGCCTGGATATTGAGATTACGTGGAAGGGGTTCTGGGGCATCAGAGGAGTGGGCCTCACTCCCACCATCCTCCCCTTGCTATGCTTGGGAGGAGATAGAGCTCATCAGCTGCACAGCTGGGGAAAGAGAAGTCAGGGTCTTCCAAGAGACAAGGGGAGCTGTGAACAATCTGTGTCTTGCTGGTCTGCACAAGGCAGCTCTCAAACAGTGGAGAACATGCTAATGAGCAGATTCAGCTCAGCCACTCTCAGCCTTGACACCCTGAGCATTACAGACAGCCCGTGACCAACCCCTACTTTCAAATCCAAAGATCCCCTACAGCTTGAAGCTTCTCCCCGGCCTCAACTCCTGTTGGTGTTGGGCCCCAAGGGTCATATTTCAGGAAGCTGTGAGCACCACATCAGCATCAGGGACCCGGTCACCACCTGGAGAATGATAATAAAAAGACCCAGCAGAGCCTGCAGGAGACTGTATTTGAGGCAGGACCATAGGATAAGTGAGGAATGAGACGGTGGCTCCATCCTGTCTATTTCAGGAGTTAGAGATGAGCTGCCCCTACCGCCCCTTCCATGCTGCTTTTTATTGAGTAGACCCCTCCTGAAGTTCTTTTGAGGAGAGAAGACCCTGTTAGGTGCCATGGTAGAGAGGGGCCCTGTGAGTCTTAAATAACTGGTTAATATAGCTACTTAGCTGAAATTAGGAAGGTAAACCCAGGATTCAGGAGAGGAGAAAGAGACAGCATGGGATCCTGCAGTCACCCTCCTGTACATCTGTTTGCAGGGAGGGTCTTTCCTGCAGGGTTGGGAGCACCCAGTATTGAGGTCCTCTGAGTATGGCTACCCTGTTGTTCTCATCTGTGAATGGGGCCAGGCCTGTTTCTTCCCCCAGTATAAACAGCCAGGGGAATCCATCCACAAAACACCTGCTAGCTTCACATTAATCCTGTATTAGTTTGATTTAATATTTCATATCTTATAAGAAATGAAATGGAAGGATGATCTCTTTGGTAAAGGTAATTCAGATTCCTGGGGCCCTGGATACCTTATCTCACTGTTTAAAATCCTCATGGAGGATCAGGAGAGTACAGAGCCCAGAAACAGTCACGAGACCTGAAGCTCCCTGGTGTAAAGGACCCTCCCCCGCACCCTGGGGCTTAGAGTGAACAGCCTCTACTGTCAGCCTGATTGTTCTCAGTCTTCCTGGCTGCCAAGCTTCTGGTTCCCAGCAGCCTCCTCTCTCACCCTTCACCTCTTCTGACTGGGGTCATTGGCCACTTGACAGGCTGTGCCCTCCTTGTCAGTCAGCCTGTCTACCTGGTTTCCTCTCAGGGTGTGTGGCTTGACTGGGTTAACCATCCCCAGCCCCAGCAGAAACAGGGAGAAGTGACTCAGCAAATCCCCCAAGAGCAGTGGGATCCCTACATGTGAGATGGGGCAAAGCCATCATTCTAGTCCCTCCCATACCTGAGAACTTCTTGCACATCACAAGTCCAAGGACCATAGCAGGAAGTAGCTCTAAGCCAGAGACAAGAACAGAGCAGTGACAAGAGGCTGGTGTGAATGGAGACCAGCAAGCTCTATTGAGAGTAGTGGGATGAGGCCACAGATGCCCTGTGTTGAGGGGCTAGTAGGAAATGGTGGGAGACTGGGATTTCATTGCACTAAGAAAGGAAGAGGATGGAGTGTCCGTGGGATGTGATGGTGAGGATGTGCCGTAATTCCCATTTGAAAGGCTCGCTCTGCCTGTTGCATGGGTGATGGACAGCAGGTGTGAGAAGCAGCAGGCAGCCCAGCTGGAAGGCCCATCTGATTTACTATCCTAGAGAGGATTGGCTCTGGGGTAAAGTAGTAGAGGAGTGAGAAGTGATTGGATTTGGGGTCAAATATTTAAGATGGTGTTAGCAATAAGTCAATGGAGAATCACACATTTATTTACTTAACTTAATTCTACAGTTCATTCCCAGGAGTTTACAGCAACAAACCCATGGTAATAAATATACATGAATTATTTTAAAACAACACCAAGGAAAATATAAACTTTAGAATGTTAAGGCTGGGGTAAAGCTAGAACATTGCTAGGCACGAAGGAGCATCTGAAACATTTGCTGAAATGGTTTACTGTTTACCTATCCATGGATTTGTTGGCTCACAATTTTATTGCATCAGAGCACCATGGAGAGGGGTGACAGTGCAGGTCACCAACCCTTAGTTTTCTGCTTCAGGAACAGTTCCTTGTTCTACACTTAGAGTCAAAGCAAATTATGTAACTGTAAGATGTTCAAAGATGAAGTCAACGAATGCAAAGTCAGTAACTAAGTATAAAAACCTCCCCCAAGGAGAGTCTACATTTCTTCCCCAGAAATGGCCTCACTGTGCACTGCTGAAGGGAGAGGGTCTTTTCAAAGAGCCCAAGAAGCAGGGGCTACTGGGCTGCAGCTCTAAATAGAGATGCCATTCTTTCTACCTGCAGGTCCTGCCAAGCCTAACAGCAGACTTCAGTGATCCCACCTGAACCAGGAATTCGGGATTTTTGATGCTGGTTCTATTTGAGCCATTGTGTAAGCTTAAAAATGTGACATGGAGATTTTGCTGTAATTGTTTCTTTGCTGGAATTTGACATCCACGGTGCCTCTGGCTTCCTCTCTGGTCCCAGGAGGGAATGGATTGTCCAGCACTTTTTTTCAGCATCTCTTTGTGGGGGGGGGATCAGGAGATTTGGAGTCAGGGGCCCCTCCAATCTCACCCTCTTCTCTAATGCAGAGTCCCTTAAGCTTTCTGGGGTGGGGGCGTTGGCACTCTGCGGATCTCATGAATAAAATTGTTCCAGCTCCTGAAATAAAGGCACAGGTGCACATAAATACGCTGACTCTTGCATGCAGTGCCAAGGTGAGGAAGTTTCCTATGATAGATGCCGAGTTTAGCACTTTGACTCTCCATTAACATTCACACAGACACACACACAAGCGCGCGCACACACACAAACACACACACACACACACACACACATACAGAGTCAAAGCCAGCGATGCGGGAGGGGCTGACCTCAGGGGCGGGGTCACAGGCATCCCTCAGGTCCTTCTCAGTGGACTTTGTCTCTTTTTCCTGGAGGTGGAGGAGTCTGTACTTCATGAGAAGTCCTCTGAAGAAAGCAGGAGATACTTAGGAGCGGGGAAGTGGAGACAAAGGGGAGGGGGCGAGGCAAGGGGGGAGCACGCAAGAAATGGGGAGGGGGAGGACCTTATAGTGGTCAGAAAAGTCACACGCAGAATTTGGCTCTTGGTTTTTGTGTTTCATTAGGATGGATTTAGAAAACCAGACAGAGTGCGAGATAAGGAGTCTACCTTGCAAAAGACACGTCTTAGTGTCCTCCTAGTTTGAACTCATCAGTAGTAGCTGGGAGAAGGGAGCCGGGACGCCTGTGTGGGGCACGCCCTCTCTAGTTGTTCCCATTCTCTGCACCCCACCGGCTGGTGCCCTTCAACCCCAACAGGAAGGAAAGGAAGGAGGGGTCGGAAGGCTTTGGGTCTTCCCTCGCGCGCCTTCTTCCTCTGCCATTTATTCCGAGTGTCCTTGCCTTCCCTCCGCTACCTGATCCCCACCTTAACAAAGCACACTCTGCGCTGTTGGGCCAGGATTCCTCCTTTGGCCTCTGACTCACTGGTACAATTTCGCTGCGTCCTGTCCTTACCGCAATTGCTACTGGGTAGAGCCGGAGAGAGCATCGCCCAGACCCGCTAGATTCATGCAGCGCCACTGCCCGCACATTCTTGACACTTCTTTAGATCCAAAGTCAGAGCCTGAGTTTTCAGACTAGTTCCGAAAGCCTTTAGCCATTGGAAAGGGGAAATCAATACTCTAGGAACAAAATTTGCTTCGACTTTGTCTCAACCCAAAGACACCATGACGGCGCAGTTTTCAAAGTTGCTTTGAGTATAAATGGAACAGGGTCTCCTGTGTCAGACTCGATTTTGCGTTTCCCTCTTTATTATAGCCCTTCTGTAAATTTTATTACATGTATCTCTACTCCACTAAAAACATTTCTGTCAAAGACACTAAGAAAGAGTCAATGCCATGAAAATATGAAGGATACTCTTAAAAGAGAGTTTCTGGTGTTGAGTTTTAATTAACACTTTGGTATTTAAAAATCTCTAACTATTTGGGTTTGGGGCTTAGCTTCATAATGTTTCAAACTGAGATATACTCTTCCTTAACCTCCATACAAATTCAGGTTTATTTTTATTTTTAATTGCATTTATTTTTCTTTTTTTGAAACAATGTCTCCATTCGTCACCCAGGCTGGAGTGCAGTAACACAATCATAGCTCAATGCAGCCTCGAACTCCTGGTCTCAAGCAATTCTGCCTCACCTTCCAGAGCTGAAATTACAGGTACAAGCCACCGGGCCAAGCCAAATCCAAGTTAATACTGTAATATAAAATTCCAACATTTCAGAGAAAGTGAAAATCACCAAGTTATTGTAGTCCCTGGAGTCACTGTCAAGACTTTGGTGAGGGCTCAGTGGCTCACGCCTGTAATCCCAGCACTCTGGGAGGCTGAGGCGGGTGGATCACCTGAGGTCAGGAGTTCGAGACCAGCCTGTCCAACATGGCGAAACCCCATCTCTACTAAAAACACAAAAAATTAGATGGGTGTGGTGGCGAGTGACTGTAATTCCAGCTACTAGGGAGGCTGAGGCAGGAGAATCACTTGAACCCTGGAGGTGGAGGTTGCAGTGAGCCAAGATCGCACCACTGCACTCCAGCCTGGGCGACAAGAGCGAAACTCCGTCTCAGAAAAAAAAAAAAAAAAAAAAAAAAAGGCCAGGCGCAGTGGCTCACGACTGTAATCCCAGCACTTTGGGAGGCCGAGGCGGGCAGATCACGAGGTCAGGAGATCGAGACTAACCTGGCCAACACGGTGAAACCCCGTCTCTACCAAAAAAAAAATACAAAAAAATACAAAAAATTAGTGTGGTGGCGGGCGTCTGTAGTCCCAGCTACTCGGGAGGCTGAGGCAGGAGGATGGCGTGAACCCAGGAGAATGGCGTGAACCCAGGAGGCGGAGCTTGCAGTGAGCCGAGATCGCGCCACTGCACTCCAGCCTGGGCGACAGAGCTAGACTCTGTCTCAAAAAAAAAAAAAAAAAAAAACTTTGGTGAGAAATCTTCCAGGTTTTTCCCTACTTAAAATATACATTATGGAAGTGGTATTACTGGCATTATAATTCAGTATATCCTCATCTTTTAATAAATGGTTAAAAGTATGAGACGCACACATCTTCTCATAACAATACTTAAAACTGATCTTACCTCTTTTATGACCCTATAAAATTGTATTGCATAGCAGTTCTTTGGAGGACGATGGAAATGTTCTACATCTTCATTGTGGTAGTGGAGATGTGGGTGTGTACAACAGCCAAAACACAACGAGCTATGCATTTCAAATAGATACATTTTAGATACATTTGATTGTATGCAAAGCAAGTCCCAATAAAATGGCTTTTAAAATATATCTTCTTTGAGATTTGTACTTTGCTTATGTAAAACAAAACAAAACAAAAACCTTGTTTTTGTGCCCAAGAGACACACCCTGACACATCGGCAGGTAGAGGCTTACGTGTGTATATATATTACTGTATATTTACAGATTCAGAGAGAGAGACAGAGATAAAGCTATGTTAACAATATTCATACATACCAAAACTAGATAAAAACCAAAAATAAAAGTTAGAAATAATAAAACTCTATATTTTAAATGTTATTCTCTTCTTCACCTTTTTTCTCCTCTTTCCTTCCTCTCTCTTCCCTTTTTTCTTCAACACGCTCCCCCCACCCCCACCCCCCAGCCATCCTTCCCTACTTTCTCCCTTCTCTGCACTTGATCCCCGGTGTATTCCAGCCTCGAGGCCAACACACGTCACCGCGTCCGCCTGGGGCAGGTCGGGGAAGGGACGCGAGGCGGCGCTGCCACCGCATTCTGAGGGCCGCAGTGCCCTGCGCCCCTGCTGGTCTTGTATCATTTCAGTGAACGTCGCTCCAGTCTTTGATGGGGCCACACTCGGGATGTAAATTTAGGATCCTCACTGAAGGGGCGGGACCCTGAGAGGCTTTCTCCTGGCCCCTTAGTTGTGAGTGTTCCTGCAGGCGGAGGAGCCAGTTTCCGTCAGAACCGCCCAGAGGCAGGCGCTGCCTTCCTGGGGTGGCGGAGCAGCTGGAAGCGTTTTCGGATCCTGGAATCCGTGGGCGGCCCGTGGGAGGGGCTGAGGCGCATTTCCCTACTCACCCGGATCCGAATCCACCGCGGTGCTGTTTCAAGCGAGTCAGATTCCACATCGCGCTCCACCCCGGACTCGGAATTCCTGCCCCACAGGTCTGCATTTTCACAGCGGCAGCTGTGAGTGCCCCGCGGCTGGAGACCAGAAGCCTGAAGGCAACTCCGTCCTCCCCAGCCCACAGCGCCGTTATTCCGTTTCTATATCAGCAAACACTTGTAGACCAGGGCGGGGTGACGGGTGATCTCAGTCCTCGCAGTGAACTCCGGGCCGCAGGCTTGAAAACGCGCGCGGGCGCCCAGCCCAACCCCGCCCTGGGTTCTGTAAGCGACCGCACTGGGTCCTTTCTCTTTCTTTTCCGGACCCAGCAGTGGCGCCTAAAGTCTGCGAGGAGGAAGTCGCCTCTGTGCCCCGGAGTTCAGAGGTCTAAGGCGAGTCCTGAGGAAGAAAACGTAGTTGATGGGGCAGAGCAGAAGGGGCTGGAGGTGGGGTGGAGGGAGAGGGCATTGGACAGAAGGCCTGGGAGACTTGGTGGGGGACGGGCAGCCAGGCCTGGACCCTGGGGAGTGCCTCACCCCGAGCGGAAGACCATCTGGGCTTCCCCTAGCCCAGAAAGGGTGGATTGGCTTCACCTCTGCTGGCCATCACCTCTACATGCCTTGGAACTAACCTTGTATATTATTATTATTGTCGTTATTTAAGTATTAAAAGTATTTTTTGGGGTGAGCTGAATGAGACCCTTTGCTAGAGCTGGCACAGGGAGGAAGGTCGTCCTGGAGGGAGGGTAGACACTGTGGAGGGAAGGGAGACCTCTGTCAGGAGAGCTGAGACCACCTCTCTGCCCCTCACTACTCTTGTAATCTTTAGGAGTGTAAATAATCCCCCTAAGGTGGGGACAGGACCCCAGTCCCTGCTGTGCGCAATAGATTATGATGATCAAAATAAATAATCAGTGAATGTGGATGGGAAATCTAAGTAATTGTTAAAACCCTGTGATGCTTAAATTTTCACTCACAGAAATGTGTAGGCTAGGAGTTTTAAGAGGAATGGTTAGTAATTATAGGTATAGTTCAGTTTTAAAAAATGTTTGTAAGAGTGACAAAGATAGAATGAACACAGTTCCAGATCATGGACTGTTCATCGTGTAGTGGGGGATGGTACAAGATGGTAGATGACAGCTGGGCATGGTGACACTCACCTACAGTCCCAGGTACTCAGGAGGCTGAAGTGGCTGGATTGCTTGGGCCCAGGCATCTGAAGCTGCAGTGAGCTGTGATCACACTGATGCCCTCCAACTGGCGGCAGAGTGAGATCTCCCCCTCTTAAAAATAAATAAATAAATAAATAGTAGATGGAGTTCAAGAATGCAGGCAAAGTTGGTACCCATCAGGGAGGTTCAAACCATGGGCTAGAACAGTGGTTCTAAAACTTGCCTACACATTGGAAGCACGTAGAGAGCTTTAAAAGATATTGAAGCTTAGGTCCAACCTAGCCTTACTGATTCAATTGGTTTTGGCTGTGACCTGGGACCGTGGATATTAAAAACTCTCCAGGTGGTTCTGTGAAGTGGCTAGGTTTGAGGACCACTGGCTAGATGTTCCAAAGAGTAAGAGACGTGTGTGTTGGGGACGAGATGATTCTTTCAGTAGAAAGAGGCTTTTGCATGGTGTTTTATTATCGAGATATAATTTATGTGCCACGTAATTTACCATTTAAAAATGTACAGTCCAGGGCCCACTCAGAACCATCCCAGCAACCTGACCACAGCTGGTCTTTGCTGGACACCATGAACCACACTGCCCAAACCTTCTTCATTCCTGCCAACAGTGGCTGCCCTCCCCCGCCCCCCAACCCCAGCTATGAGATGCTCAAGGAGGAGCATGAGGTGGCTGTGCTGGGGGCGCCCCACAACCCTGCTCCCCCAATGTCCACCATGATCCATATCTGCAGCGAGACCTCCTGTGTCTGACTATGTTGTCTGGTCCCTGTCCAACATCCTCTTCATGAACCCCCACTGCCTGGGATTCATAGCATTCACCTACTCCCTGAAGTCTAGGGACAGGAAGATGGTTGGAGACCTGACTGGGGCCCAGGCCTATGCCTCCACTGCCAAGTACCTGAACATCTGAGCCCTGATTGTGTGCATCATCATGACCATTCTGCTCACCATCATCATCCTAGTGTTGATCTTCCAAGTCTGTCGATAGATCAGGAGGCATCATCCAGGCCAGGAGCTCTGCCCATGACCTGTATTCCACATACTCCAACTTCCATTCCTCGTCCTGGCCCCAGAGCTGAGTTCTGTATCAGCCCTTTATCCTCACACACTTTTCTACAATGGCATTCAATAAAGTGCAGGTGTTCCTGGTTAAAAAAAAAAATGTACTGGTCAGTGGCTTTTAGCATAATCACAACATCGTGCCACAGTCGCTATTATCTAATTGGGAAGATTTTCTTTTTTTAAAGGCTAGTCAAGTAAAGCAGTGCGAGCGGAGAAGGAAAAAAGAAATCTGTAATTGGTTGTGATCAATTAGTTGTAAACACCGCTACACTCTGACCAGCCTAATTGGGAAGATTTAAGGATGTGACACGGTCTAATGGGCTCAGAGGCAGAAGTGACAGTAATCTGGAAGCAGGAGACTGCTTAGGCAGTGGCATCCCGGTGGGACAGGGCAAGGAGATTGGGGAGCCCACTTTTACTGCAACACTGGAAAGAGGGATGTCACCAGAGAAATGGGGGTGGTGACAGACAGGAGGTTGTGGCAGCTGTGGCTTCCATGGTAGAGACCTCACGTGTGACATTCAGCACATGGGGTGCTGTGGGGGTCTTAGAGCACTCTGACTATAGCTGGGACAGTCACAGTGTTTAGGAAGCCTGTACAGTAATCTAGGCTGAATCCTGTGCAGTGATCTAGGCTGAAAGCCGAGACTAAAGTAGTGGCTGTGGGATCAAAATAGGGTTGGAGGAGCTTTGAGTACTTGAGAAGGAAAAGGGGGAAATCAGAAGGCACCACGGAAAGAGAAACAGGGGAGGAAGAGAGGATGATGTCATGCGAGACGTGTAGAGTGTCCTTGTAGACCTGTCACATTGGAAGCTACTATGGTCTCAGAGGTACAGATGTCCTAAAGCAGGCTGGAAAAGGGAGTCTGGGGAGAGCTTGGTGTTGGAGTGGACACTGGCAAGCTGCCTCCTTGGCCTTTTGATCACCCAGGGGCTGAATAGAGAGGCAGCCCCGGGAGACCTCACACACTTACAGGAAGTGACCATAAGAAAGGGGACCTAGCTTTGAGTAAAAGGGAGGAGAAGGAGATTGTAAAGCTGAAACGTCTAAGAGATTTGTCGTCTTAGCGGATCAGCTGGGGCAGGTGCTTCAGAAACAGAGGTAGCTGAGGTCTGGAAACAGGTCTGCAAATCTGGTCACTGGCCACATAGCCAGTAACGCTGTGCGCGGCTGAGGGGAGTGTGTTGGAAGAATAACCAGGCCTCGTCTCTTCTGTAAGTGTGTCCTGGAAAGAACAAGCGAATGACAGTCAGCTTGATGGGGTGGCTGGCGAAACGGTCTTGGTGAGGCACGCTATCCTAGGGGTGGGGGTGCGGGGATGGGGTGGTCGCAATACAGGGAGGGCGGCAGGGCCCAGGTCGTGCTCATGCGGTTGGGGCTGTACTCTCAGCTGCTCGGAGCCAGTCCCCGCATTTGGCGGCGCTTCCGCGCGCTCCCCCTTTTCTGGGCTCCAGGTCCCGCCAGCCAAAGTTCTCCAGGTCTCCTGACCGCTGGAACGTTCCCTTCTGAGTGTGGCCCCGCCCTCCAAGCTCGTGATTGGCCCTAAGCTGCGGGCGCCAGTTTTCATTGGGTGAGCGGTCACTGGGGTGGGGCCAGGTGACAGGAAATTTCTGGTGGGCCTTCGCGGCTCCGCTGGGTTGGCAGCCGCTTGAGCCACTGCGAGGAAAGCAAAGTCTGGGCCATGGAGATGAGCCTAGTCCTGCTGTTCCTGATCCGCACTGCCCTTTTTGCACCCCAGGGAGCTGCTGCTGGTAAGTGGGGTTCCTGGCGGTCCTCGGCGGAGCGGCAGCGGCGGGGCGTTTCTGGGGGTCCGGGTGGGTAGCGGCGAGCGCTGTGCGACCGAGGCGGGGCTCAGGTGCGCTGTCGGGGGTGCGGGGAGTGGACGCGGCCCGTTCCCGCCACACCTCAACCCTGCTTCCACGTCTCTTTTCAGTCCTCCTCGGGATCGCTCATCACCCGCCCCCTGCATTTTCTGGTCTTGTCCTGCACTTTCTCTCCTCTCCTCTCCTCCGTCTCCTCTCACTTTTCGGACAAACCCGTCTTTCTGAGGCCCCTGGGTTCCTGGGCTGCTCCTGTGAATGGCATTCGAGGGCCCTTCCAGCGCGGCCGCTGAGGCAGCCACCTCCCTCGGTGCTGGGGGCGGCCCTAAGGTCCCTGAAGCCCTGTCCTCTCCCGGAGCCGACGTGTTCTCAGCTCCTGGGCCGCATCTCCTGGAGTTGGGGCCCTCCTTTCTCGGGACCCGGAGCTAGTGCTTCCTGCTGCTGTGGGGACTGTGGGGCTCCTGACCCTCACGCTGAGGGGTTGGAGTCTGCAGGCTCCGGGCAGAGGATTCTTCCTGCGACTTCTCTCATCCCCAGCTCATTCTCCCCTGGCCTCCCGCTGCCGGGGATCCTCTCTTGTCTTGCATCCTTCCCTGCTACTATTAACTCCGGTGATCTAAGGACACCAGATTCCCTCCCACCTCCTCCCCTGCCCTCAGGGCACCTTGGGTCCTGTTGCCCTCCCAGCTCCCTGTTACCCCTTCCTATCTGCAGTTCTCTGATACATTTCTAGGATGTCCTCTGCCTCATCCCCTGCCCCCGCCACCGCAGGTCCCTCCTGCCTCCCTTATGGGCCTTTCCTAGAAGCAGCCTTAACCCAGGGCTGCCCCTATGCCTCCCACTCCTAACTCTCCCTGACCCTAACTCTCTGGTGCCGCCTTTTGTCCCAGGGTCTTCCCTCCGTCCCACTCCCCTCTAGACCACCCAAGGGGAGCCCTAGTGCTAATGTTGGTTGGGCCTTAGGCAGGGCACAGGGCAGGGCAGATGCCCCCTCCCCTCTAGTGCAGGTGCCTGCTCTGGGCCCTGCCTCACGGTGGCCCCTTCCCTACTCCTTCATCCTCAGCCCCACCCTCTTGAGGACCCCCCACTCCAGCCCACGGGTGCTGGACCATCCCTCCCTGGTCCCTCCGCCCCTCTCCGCCTTGGGACCTTGTGCTGCTCCTACCTCTTGCCCAGCTGCCTTGGGCCCTCAGCAAGTTCTCATCTTTCCCAAGCCCCACCCTCACTCAGAGCACCCTCCCCTCCTGTCCTCACCCTAACCAAAGTTCCCCCAGGGTCACCCCCACACCATGCTCACCCCATCCTCCAGTCCTTGCCCTGCACATCTGTCCTCCTCTACCCAGACCCAACACAGGCCGTGTGTCCAACTGCTTCTTTTTTTTTTTTTTTTTTTTTTGAGACGGCGCCTCCCTCTGTCGCCAAAGTTGGAGTGCAGTGGCGCGGTCTCAGCTCACTGCAAGCTCCGCCTCCCGGATTCAAGTGATTCCCCTGCCTTAGCCTCCTAAGTAGCTGGGATTACAAGTGCCCACCACCACACCCAGCTAATATTTTGTATTTTAATAGAGACTGGGTTTCACCATGTTGACCGGGATGGTCTCAATCTCCTGACCTCGTGATCTGCCTGCCTAAGCCTCCCAAAGTGCTGGGATTACAGGCGTGAGCCACCACACCTAGCTGGTAATTCATTTTTTAATTTTTGGAGGAATCAACACACTGTTTTCCATAACAGGTGCCCTATTTTGTATTTCCAAATGCATTACACAAAGGTTCCAGTTTCGCAACCTGTTTGCCAAACTTGATATTTCTGTGTGTGTGTGTGTGTGTGTGTGTGTGTGTGTGTGTGTTTGATAATAGCCAAACTAATTGGTGTAAAGTAATAGTTCATTGTGGTTTTGATTTGCATTTCCCTAATGACTGCTGATGCTGAGCATCTTTTCATGTGTCTGTTGGCCATTTGTACATCTTGTTTGGGGAATTGGCTATGCAAGTCCTTTGCCTACTTTTGTATTAGTTGAATGTCTCCTGTTTGAGTTGTAGGAGTTCTTTATGTATTCTGGATATTAATCTCTTATCAGATATATATGATTTGCAAATATTTTCTTTCATTCTGGGGGTTGCTTTTTCACTGTGTTTATTGTGTTTTTAATGAACTTTTTTATTTTGATGAGTCCAATTTATCAATTTTTTCTTTGTTTTTGTATCTTTGGTGTTATATCCAAGAAAGTGCTATCAAATTCTATGGCATGAAGATAATTCCCTATGTTTTATTGTAAGAGTTTTTCAGTTTTAGTTCTTGAGTTTAGGTCTTTGATGTTTTTCTTAGTTAATTTTCATATGTGGTGTAAGTTAGGGATCCAACTTCATTTTTTTTTTTTTTTTGGCATGTGAACATCTGGTTTTCCTAGCACCATTTGTTGAAAAGATGCACTGACTCTTTAAGACCCTTGCCACCAGCCCACCCCAGGGGACACCAACTGGTCCATCCACCTCCCTACTTGGGGCATTGCCATGCCACTCTGAAGCCCACACCATTGCTTCTCCCTGGGATATGGACCTCGTAGAAAACGTCTCTGGCACCACAGCCTACCTGCCCCTCCTGCCTCACAGCCAAGTCTCCCTTGCCCCCACCTTGTCCATGTTGAGCCTTCCTCAAAGGCAGTGGACCTTGCCTCCATCTCACCCTTACCTGTGCACCACAGCCATGGTGGTCATGGGTCCCTCTGAGCCTGGGTCCCTTACAGTTTCTGCTCTCCCCTCTGGCAAGACCTTCCTTCCACCACTGCCTTCATGCTCCTCCCTTGAACCTGCAGGGCAGCCCCTTCCATTGGCCTCCTCCCTATACCCTGAGGGGGCCTGTGGCTGCCCTGCCCTGGCACCTGGCCTACAAGTTTGCCATCCCCATTCCCCCTTCTTCTGTTCCTCAGTCCCCTCCTCTATCCTCCCACCTTCCCAGTTTTCCTTGCGTCTGAAATCCTC